>NC_000008.11:30769193-31072223 GCF_000001405.40 Homo sapiens
CATAGCAACACCCCTATCTCTAAAAAATATTTTTTTTGTTTAGGCATGGTGGCTCATGCCTATAATCTCAGCACTTCAGAAGGCCAAGGCAGACAGATCACCCGAGGCCAGGAGTTCGAGACCACTCTGGCCAACATGGCAAAACCCAATCTCTACTAAAAATACAAAAATTAGCTGGGTGTGATGGCAGGTTCCTGTAGTCCTAGCTACTTCGGAGGCTGAGGCATGAGAATTACTTGAACCCGGGAGTATTCCCGGGAGCTGGAGAAAGGGAAGTCCTGGTGAGAGGCAGTAAGTTCAGCAACGCTGTCACCCACAGTTGTGTGGAAAGTGGAAAATACAGCTAGCTAATGAATGAGTGATCTAGCTAAATCTGTTTCCAACTAGAGTGAAAATGCCATTGGTTTCTTCTTGCCTCTTTAATAAAATAAGACAGGAATGAAATAAGCTAAAGAAAGAACTGTTAAAAAAGAAACCAGGGCTCACTGGTTTAGAAGATGCACAGCTTCTCCAGGTGGCAAATGATTACACTAACATTTAGAAGTGACTTCAGAGCAAAGATTAAATTCAGAACACTCAGGAAAATATGGTTTAAAGATTAAAGTGAGGGTGTAACTATAAAATCCTTTGTTAAAACTGGAGAAGACAAAGGTGGGCCAGGCACAGTGGCTCACGCCTGTAATCCTAACACTTTGTGAGGCCGAAGTGGGAGGATTGCTTGAGTGCAGGAGTTTGAGACCAGCATGGGCAAGATGGTAAGACCCCATTTCTGCAAAAAATAATTAGCCCGGCACAATGGCATGTGCCTGTAGTCCCAGCTGCTTGGGAAGCTAAGGTGGGAGTTTTGCTGGGGCCCAGAGATTGAAGCTGCAGTGAGCCAAGACCATGCCACTGCACTCCAGCCCGGGCAACAGAACAAGACCTTGTCTCTAAAAGAAAAAAGAAAAATCAAAGTTGATGCCTCAATACGACTCATAGAAGACAAAGTTTAAAAAATAATTACATCGGGCCAGGCACGGTGGCTCACGCCTGTAATCCCAGCACTTTGGGAGGTCGAGGTGGGCAGATCACGAGGTGAGGAGATCGAGACCATCCTGGCTAACATGGTGAAACCCTGTCTCTACTAAAAATACAAAAAATTAGCCGGGCGAGGTGGCGGGCACCTGTAGTCCCAGCTACTCAGGAGGCTGAGGCAGGAGAATGGCATGAACCCCGGGAGGCGGAGCCTGCAGTGAGCCGAGATCACGCCACTGCACTCCAGCCTGGGCGACAGCAAGACTCCGTCTCAAAAAAAATAATAATAATAATAAAATAATTACATCAGCAGTAAGCTGGTCAACTTGAACTGAAAGAGACAAAGTAAAAAAAAAACAGGCCTTGAGATTTCTAAGATTCTACAGGCAGGAAACAACGTGAGAAAAATGGTTTGCTGTAAATCCACACCACCTTTCATGTAAAAGTATGACTCCTAAGATGAAATCAAGTCCTCCCAGGGCAGAGTCAAACAGTCTGGAAAGTCATTTCCTGGCAGGAGTATCACTGGGTTCCAGTGCTTACCCAGCTGAATTTCAGAACTGCTTATGGACCAGCAGTGTGTGTGCCTTTCATTTGCAGCCTTTCTGAACAGGAGCATCTGGGCATCATGTAACTGTCCCACCATTGCATGCTGGGTGTTTGGAGGGTGATAACTTGTCTAGTTCTCAGCCTTGCAGATCAGGAAGAACTGTCTTAGAGCTGTACCTGAGAACCCTAGGGTCGTCATCCGCCCCTGGACCTAACATAGATAAGATGAACTCTTCAGCTGATGCTGTGAGCTGATGGGACTGTCTTGTTCCTTGGGAGGGGGTGAATGTACTTACATGTGGGAGGACTGTGGATTTTTGGGGGATAGAGAGCAGAGTGGGAGCCAGCCTCCAAGACAGACCTCAACGATCCCTCTCTCCCGATATTCAGACCTTGTGCCGTCATCTGTTCCCACTGTGCCATGGTTGATCTATAAGACCAATAGAATTGGCCAGGCACGGTGGTTCACACCTGTAATCCCAGCACTTTGGGAGGCCAAGGCAGGCGGATCATGAGGTCAAGAGATCAAGACCATCCTGGCCAACAAGGTGAAACCCCATCTCTACTAAAAACACAAAAATTAGCTGGGTGTGGTGGTGCGCACCTGTAGTCTCAGCTACTTGGGAGGCTGAGGCAGAATTATTTGAACCTAGGAGTCAGAGGTTGCAGTGAGCCAAGATCGCGCCACTGCACTCCACCCTGGCTACAGAGCAAGACTCCGTCTCAAAAAAATAAAAAAAATAAAAAAAACCAACGCAAACCAAACCAAAATGAAAAACACCAACAGAATTAACCAGAAGTCATGGTATGTCTCTTCCTAGGTTAGATGATAAAGGACTGCACTTGTTTTGGTTCTCTATCCCTGTCTTCTGTCTTGCTCTAGCTGAAACCATGTTAGTGCACCAGGGAGGACCACGTGCCAAGGAACTGGAGCCTCATTGCCAGTAGCTCCATGAGCCAGCTGGGAGTGAATCCTGCAGCCTCATGACAGACCTCGAGCCAGAACCATTCAGCTGAGCTGCTCCTGGAGCCCAGACCCACAGAAACTAGGGGAGATAATGAATGCTGTTTTGTAATTGCCCAGTGGCTTTCTCCTGCTGTCAGCACAAACAAAAATCAATTCACTGAGGCCATAGCTTTGCAGCAAAGGGAGTGTAACTGATGTGAGGCCGACCACGCAGAAGAGGGAGTTAATACTCAAGGATAGTTTGGTGGGCAGAGGGCTAGGAAATAGGGAATGTTGATCGGTTGGGGATGGACTCATAGGGGTGTGGAAAACAGTCCTGGTGGCTGAGTCCCCCTCTGGGTGGGGCCACAGGGCCTGTTGAGTCACAAGTTGCAAGCCCAGGTGTGGTCAGTCAGTTGCCTGAATGCAAAAGTCTGCTAAAACGTCTCAAAAGACCAATCTTAGGTTCTACAATAGTGATGTTAATTACAGGGGCAACTGTGGAGGTTGCAAATCTTGTGACCTCAGAACAATGGCTGGTTACCATTTAATAACTCCATATTAGCAGAATTCAGGCCACTCTCATAATCCTAACCTCGTGGGCTTTCATTAGTTTTATGAAGGCAGTTTAGTTTTGGGAAGGGCTAGTATCACCCTTGCTTAAATAAACTAAACTCCTCCCAAGATTAACTTGGCCTATGCCAGGAATGACCAAGGACAGCTTGGAGGTTACAAGCAAGATGAAGTCAACTATGTCAGATTTCTCTTACTGTCTTAATTTTGCAAAGGCAGTTTCTCTTTAAGCTGTTATGTTTTGGGAACATGTGTTATGGCAATAGATAATTCTTTATAGGAAGTATTCAGGGCATTTTCCCCAACAATATGAAAAGGCCCTTAGGAACGACATTTACTTTTCTGGGTAGATGGTTTCTTTTCTCTAGCTGTTGATATCTCTTAATATCTCTCTCTTTTTTTTGTTTTGAGACAGGGTCTCGCTCTGTCACCTTGGCTGAAGTGCAGTGGTACAATCACAGCTCACCACGGCCTTGGCTCCTGGGCTCAAACGAACCTCCGGCCTTAGCCTCCTGAGTAGCTGGGACTGCAAGCACATGCCACCTTGCCCAGCTAAGTTTTTAATTTTTTTTGTGGAGACAAGGTTTCGCCATCTTGCCCAGGCTGCTATCAAACTGCCTGTCTTGACCCTCTCAAAGTGCTGGGATCACAGGTGTGAGCCACTGCACCTGGCCCACAGACTTCCATAGGCTCTATTTTTTTTTTCCTTATAGATATATTTGTCTCTCTCTCTCTCCATATATATATATATTTATTTATTTCAATGGTTTGTGGTGTTTGATTACATGAATAAGTTTGTTTTGAGACAGAGTTTTGCTCTTGTTGCCCAGGCTGGAGTGCAATGGCACGATCTCAGCTCACTGCTACCTCTGCCTCCTGGGTTCAAGTGGTTTTCCTGCCTCGGCCTCCTGAGTAGCTGGGATTACTGGCATACGCCACCATGCCTGGCTAATTTTTGTATTTTTAGTAGAGATGGGGTTTCACCATATTGGTCAGGCTGGTCTTAAACTCCTGACCTCAGGTGATCCGCTTGCCTTGGCCTCCTGAAGTGCTGGGATTACAGGTGTGAGCCACCATGCCCGGCCAAATAAGTTCTTTAGTGGTGATTTCTGAGATTTTGGTGTACGCATCACCTGAGCAGTGTACACTGTACCCAATGTGTAGTCTTTTGTGCCTCAACCCCCTCCCACCTTTTCCCTGGAGACCCCAAAGTCCATTGTATCATTCGTATGATAGGCTCTATTTTCCATTGTCCCTCCACATCCGTTTTCAAGGATTTTGAGTACAGAAAATGATTATCACCTAAAAAGTGGTCTTTTATACAGCAAAAATTTCAGTAAATAATTCGTAACATTTGTGGAATGGTTCTCCTCTGCCCCTTCTCCCCAGTTCTTAACATAAAAATCATTAGAGCCATTTCTTGGCATGGTAATGCAGATATTTTTCTTCAACAGAAAGGACAAACATCAGTTGCATGTATAACTAAAGGGCTAAAAATTGAGATGCTTAATTGTTTCCTTAGTTAGAAAAGCAGCATTCTTCCTCTGGATTTAGGGAAAGGAAGTACTGATGCTTTAAGTCTTTAGGTTCTTGGTTAATTACACTTTGTGTGTGTGTGTGTTTGCTGTAGCCCTCTTGCAATGAGATGGAAAAATTAGAAACATATGATTAAGGCCAGACATGGTGGCTCACACCTGTGATCCCAACACTTTGGGAGGCTGAGGCAGAAGGATCGCTTGAGCCCAGAAGTTTGAGACCAGTCTGGGCTACTGTATTAGTCCATTTTCATACTGCTATAAAGATACTACCCGAGGCTGGGTAATTTATAAAAAGGTTTAATTGACTCACAGTTCCGCAGGGCTGGGAGGCCTCAGGAAACTTACAATCATGGTGGAAGGGGCAGCAAACATGTTCTTCACAGGTGACAGGAGACAGAAAATTGAGGAGGGAAGGGGAAAGGGCCCCTTATAGAAACATCAGATCTTGTGAGAATTCACTATCACAAGAACAGCATGGGGAAACCGCCCCCATAATCCAATCACTTACCTTCCTCCACATATGGGGATTACAGGTCCCTCCCTCCACACACAGGGATTACAATTCAAGATGAGATTTGGGTGGGAACACAGCCAAACCATATTAGCAACCAGGTGAGACCCCATCTCTACAATTTTTTTTTTTAATTAGCCAGGCGTGATTGCCTGCACCTGTAGTCTCAGCTACTCTGGAGACTGAGGTGGGAGGATCACTGGAGCCCCACAGGTTGAGGTTGCAGTGAGCCATGATCTCACCTCTGTGCTCCAGCCTGGGTGACAGAGTGAGATCATGTCTCAATCATCATCATCATCGTCTGGGGCAGCACATGCAGATACAGATGAGTAAATATTAAAGCTAAGGGAGTACCTGGGCGTGGTAGCTCACATCTGTATTCCCAACACTTTGGGAGGCCGAGGCGGGCAGATCACCTGAGGTCAGGAGTTCGAGACCAGCCTGGCCAACATGGTGAAACCCATCTCTACTAAAAACACAAAAATTAGCTGGGCGTGGTGGTGGGCACCTGTAATCCCAGCTATTTGGGAGGCTGAGGCAGGAGAATCGGTTGAACTTGGGAGGTGGAGGTTGCAGTGAGCCGAGATCACACCATTGCACTCCAGCCTGGAAGACAAGAGTAAGACTCCATCTCAAAAGATCTAAGGGACAGGTACATGAGGATATTTTATACTTTTCTACTTCTGTATAATATTTAATGATTAAATGTTAAAAAGTATCAGCAGGCTGAAGATTAGAAAGGCTGACTTGTAAATTTGTCAAGTGCTCTATGAGAAAGCTCTGACTTTAAAAAGCTTTAGTTTTTGTTGGTTTTTTTTTTTGAGACAGTGCCTGTCACCTGGGCTGAAGCGCAGTGGCACAATCACAGCTCACTGCAGCTTCAACCTCCCCAGGCTCAAGCCATCCTCCCACGTCAGCCTCCCGAGTAGCTGGGACTTTTACCTGATAGAGTTGTTAAGGTTCTTGGCGTGTTGAACAGAGAATTGAACAAAATGCACGAAGTAACAAAAGAACGAAACAAGGGAAGACAAAACAACAGAAGAAGAGTAGGGAAAACAGACTTATTGAAGACAATTCACAGAGTGAGAGTGAGCTCGAACAAGCGGCTCAAGAGCCTCCTTAATTAGGATTTTTATCAAGCCCAAGGAACCTGGCAACACCCCACGGTGCCCTAGAGAGGCCTCCAATTGGCTACACCCCATGAAGGATTGGCCTGCAACCCAGCAGAGGCTGAAGTGCCTTGTTATGATGGGAGGGAGGATGTGGCCTATATGCTGCACCTGCCGCTCTCCTGCTTATAGGAGCTGGCTGCACCTGCTGTTCTTTTGCTTATGAGAACTGGCTGCACCTGCCGAACCCCCGTTATCCTAATTCTCTATTCGCCTGCCACAGGACCACAGGTGTGTGCCATCACGCCTGGCTATTTATTTATTTATTTATTTTCAGATAGCGTCTCACCCTGTGGCCCAGGCTGTAGTGCAATGGCACGATCTCGGCTCACTGCACCCTCCGCCTCCTGGGTTCAAGCAATTCTCCTGACTCAGCCTCCACAACCTAGTTGATTTCTCTCATGTAAAAGCTTACAGGAGCTGGGTGGTGACTCACGCCTGTAATCCCAGCACTTTGGGAGGCTGAGGTGGACAGATCACTCGAGGTCAGGAGTTCGAGACCAGGCTGGTTAACATGGCGAAACCCCATCTCTGCTAAAAAAAGAAAAAAAAAAAAACACGAACACAAACAGCCGGGCATGGTGGCTTGCGCCTATAATCCCAGCTACTTGGGAGGTGGAGATACCGGAATCGCTTGAACTTGGGAGATGGGGGTTGCAGTGAGCTGACATCGCGCCACTGCACTCCAGCCTGGGTGACAAAGTGAGACTCCATCTCAAAACAAACAAACAAAAAATAAAAATCTGATAAGGACATTGTCTCAGTTCATGGCTTTCATCTTCAAGGTCACCTGGTATTCAAAACTGGATGCTAGGATTCCAGCTATCCTGTCCACACTCCAAGAAGCAGAGAAGAGGAGGCCTCTTTAGAGAGCTTTGGGAGCTTCCACTCACATCTTGTTGCCAAGCTTAGTCCTGTGGCCAGCTGTCATCTTTGAAGGGGGCATATTGCTATTCCTTGCAAAATAGGCCTTGTACCTTGATCTTAGTTAACTGGCCTCAGTTCAGACCTTGTTTCCAACATGACAAAACCCGATGGCCCAGGAGAGGTGGAGGAGGCTGAGACCAGGAGGAGAAGGGCCTTGGGACTATGCTCCCAATGACATTACCGGCAACCCCAGTGCCCCCGCGAGGTGCGGCCCTCAGGAGTGACCCCACACTGGTGCAGGCTGCACCACCCAGGACCCTCCACTGCTGCTGATCTGCCTCCCATGCCTGGATAATTTTTATTTTATTTATTTTTCATTTTTTATCTTTAGCTTTTTTTTTCATTACAAAACCTCAAAGTACCAATGCCTGACTAATTTTTAAATATTTTTGTAGAGACAGGGTCTCACTATGTTGCCCAGGCTGGAATACAGTGGCCCGATCTCAGCTCATTGGAGCCTCGACCTCCTGGGCTCAATTGATCCTCCTGCTTCAGCCTCCTGAGTAGCTGAGGACTGACCACAGGTGCGTGCTACCATGCCCAGCTAATTATTTTTTATTTTTGTAGAGATCGGGTCTCACTATGTTGCCCAGGCTGGTCTCTAACTCCTGGACTCAGGTGATCCTACCGCCTCGGCCTCCAAAAGTGCTGAGATAACAGGCGTGAGATACCACACTTGGTCCTACATGGTCTTATTTAGAGAATTTGCCCTCATTTTATTACTCTTCATCTCTGTATTTCACTTTGTAAACGCTCTTCCTCACTATCATGGATTGATATGGGAGCTCTGCTCATTTGAGCTTAATTATACAGTAGCTATTATCAAAAGACAATATAAAGTCATTCTAGGTTGTTCTACTGTGACCGTGACACTAAGGGGTTTTGTTGTTGTGGGGATAAAAGAAAATAAAGTGACATTTTTCTGAAGGAAATATTTAAATTAAAAAGTGTGAAATTTCCCTTTAAAGGGAGGGAAAAAGCTTTAGTCAGGTAATTGCTCTGCTAGCTGAAATTGAGATTCTAAAAATAACAAGCTCTAAATCATATGGCTTATTTAGACTTCCACTTAGGACACAGAGATCTGTAAAGAATGCTGCTCTCACCCTAGCAACAAGAAACAGCTGGATCTAGCTGGGTGCATGGTGCCTGCATGCCTGTGGTCCCAGCTACTTGGGAGGCTGAGGTGGGGGGATCACTGAGCCTAGGAGTTCAAGACTAGCCTCGGCAATATACTGAGACCTTGTCTCAAGAAAAAAAAAGAAAAGGAAAAGAAACAGCTGGATGATACACAAAATCATAACATTTTTGAGCCCACAGTGAGCTGAGGCTGCAAAGCAATTATGTAAACTGAATTCCAAAAAGAGATAACCCTCTCCAAGGAGAGACGGGACACAGAAACTGTCTTCCCTTTGGCAAAACACGGGAGAAAAGGCAGCTGCTATACAAGCTAAGATTTTGATGTTCGTAAAGGTCACGCATGGGCTACTGCATCAGTTTGGAACCAGACGGGCTATTTAATTTGTGGGCCTTAGTGCAAAATGAAAATGTGGGAACCCTTACTCAAAAGTGAAGAAGTTCAAGATGGCGATAGGCGACAGCAATGCAGTAAACCAAACATGAAGCCCTTCTAAGTGTGGGGCCCTGCACAGGTACCATGCCATGAAGCCAGTCCTGGCTGGGGGCTTCAGACACAAAGGGAGTGCCCATTCTCTAGAAAGTTCTTCCTCCTCACCCTTCACTAGGTGTTCAGGAGGACTGAGACAGGGCAGGAGACCAGAGAAAGCCAACCTCAGAGCAAACAATGAGTGACTGGCGGCTGTAGGGGAACAAGCGCAAAGCTCCACTGGCTTCCCCAGACCCTCCTCTCCTACCAAGCCAAGGTCTTAACCTGCTGGGGAAAGTACAGCAAGTACTATGGCCTGCCAGGAACTGGCAGATCTATTGTCTCTGGAGAAGGAACAGAGGCAGACAAAACAAAACAAAACCAAAACAAAACCCATCTGCTTCTCCCAGGACTCAGGCAAAGATTATTGCTGCTGGCAGAAGGTCGAGGCAAAAATTCTCTACCTTGGAGGGAAGGGTGGATACAGATATCAAACAGATGTCTAGTCTTGCTAGGAATGGGGCCGAAAACTCCCACCCTACGCCAACCATGGACACAAGGAGAAGTTTGGCAGCCACAGGTAGAAGGAGCAAGAATGCTTAGAAAAACCTCACCTTGAAAACCAAAGCACAGGCTGGGTGCGGTGGCTCATGCCTGTAATCATGGCACTTTGGGAGGTTGAGGCGGGTGGATCACCTGAGGTCAGGAGTTTGTGACCAGCCTGGCCAACACGGTGAAACCCAGTCTCTACTAAAAACACAAAAATTAGCTAGGCATGGTGGCGCGCGCCTGTAATCCCAGCAACTCGGGAGGCTGAGGCAGGAGAATTGCTTGAACCCGGAGGTTTCATGCGGAGGTTGCAGTGAGCCGAGATTGCGCCACTGCATTCCAGCCTGGGTGACAGAGCAAGACTCCATCTCAAAAGAGAAAAACAAAAACATAGCACAAAGAGCCAGCCCAAGATTGAGGCTGAATTGGGACAACAGAGAACCTCACCTGCTCCTACCATGAGCCCAGCACTGAGTGATACACAGCAGCAGTCTCCAACTGGGGAAGGGGTGAGGGCATGGAGAAGGACCTCCCTCGTATGCAGGCGTGAAAGGATTGCTGAATGGGGAGCAGGAGCGCCCGAGAAAAACCCAGCACCTAAGCACAAGGTGACAGCAGTCAAGCTTAAATTAGTGGAATTGCAGGCTAATGGGCTGTGATTCCATGGGTAATGATAGAATTCTATACCTAGTAAAATGATCTTTAAAAAAAATTTTTTTTTTTTGAGTCAGAGTTGCCCAGGCTGGGGTGCAGTGGTGTGATCTCAGCTCATTGCAACCTCTGCCTCCTGGGTTCAAGTGATTCTTGTGCCTCAGCCTCCCAGTAGCTGGGTTTAGCAGGCCACCATGCCCGGCTAATTTTTATATTTTTAGTAGAGACAGGTTTTCACCATGTTGGCCCAGCTGGTCTTGAACTCCTGGCCTCAAGTGATCAGCCTGCCTCTGCCTCCCAAGATGTTTGGATTACAGGTATAAGCCATTGCGCTCGGCCTATACCTAGTAAAATGATCTTTCCCACATGAACATGAAAGAAATACTTTTAAAGACATACAAAAGCTGAAAAAATTCATCACCATCAAACTTGCACTACAAAAAATGTTAGTCTTAAGGCAGAAGAAAAACTATACCAGATGGAAATACAAAACTACACAAAGCAATGAAGAACACTAGAAATAACACAGATTTATATGAGTAAATAAACTTTTTTCTTGTTACTAAATCCCTTTAAGTGATATTTTAGTGATGATAATATAATAGCAATGTTGCATGGGGCTTATAATACATATAAAACCAAAATTTATGACAATAGCACAGTTAGGGATATATATTACAAGATTCTGATACTCTATGTGAAGTGGTGTAATGCCACTTGATGGCAGATGGAACAAAGTTAAAGATGTATACCACAAATCCTAAAGCAACCACTAAAGGAACAAAACAAAAAGGTATAGCTAATAAGCCACACAAAAGAGATACATAGAATAAAAAATATTCAATTAATCCAAAAGAATTCAGAAAAAGAGGAAATAAATGGGACAAATAGAAAACAAATAGCACGATGACAGACTTAAACCTAACAATACCAATAATCGTATTAAATATAAACAATCTAAATATCCCCAAATGAAAAGTAGAGAGTATTAGCCGGGTGCAGTGGCTCACACCTATAATCCCAGCACTTTGGGAGGTGGGCAGATCACTTGAGGTCAGGAGTTCAAGACCAGCCTGGCCAACATGGCGAAACCCCGTCTCTACAAAAAACAAAACAAAACAAAGAAATAAAAATTAGCCGGGCTTGGTAGTGCACAACTGTAATCCCAGCTACGCAGGAGGCTGAGGCATGACAGTCACTTGAGCCTGGGAGGCGGAGGTTGGTTACAGTGAGCCGAGATCGCCCCCACTGCACTCCAGCCTGTGTGACAAAGCATGTCTCAAAAACAACAACAACAAAAAGTAGAGAATATTAGATTAGAATTAAAACAACAACAAAAAATGCTGCCTACAAGAAACAGTGGTAAGGAATAAATACCTCCAAAAACCCCTACCCACGAACATGAAATACTAGTTGTCCTAATCAAAGCAATATGAAACATATACAAAAAGTCATAGAGATTAGAAAAGAAGAAAAAAGCTTTGTATTCACTGACTATGTGACTTTGTAATTTAAAAAAATCCAAAGTAATTGCTGATAAATACAGGTTGAGCATCCCTAATCCAAAAATCTGAAATACAATATGCTCCAAAATCCAAAACTTTTTGAGCAGGTACTTGATGCTCAAAGGAAATGTTCATTGGAGCATTTCAGATTTGTGGAATAGGGATGTTCAACCAGATATCTATATGCAAATATTCTAAAATCAGAAAAAATCCTAAATCTGAAACACTTCTGGTCCCATGCATTTTGAATAAGGGATACTCAACTTATATAAGAACTAAGTGCATTTAGTATAGCTACTGAAGAAAATATTTTGGGCAGGTGTGGTGGCTCACGCCTGTAATCCCAGCACTTTGGGAGGCAGAGGTGGGTGGACCACCTTAGGTCAGGAATTCGAGACCAGCCCGACCAAGATGGTGAAACCCCATCTCTACTAAAAATACAAAAATTAGCTGGGCGTGGTGGTAGGTGCTTGTAATCCCGGCTACTCCAGAGGAGAATCGCTTGAACCTGGGAAGTGGGGGTTGCAGTGAGCAGAGATTGCGCCATTGCCCTCTAGCATGGGCAACAGTAAGACTCCGTCTCAAAAAAAAGAGGTTGCATTGAGCAGAGATCGCGCCATTGCACTCCAGTCTGGGCGACAGAGTGAGACTCCATCTCAAAAAAAAAAAAAAAAAAAAAGAAGATATTTTAAAAGATCGCTTTTATTTCAATTTATCATCATTAAACAATCACAAAATAGAAAGGTATTACCCACGACAGCATTTTAAAATCAAATGTTGCCAGGTGCAGTGGCTCACGCCTGTAATCCCAGCACTTTGGGAGGCCGAGGCGGGTGGATCACGAGGTCAGGAGATCGAGACCATCCTGGCTAACACGGTGAAACCCCGTCTCTACTAAAAATACAACAACAACAAAAAAAATTAGCCGGGCGTGGTGGCGGGCACCTGTAGTCCCAGCTACTTGGGAGGCTGAGGCAGGAGAATGGCATGAACCCGGGAGGCGGAGCTTGCAGTGAGCTGAGGTCATGCCACTGCACTCCAGCCTGGGCGACACAGCAAGACTCCGTCTCAAAAAAAAAAAAAAAAAAAAATCAAATGTTACGGTTAGATGGCAAGACATTTATACCAAATATTATATTGTTGAGAGAAATTGAGGACTTGATGAAAGAGGTATTTTATACCATCTCCATGGACTAGAAGGCTCAATAATGTAAAATGACCTATTCTTCCTAAACTGATAGAGGTTCAGTATAATCCCCAAATCCCAGCAGAATTTATTGTATCCCTATGTGTGTAAATATAACAAGCCGATTCTAAATTGTGTTTTTTTTTGGAGACAGAGTTTTCCTCTGTCGCCCAGGCTGGAGTGCAATGGCGCGATCTTGGCTCACTGCAACCTCCGCCTCCCGGGTTCAAGCTATTCTCCTGTCTCAGCCTCCCAAGTAGCTGGGATTACAGGCATGTGCCACTATGCCCGGCCAATTTTTGTATTTTTAGTAGAGACAGGGTTTCACCATGTTGGCCGGGCTGGTCTCGAACTCCTGACCTCAGGTGATCCACCCGCCTCGGCCTCCAAAAGTGCTGGGATTACAGGCATGAACCACTGCACCCAGCCCTAAATTGTTTATTGTGGTACTATATATATGACATAAAATTTAATCATTTTAAAATACACAATTCAGTGCCATTAAGTATACTCATGTTGTGTGATCTTCACCACCATTCATTTCCATAACTTTCTAATCATCTGAAACTCTACAGCCATTAAAGTAACTCCTCAATCCTTTCTCCTTCCAGCCCCTGGCAATCTCTATTCTACTTTTTGTGTCTATGAATTTGCCTATATTCTAGGTACCCTCATATAAGTGAAAACATACAATTGTGTTTTTGTGTCTTGCTCATTTCACTAAGCATGTTCTGAAGGTGCTCCGTGTTGCAGCATGTGTCAGAATTTGATTCCTTTCCAATGGCTGAACAATATTCCATTGTATGGATATACCACATTTTTTTTTTTTTTTTTTTTGAGACAGAGTTTCACTTTGTTACTCAGGCTGGAGTACAGTGATCTCCGCTCACTGCAACCTCCACCTCCTGGGTTCAAGTGATTCTCCTATCTCAGCCTCCTGAGTAGCTGGGATTACAGGCGTGTGCCACCACACCTGGCTAATTTTTGTCTTTTTAGTAGAGATGGGGTTTCGCCATGTTGGCCAGGCTAGTCTCGAACTCCTGACCTCAAGTGATCCACCCACTGGTCTCCCAAAGTGCTGGAATTACAAGTGTGAGCCACCGCACCTGGCCCACACTTTGTTTATCCATTAATCTGTTGATGGAATTTGGCTTGTTTCCACCTTTTTTGGCTATGGAATACTGCTATAAACTTTGGTACCTAGTGTATTCTTTATAAGACGTAAATGCGTGATTCAATTGGTTTAATATTAGTGACAGAATTAGACTATATTTGAGTCAGTTTGATAAATTTTCTAGTAATTTACTTCTGTAACTTCTTGTTTTCAAATGTACTGGCAAATGCTATTCATAGTATCCTCAACTTTTTTGTTGTTTTTGAGACAGGGTCTCACTCTCATCTCGGCTGGAGTGCAGTGGCAAGATCATGGCTCAAGGCAGCCTTGACCTCCACAGGCTTAGGTGATTCTCCCCTCTTAACCTCCCGAGTAGCTGGGACTACAGGTATCTGCCACCACGCCTGGCTAATTTTTTGGTATTTTTTGAGGTTAGGTTTTACCATGTTGCCCCAGGCTGGCCTTGAACTTTGGGACTCAAGTCATCCTCTTACCTCAGCCTCCCGAAGCGCTGGGATTACAAACATGACCCACTGTGCCCAGCCTATCCTCAATTTTTTATCACTTTTGTTACCTTTTATTTTGCAAATTCATGCTTTTATTTGTGCCTTCTGTATGTTTGTGGTTTTTTTGTAATATTTGTTTTATTAGTCTTTTCAAGTAAGTTTGTGGTTCTGTTGATCTTTTGATTTTTGCGCTTAATCTGTTAACTTTTACATGATAAACACCTAGCTAATTACTTTTCAGCTTTTGTTCTGTTACAAGCATTTAGTTATAAATTTTCCTCTAAAGACTGCTCTGGTGGTATTGCACAAGTCTTTTTTGAGGGTCTTGCTCTGTTGCCCAGGCTGGAGTGCAGTGGCATGATCATAGATCATTGTAGCCTCAAATCCCTAGTAGCTGGGACCACAGGTGTGTGCCACCACACCCAACTAATTTTATTATTATTTTTTTTGAGACGGGGTCTTGCTATGTGGCCCATGCTGGTCTCAAACTCCTGGGGTCAAGTGATCCTCTTGCCTTGGCCTCCCAAAGTGCTGGGATTACAGGCAGAAGCCAGCGTGCCCAGCCCATCTCTTTCTTTTTAAAGACAGCTTCATTGAGGTATATTTTACAAATCATAAAATTTTCCCATTTCAAGGGTTCAATTTAAAGATTCTTGGTAAATTTACCAAATTGAGCAACCATGACAATAATTACTTTAATAACTAAAAATTGGAAATAGCCTAAATGTTTCAAATGGACACATCAACTGATGAATGCATAGAGAGAAATGTGTTATATTCACACCATGGCAAGCTGCTTAGGAATAAAAGAATGAACTGTTAAATACGACATGGAGGAACTTCAGGACACGCTAGTGAAAAACCTGCACAAAAACAATTTATGTGATTCCACTGATATGAGCTGTCCAGAAGTAGTAAATCTGTAGACAGAAGTAGATTAGTGGTTGCCTGGGGCTGGTTGGTGGCAATGAAAATCAACACAGGTCAAGAGAGAGACTGAAATCATGAAAATATTCTAAAACTGATTTATTGTCAAGGCTGCAGTGAGTTGTGATTGGGCCATTGCACTCCAGCCTGGGGCAACCCAAAGTGAGACCCTGTCCCCCCAAAAAAAAAAAAAAAAAAAAAATATATATATATATATATATATATACACACACACATATATATATACATATATATACACATATATATACATATATACGTATACATATATATGTATGTATATATTACATATGTTTTTGAAAGTTTCTTCCCAGTTATATTCTAGTTTTAGTATATAATCCATAGCTGTACTTAAAAATGTGACATTAATATAAATTACCTACTAAAATTTTTCGACTGGCTTTTTTTTATGGTCTAAAAGTTATCAGCTATTTGAATTTCTTCTGAAAGTAAGTCCTGTAACAAAGAATATTACAATAAAATTTCCTCAACACAAATGTTTATTTCAAGTTTAGAGATTAAAAATTTTTTTAAAAAAAATACAGAGATGGAGTCTCACTGTGTTGCCCAGGCAGGTCTCAACCTCCTGAGCTCAAGCAATCCTCTTTTCTCAGCCTCCCAAAGCAATGGGATTACAGGCATGAGCCACCATGCCCAGCCTATTTTTTATTTTTTAGAGATGACATCTTGCTATGTTGCCCAGGCTGCCCTCAAGCTCTTGGGTTCAAGCCATCCTCCACCTCAGCCTCCTGAGTAGCTGGGACTATAGCCATGTCCCATTGCCCTGCTTTGAAAGATTTTATGTCGTTTCAAGATAGCAGGCCAGGTGTGATGGCACACATCTATAATCTCAAGAATTTGGCAGGGCCACTTGAGGCCAGGAGTTCAAGACCAGCCTGGGCAACATAACAAGATCCCGTCTCTACAAAATATTTTACAAATTAGCTGGGTGTGGTGGTATGTTGAGTGTAGTCCCAGCTACTCAGGAGGCTGAGGGAGGAGAATGGCTTGGGCTCAGGAGTTCAAGGTTGAAGTGAGCTATGACTGTGCCACTGCACTCCAGCCCAGATGACAGAGCAAGACCTGGTCTAGAAAAAATAAAGTTTTCATTTAATGCACAACACAATAAATGAATGTTTTTGTTTAAAATGAAAAGTTTATTTGCTGAGTACACCAAATAGGATGCAAGCACTGTCATGACAAATATACAGAAATATGCAGATCAACATAAAACAGTAATTTAGTTTAAATGAAGGGAAATCTCTTTAAATGTTATGACAACATACTCCCAAGAAGAACCTTTTCTTCAGTTAAGTTAATTATACATTTCAATAAAATAAAGGATAATGGATTAGTGGAAGTTAGCTTGTGAATTTTTCTTAAAAATAAAACTCCAACTCTATTAATCCATGCCAGTTAAACACTATAACTAAAATTTCCAAATAAGCGCAAAAGGAGATGAAGCAGTTAGTTACCTTTTTTGCTTGAACAGTCCAAAGGAAAATGGTTACTATAAATACAGCAGGCAAACTGTTAGACTGACCTAGAACATAGTGTACTAAATTTCAGTCTCAAATTGTGCTAAATGCTCATCATTAGTATGGCACATTTGGTCCATGATGTGGTTTAATGCCAAGACAGATCCCAATTTGTTACAGAAACACATAGATTACTGTTGCTTTTTGTTTTTAAATACATATATTTTAAAAAGCCAGGTATACTTCCACATACAAAGGCAGGTTTCCCAGGAGAAATTTATAGGAAGTAGTCTGGGGTGCGCCGTGTAACATGAGGCTCACCACGACGAGGCGCTGGGTCAAATTGAAGGCTGTAAATGGCAAAAAAGGAAGCAAATAAAGGATCTGACTTTGCAAAGAAAACAAATGAATAAAGAACAAGACACTGTAGTAGAAACAGCAGTCCTGCTTTCCCACCATGACTACATCACTTACGGCTGGAATGGCCATGGGCAAATCACTGCAGATGCTCCCATTCCAACTAACTGCTTCATAGGGCTATGGTGAAAATTTAAGAAGACAGAATGTCTGGTTTGGTGCCTGGCATAACAATTTCTAAATGTTATTATTATTTAAAAGCTTAAATAATTAAAGATTAAATAATATCAAGTTTAAATAATTAAACAATAATTGTTTAATATTATTTAATAATAATAATAATATCACTTTTTTTTTTTTTTTTTTTGAGGCAGAGTCTTGCTCTGTCGCCCAGGCTGGAGTGCACTGGCACGATCTCGGCTTATTGCAAGCTCCGCCTCCTGGGTTCATACCATTCTCCTGCCTCAGCCTCCTGAGTAGCTGGGACTACAGGAACCCATTACCATGCCCGGCTAATTTTCTTATTTTTTTTTAGTAGAGACGGGGTTTCACCGTGTTAGCCAGGATGGTCTCATCTCCTGACCTCATGATCCACCCGCTTCGGCCTCCCAAAGTGCTGGGATTACAGGCGTGAGCCACCGCGCCAGGCCTAATATCACTATTTTCTTGAGTGTTTCTGGCTAGTGGATTTTTCCAATTATTTTTGTGCCTCTATTGAGATGATCATGTGTTTTTTAATCCCTTAATATTAATATGGTTTATTATATTGATTTTCATGTTTTGAACCAACCTAGCATTCCTGGGATAAATCCCACTTGCTCATGGTGTATAATCTTTTTACATATTGCTAGATCCAGGTTGCTGGTACGTATGTTGGAAAATTTTATATCTGTATTCGTAACAAATGCTGGTCTGTTTTTGCCTTTGTCTACTTTTGGTATCAAGGATAATAGTGCAGGTGTGACAGAATGAATGCAGTAGTCCTCCTCTTCTGTTTTTTGGAAGTGTTTGTGAAGGATTGGCATTAACTCGTTTTTATTTTTGAGACAGGGTCTCACTCTGTTGCCCAAGCTGGAGTGCAGTGGTGTGATCATGGCTCACTGTAGCCTCAACCTCCCTGGGCTCAGGTGATCCTCCCACTTCAGCTTCCTGAGTAGCTGAGACTATAGGCTGAGCCACCACACCAGGTTAATTTTTGTATTCTTTGTAGATACAGGGTTTTACCATGTTACCCAGGCTGATCTTGAATCCTGGGCTCAATCTGCCTGCCTTGGCTTCCCAAAGTGCTAGGATTACTGGTTAGAGCCACCGCACCTGGCCAATTCCTTTCTTTAAACATTTGGTGGACTTCATCAATGAAGCCAATTGGGCTTGGCCTTTTATTTGTGGGGAGTTTTAACTTTTTCACTCATTTATTTATATTCTTTTAAATTAAATAGGGACAAGGTCCTGCTATGTTGTCCAGGCTGGTCTCAAACTCCTAGTCTCAAGCAATCCTCTCAGCTTGGCCTCCCAAAGCTGGGATTTATAGGTGTGAGCCACCATGCTGGCTCAATATTTTCACATTTGAAAGGTCATTCAGATTTCATATTTCTTGAGTCAGTTTCAGTAGTTTCTTTTTAGGAATTAGTACGTTTTATCAAAGTTACTGAATTTGCTGGCATATAGTTATTTATTGTATTCCCTTATAATCCTTTTTATTTCAGTAAGGTCTCTAGTGATTTGGTAATGTGAGTCTTTACTCCTTTTTTTCTTGGCCAGTCTAGTTAAGGCTTTTCAAAGCATCAACTTTGGGTTTTGTTGATTTTTCTGTAATGATTTTCTACTGTTTGTTTATTTCTACTCTAAACCTCGTTTCATAAGCTTACATCAGGTTTAGTTTACTCTGCTTTTTCTAGGTCCTCAAGTATAAAGATAGGTTACTGATTTCAAATCTTCTTGTTTTTTTTTTTGTTTTTTTCTTTCTGAGACAGGGTCTTTGCTCTGTTGCCTAGGCTGTAGTGTAGTGCTGTGATCATAGCTCATTGCAGCCTTGATCAACTGGGCTCAAGTGATCCTCCATCTCAGCCTCCCATACAGCTGAGACTACAGGTGCTTGGCACCATACCTGGCTAATTTTTAAATTTTTTTGTAGAGACGGGGTCTCCCTATGTTGCCCAGGCTGGCCTCAAGTGATCCTCCTACTTTGGCTTCCCAAAGTGTTGGGATTACTTGTGTGAGCCACAGCATCCAGCCATGTTAATGATTTCTAATTTCATTTCCTTGTGTTTGGAGAATATCCTTTTAAGAATCTAATCTTCTTAAATTGCCTGAGGCATGTTTTACAGTCTAGCATATGACTATGTTTCATGTTTACTTGAGAGGAAAGTATTCTGCTGTTGTTGGGTGTTGTTTTACAGACATGAGGTATACAGTCAGTTTACAGTGTTGCTCAAGTCTTCTCCTGCCTTCATCTCCTGCCTAGTTGTTCTATCCAAGAGAAACAGTTTCTGTTGCTTAGTTTTTTCCTGTGTAGAGGTCACACTTCCTTGTTCTTTCCATGTCTTATAATCTGTGGTTGAAAAATTGGACATTATAGATAACATATTGCAGTAGCTCTGGAATTCATGTCCTTGGGGACTGATCTTGTCTTTTTGGTGGTTTATTATTTTTGTTTAGTGACTTAGCTGAACTAACTGTAAAGTCTACTTCCCCCATAGTGTGCAGCCCCTGTGGCCCTGCTCGGATGTTTTTACTTTTTTTTTTTTTTTTTGAGTTTCACTTTTGTTGCCCAGGCTGGACTGCAATGGCGTGATCGCCGCCGCCTCCCAGGTTCAAGCGATTCTCCTGCCTCAGCCTCCTGAGTAGCTGGGATTACAGGCATGCGCCACCACACCCAACTAATTTTGTATTTTTAATAGAGACTGGGTTTCTCCATGTTGGTCAGGCTGGTCTTGAACTCCCGACCTCAGGTGATCCGCCCACCTCGGCTTCCCAAAGTGCTGGGATTACAGGCATGAGCCACCGTGCCTGACCGTTTTTACTTCTTTTAATCTTTCACAGCCTGGCTACTGAGGGGCTGTCTCTGGGTAGGCATAAGCCACTTACTGATCAAAGATTGTACTTAAGCCCCCTTGGCCAGTTAGATCTTAAAGCTCACCCTAATGGCCACCGGAAATGTTATGTGACTTGCAGATTGCTATCAAAGCTGAAGGAGTTTATATTTTGGCTTCCCATTCAGCCAGGGACTAATAGTTGGATCTTCATACTGCACTCAGTCCAGAGAGGGTATAACCTTGGGCATGCACATATTCTGCCAGACTGTCAGGGATGAGTGTGATTTTATTTTAAAGCCTGACTACCTAGGAGGTGCTCCTGGATCAGAGTAACTGAATGTCGTTCAGTCAATGATGAGAGGTTGTGTTTAAGCCTCACATACTAGTGATGGTTACACCATTTGTTGATCAATCTACTTATCCATTTCCTGGGGCTGCCGTAACAAATTACCGAACTGTATAGCTTATACAACGGGGATTTATCCTCTCACAGTTCTGGAGGCTACAAGTCTGAAAGCAAGATGCTGGGAGGACCACGCTCTCTCTGAAGGCTCTAGGAAAAATCCTTCCTAGCCTCTCCCTAGCTTCTGATGGCTCTGGCAATCCTTAGCTGGTAGATGCATCACTTGAATCTCTGGCTTCACACAGCATTCTCCCCTGTGTGTGTTTCTTTTCCTCTTACTAAAATCCCATTCGAATTGGATTTAGGCCCACCCTAATCCAGTACAATCTCATCTTTAATAATTATATCTGTAAAGATCCTATTTCCAAATAACATCACATTTTGAGGTTCTGGGTGGACATGAATTTTTTTGGGGGGACATTATTCAACTCAGTACAATCTATGTGTGGCTTGAAAATATTATATGAATACCCCACATCCTACTCTTGACTGCTCCTGAGTGGGTATGGCTAGTGCATGTGCACAGCCTTCTTGTCCCCCAGGGCTGACTGTGATCCCAGAAGGGCTCTTCTTGGCTTTTTCCCTGGTGCTATTTGTTGAACAACATGTTGCTCTGCTCTTTTGTATGTTGCTCCTAGTATCATGGGAGCTATTACAGCCCTCTTAATTGGTCTCCACCATGACATCTACTGCTTTCCACAAAGCACTCAGATTTGGAATTCTCCATCACCTAAGTAAGATAAGTCCTCTGAGGCAGAGCTGAGGAACTTCTGTGACCTGCCTTTCCTCCTGAGCAGAACTTCTGTGCCAGTGCAGGCTCAGTGATACCACCTGGTTTATAAGCAGGTGCTGGGGTAACAGCATTGGGAAACCCAGCATTCTCATCTGCCATGCATGCCTGGAGCAGAGCTTCTGCCCCAGGAGCTGGGGCAGGGAAGGGGGCCTCAGCCTGCTTGACTGTGTCTACCAGGAGTAGAGCTTTTGTAACTCCAGACTAGGAGAGGTGAGATATGCTGGCATCTGATCTCTGGGAGTGAACCCACAGCCCCAGCCCTGGGAGCTGATGAAGAGGGGGAATCCCTTAGCCTCCTGACTATACCAACCCAGCGTAGAGCGCCTGTAGTCGTTTCTGTGAGAGGGATCTGGGAGGAGTTGGAGGGGGCAAGTCATAGCTCAAATGCCACAGACTACGGCTATTATTACTGAGATTTAGTAGGTTTTCTTGAATTAACTGTTTCTCCACCTGCTGTATGCCCTTAGGACAATTTCCAAAAGCTTTGAAAAATTATTTTTTAAAAATAATGTTCTCCAGCTAATGGTTATTTTTGCTGGAGAGGGGCTTTGCTATACTCCTCATCCAATTTCAGAAACAGAAATCTTCTATTTTTAACATTTAAAATTTTCCTTCTGAAAGTATATACAATTAAAATTTACAGTTACTCACAAGGAATATTTTAAAGTGTCATCTAATTCCATGATAGCAGCCTGGTTCCCACAACGATAACAGTAATTGGGTGCACTGAAAATGGTAACCACATTCCGATCATGACACCAATTGTATCCCTGCAGGATAAAAACAAATTCATTATTTCATTATAATATTATGATTTTGACACAGACACATTTAAAAAAAACTAAACTCAAAAACTACAGGTACTCTCTGTGGAAATGTAGTCGTCTATATTACTATATAAGGTCTCCATCTTTAATAGTTTGTGTACCTGTAAAGAATACTGTGCAATTCGTGGGCCTAGGAGTCTGTTAAATGCAGCTCGCTAATTGTTGTTTTGCCGTATCTATGCTTGAAATCTTGGCAAGGATGTGTACTGAATTTCTCCCACAATCATAATTAATTTCTCAATTTTCCCTCATGAATTATGCCAATTTTTTCTTTATATATTTTGAAGCTATTACTAGGTAAATACAAATTTAGAATACTTTCTTCCTAGAGAACTGGGCCAGTTTTCATCAATAATCTCTTTATTTCTAATAATACCTTTTATTAGAGCCTATCTCATTCATATTATTAGCTATAGTATTATATATAGTGTGTATACATACATGCTAATTAATGTATGTGTATATACATATGTATATATACGTGTATATATGTATATATGTGTGTGCATATATGTATACATGTGTATATACATGTGTATATACATACACGTATATATGTATGTATACATGTATGTGTGCGCATATATGTATACGTGTGTATATGTGTATATATACGTGTGCATATATGTATACACACATACATGTGTGTATATATGTATACATATATATACATACATTAGTGTATGTATGTGTGTATATACACACACACACACATCCTGTGTTGCCCAGGCTGGAGTGCAGTGGTGCGATCTAGACTCACTGCAACCTCCAACTCCTGGGTTCAAGCAATTCTCCTGCCTCAGCCCCGAGTAGTTGGGACTACAGGTGCGTGCCACCACACCAGGTTAATTTTTTGTATTTTAGTAGAGACAGGATCTCACCATGTTGCCCAGGCTGGTCTCGAACTCCTGAGCTCCAGCAATCCGCTTGCCTCAGCCTCCCAAAGTGCTGGGAATAGAGGCACGAGCCACCACGCCAGCTCATTAGCTATATTTTTGATATTTTGATTAATTACTTGATATACCAATATACCATTTTCCAACTCTTACCTCTAGTTTGTGGTGTCTTTTTCTTTTTCCTCGTTTTTTTGAGACAAGGTCTCACCCTTTTGCCCAGGCTGGAGTGCAGCGGTACGATCATAGCTCACTGCAGCCTCAACCTCCTGGCCTCAAGTGACCCTCTCACCTCAGCCTCCTGAGTAGCTGGGACAATAGACATATGCCACCATGCCCAGCTAACTTTTTGACTTTTTTTTTTTTTTTATATAGAGATGAGGTCTCACTATGTTGCCCAGGCTGGTCTGAAACTCCAAGACTCAAGAGATCCTCCCACCTCGGCCTCCCAAAGTGCTGGGATTATAGGCATGAGCCACTTTGTCCAGCCAATCATTTATGTTTTAGGTACATCCCAAATAACAGCTAAATTTTGATTATTTATCCAATCTAAGAGTCTCTTTCAGGCTAAAATTTTAGTCTCTTTCTTATAATCACTGATATAATTAAATTTATTTTTACTATGTAAATTTGTGTTTTTTTTATCATGCTCCCTTGTTTCTACTGGGCTGGCGAAGTTTTCTCTAAACATCTTGAAGCCACTCCCTACTGGTCTGCAGGGATTATGTTGTTTATGTTCCCTTAGTAGTTGTATAACAGTTAATATTATAGTGGAGAAATCTGGCAGACATCATCTTAACTAAGCAATTAAAGTTGCCACCACCAGCATTGAGACAAGCAGATTTTAGGACCACTTGATACAATGCACGGAGGAGGACACACCATCTTTCTATGTCATGACTGCCAAAAATGCATACATTGAATCCCTAACTGCAAGGAAAACATCAGGCAAACCCCAACTGAGGGATATTTCTGTAAGATAAAATGCTCCTACTCTTCCAAAATGTCAAGAATGTGGAAAACAATGAAAATCGGAGGATTTCCACATCAAAGTAGAATGAATACAACCTAATCTTTGGATTCGACTATGCACATACAGTATGCACAAAAAATTAAATTTTGCTATTAAAGACATTAGTGAGACAATTAGCAAAATTTGAATAAAGTGTTCATATTAAATAACAGTACTATATGAACACAAATTTCCCAACTGTGATAACTATACGGTGGTTATGTGACAGTGTGTCCTTAATTTTACAAAATACACATAGAAAGTTGGTAGTAAAGGAGTATCTGTCTGCAACAGATATTCAAATGGTTCAGAAGAAAGTGTGAGGGGTGAAGAGGAAGAGAGACACAAAATGATAAAGCAAATATAGTAAAATATTTACAGTCAGGAATCTGAATGAAGCATACAGGGAATTATGGGGTACTATTTTTGTAACTTTTTTCTAAGTCTCAATTTCAAAAATGAGTTATAATTCTGCTCTGGTCTACTAGTGCTTTCCCTACTTGCTAAAACCAGCAAGTTTTTCCTCTTTTCACCTAGGTAATAAATGGTGAGGAATGTTTCTTAGTTAAGTCATAATGCCTTATTACAGAAGTATATACTAATCTGAAATAAAGATCATTCTGTCAGGAAAGTACATACCTCCATTACAAGCTGGTGGGCACGAGAAACCAGTGTGAGACCATTGGCATGGTTAAAGGTTTCAGAAATGTCTTGTCCAAATGTGTAGCCAGCACCACGTGGTGAAATACCCCATCCACCACGATCATCTGGATCTGACCATAACAGATCACACATTGGGCCCTGGCCAAGAAAAATAAGTACATGTTACAAATTATTATCAGTCATACTTTATCATCCTCAAAATGTGGTTATATTTTCTTTTCCTTTCTTCTTCTTTTTTAAATTAAGTTTACCTCATGTGGAACTTCCTGTAAACGATCCAGGGCTCTTATATGATCCAGTGTGTCTATGGATGGAGAGAGGCCACCATGGAGGCAGAATATCTATGTATGAATTAACAAAAGAGAATGTATTTGTTTTACTAACTCCAAACAGTTAACAAAGAGTAAATAATGGTTAAAAGTGTCAGTCCAAATAGTGCCAACATTTAAACATATTTTGTCCATCATTTTTTCTTCTTTACCCCTTCTCTGGTCAATGGTATCCCCATCCTTGGGGACCCACCATTAAATTTCTTTTTTTTTTTTTCCCCTCCCTCCCTCCCTTCCTTTTCTCTGGTCAATGGTATCCCCATCCTTGGTACCTACCATTAAATTTCTTTCTTTCTTTTTTTTCTCCCTCCCCACTTCCCTCCTTTCTTTTCTTTCTGTAGAGATGGAGTCTTGCTGTGCTGCTGAGGATGGAGAGCAGTAGCTATTCACAGCCTTGATCACTGCGCAATGCAGCCATGAACTCCTGGGCCCAAGCAATCCTCCTGCCTCAGCCTCCTGGGAAGCTAGGATTACAGGTGCATGCCACTGTACCCAGCTGTCATTACAGCTTCTGTTGGTTATTGCTGATATATACAATTTTTTGTTTCTCTTACAGCAAACACTCTGATTCCTGTTACTGGCTACAATAAATTTTCAGTTCCTTCATATTTTCTAAGTACATAATCAAGTCATTTGCAAAACTATTTTTGTTTTTTCTTCTCAATGTTTATACGTTTTAATTCTTTTTATTGCTTAGTGCATTGGCCAGGACTTCTAAAATAAAATGGAATAATACAAATGTTTTCTGTTTTGTTTTTTGTAAACTACCTAGTTTCAAGTCCATGCTCTAGGTATTCTGAATCAGAGAGAATAACGTAAGTTTTAACAAGCATTTTCTTTCTGATTTTGATTTTTTTTTTTTTTTTTTTTGAGACGGAGTTTCGCTCTTGTTGCCCAGTGCAATGGCGTGATCTCGGCTCACCGCAACCTCCGCCTTCCGGGTTCAAGCAATTCTCCTGCCTGAGCCTCCTGAGTAGCTGGGTTTACAGACATGTGCCACCATGCCTGGCTAATTTTGTATTTTTAGTAGAGACAGGGTTTCTCCATGTTGGCCAGGCTGGTCTTGAACTCCCAACCTCAGGTGATCCGCCCGCCTTGGCCTCCCAAAGTGCTGGGATTACAGGCATGAGCCACCTCACCTGGCCTGATGAGAAGGTTTCTAATGTTTAGCTGATAGTACAACTGGCGTTTCTTTATCCACTTAATATTATTATTTTATAAAATAACTGAGTTTTGAATCATAAATATAGGAATTTTTTTTCCAAATGACTTTGGTCTGATTTTATTTTTCTGTGCGTGCCACGTCTGGTTTGGCATTGAGGTTATACTAGGCATACGGTGTGAGTTTTGAACTCTCCATCTTTTCCCAAGTTCTAGAACACAGAAATTATATGTTCCTTAAAGGTTTGGTAGAATTAGCCTATAAAACTATTTACACCTGGTTGCTATTGGTTGTTTACTTATATTGGACGAATTTCTGCAAGCCAATTTTAATAACTGGTATTTTACTATAGTAAGCTTCATTCAGCTTTTCAAACTTAGTGCACTAAAGCTGCACCTGTTCTTGTGATACACGAGCTCCTGCATAGTTATAATTATGCCTTATTTCATTCCTAGTGTTTTATGTGCCTTCCATCTTTTCTTCTAGATCAGTTTTGTTCACTATTATTTCTTTTCTAGTAACTTTTCAGAAAGAAAGGAAGGAAGGAGGAAGGGAAAAATATATAAAAGCTCTACTAACGCACCCATTTTAAAAACTAGATACTTCATTAAAACTGATAGGCTGTCTTTTAAAAATCATTCTGTCCAGCAATTTTATTATTAATGAAGACTATGTTGCTTCAAAACAATTAAAAACAACCTTAATTAAAATTTAACATCTTTTAAATTCACATTTTCTTTTAACAAGTCCAGGCAAAGTATCGTCCTTTCAAATTAATCACGGCAGTGTCCAAAATCATGGCTGAGAAAAAAGACTGTCAGGATTACACAGGGAAAGTTATAACCAAATTATATTCCCACGAGCAGTCTAAGAGAGAATTTATTACATTCTTGACAACTCTGGGCTTTCATAATTTAAGAATTATGGAGTTTTATTATATGTTTTATATTTATTTATTTTATTTTTTGAGATGGAGTCTCACTTTGTCACCCAAGCTGGAGTGCCGTGATACGATCTTGGCTCACTGCAACCTCTGTCTCTCTCAGGTTCAAGTGATTCTCCTGCCTCAGCCTCTCAAGTAGCTGGGACTGGGACTACAGGCATGCAATGCCATCCCCGGCTAATTTTTGTATTTTTAGTAGAGATGGGGTTTCACCATGTTGGCCAGGCTGGTCTCGAACTCCCTACCTCAGGTGATCCACCCACCTTGGCCTCCTAAAGTGCTGGGATTACAGGTAGGAGCCAACTTGCCCGGCTTTTGTTTTATATTTAAATTTAAATCAGTTCATGCTTACAGTGATTATCTCTAGAAATTGAAATAGGAAATTTGCATAATTTCTTCTTATACTTTTGAATGTTTCATGACATGTCTGCACTACTTGTTACAGCAAATGCAGAAATAGCATTTGCTTCTATTTTCTTTTTTTGTTCTTTGAGATGGGGTTTTGCTGTTGCCCAGGCTGAAGCCCAGGCTGGATCACGGCTCACTGCAGCCTTAACTTCCTGGGCTGAAGAGATCCTCTCACCTCTAGCTTCCTGAGTAGCTAGACCACAAGCACGCGCCACTATGCCTAGCTAATTTTTAAATTTTTTTTTTTGTAGAGACAGGGTCTTACTACATTGCCCAGGCTGGTCTTGAACCCCTGAACTCAAGCGGTCCTCTTGCCTTGGCCTCCCAAAGTACTAGCCACTGTGCCCAGCCAAGCATTCACTTCTCAGGGAAGGTGTAATACACAATATAACATTTGCAGTTACCATGAAAATAGAAATGAAAAGTTATTCATGGTAACCAGCAGACACTGCATGTATATGCAGAGATAGTTTTAAATAACATCTTGCTTTGCTAGTACTATACATCAGTGTCTTAAACATTTATTTATAATGTTTATCGATATCTTAAAAAGCACAGCATATTCTTTGGTTAAAAGATTTACATACATATCTGAGAACAACAGGAAAATTTGCTGGTCCAAATGTATGTGAAACTTATCCACTTCCCTGCTTTGAAATTTTAAGTATAAGGGAAGGAGGAGGAAAAGGCCGAGGAGATGCAGAAACACAGGTCATATGAATCTAGACCCCAGCTTACCAATAGTCAATCTCTGCTTCCATTTACCTCCTCCCAAGATGTAAGCACACATATACATACCTGTCCATCTACTAAAGCTGTAAGTGGAAGATAATCAAAGAGATCTGTAAAATATTTCCAAACGTTGGCATTCCCATACTTTCGCAGACATTCATCATAAAAGCCATATACTTGGGTAATTTGTCGGCTTTCGTGATTTCCTCTCAATATTGTAATGCGTTCTGGATAACGCACCTGGAAGAAAAGGAGTAAAACCCATAGTAAAATCACATTTTTACTAGTGTCATGTGAAGTACACCAGTCTCTGACCCATTTTTAAACACGGCGCTTTTGGCCACCAGTATATTAAATGTTAATTTCAGTTTCAAAATAAAAAACTTGCTTATTCATAACCAGGTCTTACTGGTTAACATTTGACGTGTTTATTATAATCATCCTTTTTCATCAGGTTTCGACAACCCTCATCAGAACCTTTAACTAATACTTATATTACTATAATAAACTTGTATCTGATACTTTGCTTCTATTATCTTCATCATCAAATTATTACTACTTTCCTAAATCTTTCTAGAACACTATGACTTCTTACTGCTGAATGAGTAGTGAAAATCACAGGTTTGAAGCTGAGACAAACTCTACAGATTAACTTCTTCCCTTTTCAATTTTTATTTCCCACAGGAAGATTGGATTTGCCAATAATAACACAAAAACAGGCCCTTGACAAAACTGGGCAAGATTTCAAATGTATTAATAGTTTCCTTTCTATTAAAAAACATAAGCGACTATTTAGTTAGGAATGCATCTGATAAGAAATACGAAAAAGCACTGGATTCTGCAAATTAAGCTAAAAGCTGCAAGTATGTACTTCAATTCATACATATTTTACTAAGCATCCGTTATGTGTCTAACGTAAGTTTGGTGCTATAAAGCCAGATGCCAGATCTACACAAGTACAGTCATGTGCTGGGCAGCATTTTTGTTAACAGATTACATGTACGATGTTGGCTGGAGCAAGAGACTATACCATTACAGCCTTTGTGTGCAGTAGGCTATACCACCTAGGTTTGTGTAAGTTCCAAAGATGACAAAATCACCTAATGGCACATTTCTCAGAATGTATGCCTGCAGTTAAGTGACCCATGACCATGTAATATATGGCTTCTGCTGTTGAGGGACTAACCTCACTAAGGACATATGTAAAATAATAAGTAATAGAAGGCAATAAGCCACTTTTGCAGCATAAATAAGGGCTGGGAGAATAAGTTTCCTCATAGTAATTTAGAGCAGAAGGAATAAGGCTAAAATGGTTGAAGGTTACATGGAGGAAGTGAGACCTGAGCTGAGTCTTGGCAGAAAGGTAAGAAATCAGGGACAGGATAACCTCGTGGGGGAAATCGACTATGGAAATAAACAGAGTCCAGAGCACTGAATAAGAAGAAACTTTGATTTGAGCCAGAGTTTATGCTACCAACCGCTGGCAGGCAAAAATTCAGACTAGACTATAGAAGGCCAGGCAAGGAGTTTGAATTTGATTCTATAGGCAACAGGCAATCAACAGGAAGTAACAATATAAAAGGGTTAAATAAGAGATTTCATCGGCCAGCGTATGCCAGGTGGATTTGGGGGGGATCAGATCTTGGAGGCAGAAATATTAGTTACTAAGCTATTGTAACAATCGAATTGTGAAGTGATAAACTGTGTGAAAATAGAAAGAGACAGGAACAACAGACTTTTCAAAGCAAGGATTTAAAAAGACTTGTCTACTGACTCAATATAACGGATAAGTGATAAAGTCAAATATGATTCCAAGACTTCAGCTATGGACTACTCGAGAGAATGATACATTTATCGGGAATACACAGAAGTTATCCTTTTCACCTCTCCTTTAAAAAGATGTAAAACCAATTATTATTTTAAGGGGCTATAAACTGAACAGACCATAAAACAGATGATATGCAATACTGTCATTCTTGCCTTTTGCCTGGTTTAAATCTTGAAAAAAAAATTGAATTTCAATAATCATACCTTTAATGCTACAAGAAGAGTCACAGTCTCCACTGAATAATATCCTCTGTCTACATAGTCACCCATGAATAAGTAGTTTGTATCCGGTGATTTTCCACCAATTCTAAAGAGTTCCATAAGATCATGAAATTGACCATGCACATCTCCACAGACAGTAACAGGGCAACGAACCTCTTGCACATTTGATTCTTTTGTTAAAATTTCCTTTGCCTGTTAGAAAAGTGAAATCAACAATTACAAAGTTAAAACTATCATTTCTTATCTATTAAAAGAAAATTTGGGGAAAAAAACACTTGAAAAGTGCCTTATAAAAGCGTATGTGAAAACCAAACCACGAGATAACACTTTCATTAGAAAGGCTATAATAAAAAAGACAGTTAATAAGTGTTGCAAACATGTGGATAAACTGGAACCCTCATACACTGCTGGTGGAAATGCAAAATGGTGCAGCTGCTGTGGAAAACTGTCTGGCAGTTCCTCCAAAGTTAAACCTAAAATTACCATGTAATCCAGCAGTTCCACTCCTAGGTATATACTCAAGAGAAATGAAATCCAGTTTATACATGTTCATGGCAGCATTATTAATAACAGCCAAAAAGTAGAAACCACCAGATATTGATCAACCGATGAATGGACATAACATATTCATACAATGGAATAGTCACTCAGCTATGAAGAAATGAAGTACTGATACATGCTACAACTTTGAAGACATTATGGTAAGTGCAAGAAGTCAGTCACAAATGATCACATAATGTACAATTCCATTTACATGAAATGTCCAGAATAGGCAAATCTTCAAGGCAGAAGGTCTGTGTTTTAAAAAGAATAATCTTATTATTCACAAGTTTAAAAAGGTCAATGAAAGAAAAAAGTCACAAATTATGCAAATTCTTGTGTGAACAAACATTCTTACACCAATTCATAGGCCAACCTTGAATTTCTTTATTCCAATTATTTTATATTTATAGAATTAAGTTAGAAAATACCATTAGGTGGCCCTGAAGTACAGAATTTATGCTTAAACACTGGCAAATGAAATGTTCTGACTAAATCGAAGTTCACTAATGGCTCATCGATCTGGCCTCTCTGCCTAATAGCAAAAGATCCCAGAATCAGGAAGAAAAATTTAAAAGCCTCTGAAGTAACAAAACAGACATCATAAAAATGTATCTAACCCACCAGAAGAGACTCTCAGGCCTTATTCTGGGCCTACTGTTATCTACAAAATTCCAACAAGCTATTTACCGAGTTTCCAGGTCCATGAGAAATTAGAAACAGAAAACCACGAAAGCTAAGAGATGAGAACTGGGACTAATACAGAATGCAAACCGAGAGGAAGAAACAACCGGATGGCTAGCATAGCTAAAACACAGGGCAGCCTGGCGCGGTGGCTCATGCCTGTAATTCCAGCACTTTGGGAGGCCGAGGGGGGAGGATAGCTTGAATCCAGGAGTTTGAGACCAGGCTGGGCAACATAGTGAGACCTCTGGTCTCTATAAAAAATTTAAAAAATAGCTGGGCATGGTGGTGTGTGCCTATAGTCCCAGCTACTTAGGAGGGTGGGGTGGGGTGGGAAGACAGCTTGAGCTGGGGAGTTCAAGGCTGCAGTGAGCCATGGTCGCACCACTTTGCAGTTAACCCCGGGTGAGAGTGAGACAAAAGAAAAAAAAGGCAACAACACAGCACAGTGAAAGTCAAACAGGGCCGGGCACGGTGGCTCATGCCTGTAATCCCAGCACTTTGGGAGGCTGAGGCAGGTGGATCACGAGGTCAGGAGATTGAGACCATCCTGGCTAACACAGTGAAACCCCATCTCTACTAAAAATACAAAAAATTAGCCCGGCATGGTGGCGGGCGCCTGTAGCCCCAGCTACTCAGGAGGCTGAGGCAGGAGAATATGACATGAACCTGGGAGGCGGAGCTTGCAGTGAGCCAAGATCGTGCCACTGCACTCCAGCCTGGGCGACAGAGCAAAACTCAGTCACAGAAAAAAAAAAAAAAAGTCAAACAGGATGAAGCTTAAAGTAAAAGCAGATGACAGCTTAGACTGGTGGGGGAGAGAGCACAATTTTAGGGACAGACAGTTCTCTGCCTCTTCAGTGATTTGATAATCTGAAGAGTATTTAAAACATGGATTTTGAGTTTCACTGTATTTCCTGCTACTCTGCATTTTTGTCAACAGACTTTAACACTAGTTGAGGGATACTCAACCTGTAGCGATTTTCAAAACACACAATAGTTTGTACACACACTGTAGGAATCACAAAGTTACTCTAGCCCCAGATTACTTTATGCCAACTAGATGCGCCCAGCCCAGACTCTTAATTTGAAGCAACTCTAAAGAGCAGGGACAATGGCAAGTTCTATTCCAACAGAAGTGTTCTCTCTAGTGTTCTAAATCATTTCTAAGGTATGATTCTGACTGCACCTCTAACCTCCCTTAATTTCTGCAAAATGCTCATGCTTGGTTCTCCAGCTTTTCTTTTGATTCTAGGCTACCATGTATTCTTCTACAAATGCCTTTTCTGCTTATAGCCTGGTAGGATTCCCAAGAGTTATGGACAATGTAGCCCATACTTTCTTCTCCTTGCTTGTAATTAATTAGAATGAGATTATATGCAATGAAGTCTTCCAGAAAACATGGGTTCTCTTCAGTTTTAATCTAATTGTGTAATCTTAAGGCCTTTATACCCTTCAGTTTCTTTTCCTGAGATCACAAATTAAACAATAATTTTACCAGAAGCCAAGTTTATTCCACAAAACAGCTCCCAATACACCACAAACATTCTGCACACCACATATTTTTTGCATATGAAGAACATGGCTGAGGAGATTATATACAGAAACATAATGGTTGTCTGGGAGGTAGGAGGGCAGGGGACAGGAATGGTGGGTAGAGTGCATTTGCTTTCCTTGCTACCTTTCTGAGGTGCTTGCACAAATTTTCTTTGAGACAGGGTCTCGCTCTGTTGCCCAGGCTGGAGTGCAGTGGTGTGAACGTAGCTCACTGCAGCCTCAAACTCCTGGGCTCAAGCAGTCCTCCCACTCAGCCTCCTAAAGTGCTGAGATTGCAGGTCTGAGCCACCGTGACTGGCCAATGCTCGAAATTTTAAAAAACAAATTCTGTATTACTTTTTCAAACGGAAAAAACCTGGCTTCTTAAACTTCAAAACAAATTCCAGATGGCAGTAATTATAAAATATCCACACAATGGAATTTTATTCAGCCATAAAAAGGAACGAAGTCCAGATACATGCTACAATATGGAGGAATCTTGGATATATTATGCTAAAAGAGAGAAGCCAAACACACAAGACATAACCCTGGAAATGAAATTCAAATCAAAAGTACACGGAAGAACCGACTGTGGGAATGCTGACAATGCTGCTGTTGGAGAGACTCCAAATATGCAGCCAGGAACTTAGCAACACGCAGAAACTTAGTGACATAAAGAAGTGAAAATCCAAACTTATTGCATAAATGAGGAAAATTGTTTTGGAAGAAGTGATGCTAGCAAAAATCTCTTTCTGTATTTGTCAGGAAAGATCACTTTTACTTCGGCTCCTAAATAAATCAGACGAACAGTTCCTAGGACTTTATAGGTATATTTAAGATTATCTCTTGTATCTCACTAGCTTTTGTTTTTTTTTAAGACATGGTCTTAATCTTCTTGACAAATACAGGTATTTCATGACACTGAAAGCACAAAGGAGGCCGGGGGCAGTGGCTCACACCTGTAATCCCAGCACTTTTGGAGGCCGAGGCAGAAGGATCACTTGAGTCCAGGAGTTCAAGATCACCTTGGACAACATGAGGAGACCCTGTCTCTACAAAAAAATGAGTAAAAAAAGCCAGGTGTGGTTGTGTATTCCTGTAGTCTCAGCTACTCAGGAGACTGAGGCGTGAAGATGGCTTGAGTCCAGGAGTACAAGGCTGCAGTGAACTATGATCATGTTACTGTACTCCAGCCTAGGCGACAGTAAGATCCTGCCTTTAAAAAAAAAAAAAGCAGCTTCCTGGACCTGCCCAAGACATGTCAATCAGTCTCTGGAATGGAGTCAAGGAACATGAATTTCCTATTTCTTTCCCAAGTGATTCTCATGTGCGCTTAAAGTTTATGGAAAAGATGGACAATCAGACTATACAAAAATGCTAAAACTTGCACAGTAAAAATTATACACACATATCACAAAGTAGAAAATAAGACCTTAAACATTTTTAAATGGCTAACTTTTGGAGAATTTATACAACCAAGAAAAGACAAAATACAATTTTTTTTTTTTTTTGAGACGGAGTCCTGCTCTGTCGTCCAGGCTGGAGTGCAGTGGCGCGATCTCCATCTCAGCTCACTGCAACCTCCGCCTCCTGGATTCAAGTGATTCTCCTGCCTTAGCCTCCCAAGTAGCTGGGATTACAGGCGCGTGCCACCACACCCAGCTAATTTCTGTATTTTTAGTAGAGATGGGGTTTCACCACGTTGGCCAGACTGGTCTCAAACCCCTGACCTCGTGATCCGCCCGCCTCGGCCTCCTAAAGTGCTGAGATTACAGGCATAAGCCACTGTGCCCAGTTGACAAAATACAAACTTAAAACAAAAAAAGAATATGCCAACTCAACTGGAAAAATCCCTCACATTGCACACACTCCACAATTCTGATAAATCTAGCCTTGTTTTCTTCATGTATTTTGGTATTGCCATTTATTATTATTAAGGTTCTCGTCCCTCAGAATTTGCTATGGAATAAAAATCTGTATAGTGAAGAATTAACCTCACCCGAGGAGAGGTCTGGCCTTTGCCCCTGGAATTTCCTGCTTGGTAAAGAGATCTCTGCCTGGGGGCTCTGACCTGCGGACCATTAACAATGTGACTCACGATGCGGACTTTGGATGATCCCACTATCAGTTTGGTCTCTGGAGGACTGGACACTACAGATGTCAGCCCCTCTTGTACTCTGCCCTTATGAGTCTTTTCCCTTGGCTTACTTTAAATTGTATTCATTCCCTGTAATAAACCATAATCATCAGTGTAACAGCTTAAAGTGAGTTCTGTGAGTCATTCCTGTGAATCACTGAACCTAAGAGTGGTTTTCGGAACCCACTGAACTAGTATATTGGTGCCAAAACTGAGGCAGTCCTGGGCAGTGTTCCCTGTAATTTATAGTTCACTGAACTTTATTTTTTGTCTGCTGTTCTGAAGGTACATCATGACTAAACTTTTGAAGATGGTGTCAGAGGTGAGAACAGTGTTAGGGACTGTGCCTTCTAACTCTCGCAAAATCCTTTTTAATTACAAAAGTAAACCACATTATAAAGAATTTGGAAGGTTTTCTATGACCACCCTATTAAAAAAAAAAGAGTCTCTTGAATTCAAGCCCATCACTGTCCCCATCTTCTGCTTTTTCTTGCCAGCAAGAATCAATGCCTGGTGTTCATTAATCGTGTCCCCTCTTCACAGCTGAATCTCTAGCACTTTGAACAGTCTGGTACATAGTGGTTCAACTAAAATCTGTTGAATGTACGGGATAACTACACAGTGGCAGCATTCTGTCAACCAATCCTCTCCTTTCTTCTTCACTGCCCACAGGAACAAGCGCCTCTTTTGCTACTCAAGCCAAGTCGAGAATACACTGAACCAATTCTGAGCTCTCATCATCCAGGACATAAATATCATGCGGAACTCTTTTAAACGAAGATGAAAATTATTTCCCTCTCTATAAGATGGGATTTTGAGCTGGGCGCAGTGGCTCACGCCTGCAATCCCAGCACTTTGGGAGGCTGAGGCAGGCAGGTCACAAGGTCAGGAGATCCGAGACCATCCTGGCTCACATGGTGAAACTCCATCTCTATTAAAAACACAAAAAATTAGCCGGGAGTGGTGGCAGGCACCTGTAGTCCCAGCTACTCGGGAGGCTGGGGCAGGTGAATGGCATGAACCCGGTAGGCGGAGCTTGCAGTGAACCGAGATGGCACCACTGCACTCCAGCCTGGATGACAGAGAGAGAGACTCCATCACAAAAAAACAAAAAAAAAGAGATTTTGAGCAAAATTAAACTACAGCCTACACACCGTATCCTGCATATTAAAAAAAATCCAACTATGCTAAAAAGTTAATTCAAATAAGCTTTTTTCTAAGATTGAATAGGTGAGAACACTTAAATTCACCACTGTATCCCAGTCTCAACATAAAAACGATTGTCTTTGTATAAAATATTCACTTAATAGATCTCCAATGGAGTCTTCCACATTTTTGGTGTAACATGATGCTATTATAACGCAAGTCAGGAATCTCAGGTTGCACCTCAGGATTGTCTTTTAATTCATTTGATCACAAAAGTATCTCAGTCAAAAAACAGTTTACAAGGAATGATGATAAATATTTCTAAATTACAAAGGACACAACAGCAAACCAGTTCTAAGCTTGAGTGCTTGAGCTCTCCCATTCTCTGGAAAGGAAACGGAATCTGTAATACACAGAACTCCTTCCCAGGGTTAATATGATTTTTTTTTTTTTTTTTTTGAGATGGAGTCTCCCTCTGTCACCCAGGCTGGAATGCAGTGGCGCGATCTCGGCTCACTGCAAGCTCTGCCTCCTGGGTTCACGCCATCCTCTTGCCTCAGCCTCCCGAGTAGCTGGGCCTACAGGCGCCTGCCACCACGCCTGGCTGATTTTTTTTTTTTTGTATTTTTAGTGGAGACGGGGTTTCACCATGTTAGCCAGGATGGTCTGGATCTCCTGACCTCATGATCCGCCTGCCTTGGCCTCCCAAAGTGCTGGGATTACAGGCGCGAACCACCATGCCCGGCCGTTAATATGATTATTAATGAAATTTAGAGTTGAAAAGTAACGTACAGGAACTATTAGATCACATTTGGTCATTAAGGAAGAAAAGATGTCTTCATACAAGTTTCTTTAAACAATCTGGATTAGGTTTACATTTCATTACATTTACTTGAAGGAAATCAGTTCAAAACAATAAAAAATTTCTATTTAACACAGACTCAGATTTCTTATACAGATTACTTCTGTAACTTTAATATCATTCTTCTTAGAAAAAACTACATTCAGAAAACAATCTAGGAAAATTAATTAAGCATTAATTCCATCTTCAATTTCTGGCATTTTCATTTCCTTTTACCAAGGAAGGGCTTCATTCACCAAGTCTTTTATAACATTCGTACTGAAGAGAAAAGACTGTGAAGAAAAAATTTCTGCAAGATCTTCAAATAAGAATAAAAGGCACACACGGCAATAAAAGCAGGCAATGAAAAGAAATTTTACATTGCAAATATCTTCACTTTATCTACTTAGGTAAATATCTTATGGCAAGGGTATATTATTGTTAAAGGGCAGTATTAAGTATTAAATATATTTACCTAGTCATATATATTTGACACGTCATATATAAAGTAGAGAAATGTAACAAAGTCCACTTTCCCGCCATTAGCAATAGTTCATGCTAGTCTAGTTTGGTTTAATTTCTTTACCTGTCCACTAAGAGGCTGGCTTAGCAAGGAAAACAATGATTTGTTCAGTCACTAGAATTGGGTCTTGACCCTCTATTTCACTGTAATCATGCCATTCTTCATTATACTAAGAAAGGAGCTATTTTATCACTGCATTTTAGATTTTATCAATGGACCACCAAAGCTGGCACTAATTTTTGTTCGAGGGAAATTAAAAATGGAAGTACCAGTTAGGCATTTTGCCTGTCAAGACCACTATTTTTATTTTTTAAGCTGTAATCAATCACAGAAAGTAATCTAAAAAAATTTTCTCAATTCACAAAAATCACTCATTTTTACCAGAATCTAATCTTCATTAAGATGGTTTTGGGTATTCAGGAACAAGCATACTATTTCACATTAGGAATGAAGTCATATCCTAAAGTTATTTCTGCTTATTTCAAGGCTAACGCCAGGACTTAGAAACATTTCCATCAGTTCAATATAAAATTTACATATTTATACTTCTACACAAGCCTCGACATTTTTCTCAATACGTACTTTATAATCATCAGAATAAAGATCTGCCAGCACACACATTGGCTGAATTTCCCTCCCCACCTAAAGAATCATCACCAAGGTTCTTCAGTTATAAAATTTAACAGGTCAAAGAGCTTAAAATTTTTACTCTTTCTGAGACAACAGTTAAATATAGTTCTAGTCACAGAGTGTCCTGAGCAGTGCCAGCCTGGCTCTCTTGGCACACAATCTTCTAAAATAACTGCATACTGCTGATGCAGGAATGAATCACAGAAGCAATTTCTCTGCACACACAAGAGGAGTCAAATTCACAATTAGCTTCAAAAGCTGGATTGCTAATTTAAGCTAGTGTTAAGAGCTAGTCTTCTCAGAAGACATGCCTTGCTATTTTATGCAAACAATTTTTCACTAGGCAGAAATTAACCTTGGAAGCCAGACACACCATACCATTCATACTCTTTATTTTTTGTAGTCATTCACCCACTGGCACTAGGATAGATTTTATTTTTGCAACTACCTCAAAATAGGCCTTTACTAGTACTACTCTGGTCTTGATTTCAGTGGACTCCTTCAGCTTTCTTTTTTTGGAGACAGAGTCTCACTCTGTCGCCCAGGCTGGAATGCAGTGGCGATCTCGGCTCACTGCAACTTCTGCCTCCTGGGTTCAAGCAATTCTCCTGCCTCAGCCTCCCGAGTAGCTGGGACTACAGGCACACACCGCCATGCCCGGCTAATTTTTTGTATTTTAGTAGAGATAGGGTTTTACCATGTTGCCCGTGCTGGTCTCGAACTCCTGAGCTCAGACAATCCGCCCACCTCGACCTCCCAAAGTGCTAGGATTACAGGGGTGAGCCACCATGACCAGCCGACTCCTTCAGTTTTTAGGCAATCTGAATTAGAATAGAAATTTAAGGAAAAACCACCATCATACGATGTAACTTCCTATAGAATAGTATTTCCAATAGAATAAAAAAAGGTATTTTTAAAAAACCCAAAAATTGAATCACAAGGATTAAAGATAGTTTATATAATTAGGTTTGACTCTTTATTTTTCTCATATTTTCTTTCTACATGCCTGCTACTCTTGCCCTAGAAAGGTAGGGCAAGTATTAAGTAGACCAAGTCAGGAGTAAAGATACTTCACACAACTGCTATTAATTCCAGTACTGTGTGGTTCACATAACAGGCACCACTACTTTTCAGGGTTCTATAGCCACTATATAAAAAAAACTCCTTTGAAGTATATTTACCAAAGAAAAGGCATATTGGCACATCTATTCATTTTGCATTTCTTACAAAAGAAAATGGGTGACACTTATGATTAAAACTTTCAGCCTTCCTTTAGTTAACATTCACTGCGTGCTTACTTCTCATTAGGACTTTACATGGCCTTTTTTTTTTTTTTTTTTTTTTGAGAAAACTGCATTCTGTCACCCAGGCTGGAGTGCAGCGGTATGATCACTGCTCACTGTAACCTCTGCCTCCTAGGGATTCTTGTGTCTCAGCCTCCCAAGTAGCTGGGAGTGCAACACTACGCCCAGCTAATTTTTTTTTTTTTTTTTAGTAGAGGCAGAGTTTTGCCATGTTGGCCAGGCTGGTCTTGAACTCCTGGCCTCAAGTGATCTACCTGCATCGGCCTCCCAAAATGCTGGGATTACAGGCGTGAGCCACTGTGCCCGGCCAATGAATATATATCTTAGCACTCACAACCAACCCGGGAGGATTGGTACATATTATCTCTGTCATAAGGAATCAGAGGTGCAGAAAGACTGACAGCTAGCAAGCTGTGAAGCAGGACTGGAACTCAGACAGGATGAATGCTACACTTGTTATGTATCAACAAGGAGGATGGGGTAGGGATATAAAACGGAACTAGAAACTAAGGTCAGAAAACATATATATGTATATATACTCATACATACACAAACCACAAAGCTAGGTCATAGCTGCCAGAAGAGGGCTGCAAAACTAAGCACGGCTCAAAAAGAGTAGAGAGAAATGAGTATTATCACACTTTTCCAACCCATTGGCAACTCCATCAATGGGGGTAGAGAACAAAGATGAATGAATTTCACTAACAAATTCATGCTTTGTGGGTAAGGACAAATATTCAAAGAAAAAAAAATGGGCTAGGAGTGGTGGCTCACTCCCGCAATCCCTGCACTTTGGGAGGCCAAGGCGGGAGGATCACTTGAGCCCGAGAGTTCGAGACCAGCCTGGGCAACACGGTGAGACCCCATAAAAAAAATAAAAAAATTATCCCGGTGTGGTGACACATGCCTGTGGTCCCAGCTACTTGAGAGGCTGAAGTGGGAGGGTCCCTTATGCCCCAGAAGTTGAGGTTGCAGTGAGCGGTGATTGCCCCACTGCACTCCAGCCTGACTGACACACCAAGACTGCGTCCCCCCCCCGCCCCCAAAAAAGGCTAGTAAGATACAAGAGATAATCTTAAATATACCTGTGAAGTCCTAGGAACTGTTAGTCTGATTTATTTAGGAGCCGAAGTAAAAATAATCTCTTTTGACAAATACAGAAAGCTTCCTCAAGTGATCGTTGACACTCCGGTGTGATTATTTCAAAGTACAGCAGTGGTACAATATTCTTCTCTAGAAGTTCATCTTAAAATTATTAGAAAGTCAATAGGGGCTGTGCACGAGGCTCGCGCCTGTAATCCCAGCACTTTGGAAGGCTGAGGGATCACTTCAGGCCAGGAGTTCTAGACCAGCCTGGCCAGCATGGCAAAACCCCATCTCTACTAGAAATACAAAAATTAGCAGTGCATGGCTGCATGCACCTGTAATCCCAGTTACTCGGGAGGCTGAGGCAGGAGGATCCCTCGAACCCCGGAGGTGGAGGTTGCAGTGAACAGAGACGGCACCACTGCGCTCCAGTCTGGGCGACAGACTGAGCCTCTGTCTCAAAACAAAAATAAAACAAAAAAAGGAAGTCAATGGGAAAAACTGATTCAACTAACACTTTACCCATAACTTCAAGTCTGTATTCTGATGCTCATAGTCAGGTTAACTGACTCAGATCATTTCAAACCTGTACATTTCACTTCGCATTAGAGCTGGAGAGAGATGTTTAAGGCATAAATTTTAAGACTCATGAAATTACAGGTTATCACAATAAAAATGAATGTCAACTGAAGCCACAAGTAAGCAGTTTGTTTCAGAAAGAGAAAAATACCACTTGCTTGGCACTTCTATTTACAAAAATAAATCCTCCTGTGTTAACAAATAGTTACTTAATACACAAAGGCCCCGACCAACATTACACCCGTTAAAAATATTGTAACTTAACACCATCTATTAGTGCTCCTTTTCTAAGTAAATTTCATGATCTTAAGAGTACCCTAAAATCAGACTAACAAAATCTTTCCTTCTCCAGTGCACTTCTGCCACATCATGACTTCTAAACATTACGGTTAAGAAAATTTTATAGATTACGTTTTAAAATAACATCGTTACTTCTTCATGCACTTCAAGTGAGAATTTTTAACCTAAAAATACATGAAAATTATTTAGTCCACCTTGTAAAGGATGAATGTGGACAACTCTAGACTTCAAAGATGGAGAGATCGAAATAATTTCAGGGGTTAAGAAAACAATGGATACAGAATTTACAAAGTGAAGATCACACACTCACGATGTACAAGAACGAACTGATCACCCGCATGTTTTATTATTCTTTGGAAAAAAACTTTATATATATTAAAAACAAAAATAACTTTCTGCAAAGTGCTATCGTGCATGAAAACACACATCCCACTTATCATTTCCAGCAAACACTGTTCCCAAACTTAAGATCGGCTCTCGTTTCTGAAAATCAACACTTTACTTCCAAGAGCCACTCAACACAAAGACCAGTCACCATCTGTTTCCACCAAAGTCAACCTCTATTTTAAAAATCACAGTTGGCCATCACGCCTACCTCTCCGCAAACAAACGCTTGGCACATTCAAGAATCAGCGATTTTTTTTTTTTTTTTTTTGCTGTCGCCCAGGCTGGAGTGCAGTGGCGCGATCTCGACTCACTGCAACCAGCCTCCACCTCCTGGGCTCAAGCGATCCTCCCGCCTCAGCCTCCCGAATAGCTGGGATTACAGGCACCCGCCGTCACACCCTGCTAATTAAAAAAAATTTTTTGTGTGTGGAGACGGGGCCTCACTATGTTGCCCAGGCTGGTCTCTAACTCCTGGGCTCAAGCAATCCTCCCGCTTCAGCCTCCCGAGTAGCTGTGGCCACAGGCGTGAGCCACCACGCCCGGCTTGAGTTAGTGATTTCTGAGGTGCCCCGTTCACCTGACAAAAATTCTGCATTTATTAACAAGTTCATTAATACGCACGACATTCTGGTTAATTTTAGTTGCATTTTCAGAAACTGGTCTGAAAATGGTCCTTTTCGGACGTCGCTCTCGCTAGTCCACTCGGGAAATGCTAGAGTGGCAGGAACTCCCCAGTGGAGCGCAGGCGACCCCGACCAACCTCCTGCTTGGCTCAGGGGGCTACGTTTCCCCGCCCGTCCGCACCCGAGCCCCCCACGCCCGGGATCTGGGCAGCCGGCCGGGGGCGTGAGGCGGAGGTGGAAGGGGCAGGCGAGGGCAGCCCAACGCCCCGGGCCCTGAACCGATGGGCCGGCCGCCTAGGTGGACGCCGGAGCCGGACCCACAGCCCCGCAGGCCCCCGGTGGGCCGCGCCGGGCCAGGGGCGGACGGGACCGGGGCGGGCAGGAAAGCGGCGGCCCGTCCCAGCCCCGCGCTCCCGCACTCGCCCCCGCGGCGCCCTCACCTTCTCGCACAGCGTCCGCACTTGGTTCTCGTTCAGCTGCTTACACTCGTTCAGCTGCTCGACCCACTGGTCCAGCTCCTTGGTGAACGCCTTGTCGTCCATGGCGGCCCGATCCCGATGCGGATCCCGAGCCCCAGCCCGGCCGCCGCCCTCCCCCCTCCCCACCCGCCCCCGGCCCCGGCCCGGGCGCCGCTCCCCTCTCCCTCCGCCGCCGTCGCCAGGTCCCACAGGGGGAGGACTGAGCCGGGTAGGGCGGCCGCGGGCCCCGCGCCCCGCCCAAGCCCAGCAGGCGGCTCCGAGCGCGCAGCCTGGAGGAGACCCCCGCCCGCCCTTCCCCGCCCGGCCGCGCGCCGCGGGAGTCGGTGAAGGACGCGGTGAGGTGCCGGGGAGCGCGGCGCGGGTCCTCGGCCTAGCTCTCGCCGGACGAAGGCCGCCCGCTGCCGCTTCAGGCCCGCCTCACGCCTACCGGCCTCTCCCGACTTGTCTTTCCCCTTCTCTCGCTCTTTCTCTCCCCTCCCTCCGGGTTTCCGTCATCGCTCGGGCATTTCCGCCGGGAAAAGGCGAGCAGGCGGCGCCGCCGGGACACGGCGCCCTAGGAGCAGAACAGCGCCCTCGCGTGGCTTGGCGGAGAAACGGTCCGAGGAGGCCAGGGTCCCTCTTTTCCCCACCCTGCCCCAGACCAAGCTCTGCTGGTTCTCCCTTTAAATATCCTGATCTCTGGGAACTTTGTCCTCACTTTAGCTTCCTGCAGTACTTTGCAGCGCTCTGGACAGGGAGTTGGAAAACTTGGGCTTCCCTTAACATTGTCTCCCCAGAGTCTAGCACTCAATAGCAGGCATTCAATATTGATGGAGTAAATTAATTATTTCCAGCCTCACCTGTAGCCCCTAACATCTCGAATCCTCCCTTTCGACATTAGAAAAGTGAAATGATTGTTCTGTAGGATAATCTGTGGCCCTTCCAGCTCCAGAGCTCTTGGCTATATTTTCTGCAATGTGTACTGAGTTGTAATGATTTGTTCATTCAACAAATATTTATTGAGAGACAGAACAGGGACCCCTCTTAGGGGCCATCTAGGCACCCCCCTCCCCAAGCATGGAAATAAAGGAAAATCTTGAGTTCCCTGAAGGGACATTCCAGGCACCTAACTTCCTCAATAAGTCAATGAGCAACCTGATAAGCAAGAAGGTAATAATAGCTTAAGACAGTAGCCAAGGACGTTAGATTCACAAAATGTTTGCTTCCCTATAGAAACTAAAGACGACATATGTCCCTGAGTTGTTTTTCAGAAACCTGGACCTCACCAAATGGAAAATGGTGTCCACTGGCATGGAGATCTCAAACTACCTATCTTTGTTCTAAATTTCTTCCTGAGGAGCCTGGAAGAATTCACAAAGCTTTGCCTCCTTAACCAATTGCAAATCAGAAAATCTTTGAATCCATCTATGACCTGTGGGTCCCTGCTTCAGATATCCTGGCTTTTTAGATCAAACCCACGTATAGCCTCCATGTATTGATTTATGACTTTGCCTGTAACCTCTGCCTCCCTGCCTTTAAAAATCCTTACCTGGGCTGGGCGCAGTGGCTCATGCCTGTAATCCCAGCACTTTGGGAGGCCGAGGCCAGGAGTTGGAGACCAGCCTGCCAACATGGTGAAACCCCTTCTCTACTAAAAATACAAAAACTAGCTGGGCATGGTGGTGGGCGCCTGTAATCCCGGCTACTTGGGAGGCTGAGGCAGATGAATCACTTGAAATCGGGAGGTGGAGGTTGCAGTGAGCCGAAATCTCGCCATTGCACTCCAGCATGGGTGACAAGAGTGAAACTCTGTTTCAAAAAAAAAAAAAAAAGCACACAAAAAACCCCTTACCTGTAAACCATCAGGGAGTTGGGGTCTTAAGCATGAGCTGCCTGATTCTTCTTGCTTGGTGCAATGCAATAAATGCCTCACTTTCACTACAAACCCCAATGTCAGTGTTTGGCTTTGCCGTACTTGAGGGAGGACCTAAATTCAGTTAGGTAACATGAGCAGCTGCTAGCTGCCAGATACCTTGAATAGCATGTGCTAAATGATCATACTGTGTCTATTAAAGGTACATACTACTGCGGCTGAACCCAAGTGGAAGGTAACATCCTGTATCAGAAAGCAAGGGTTCTTGTGTTTGCTAACCCCCTAGCTATGTCCTTGGGCAATCATCAAACCTCCGTAAGCCTCAAATTCTTCATCTGTTAAAATCAATAAAAGGCCTACCTTTGTGAAGATTAAGTTTTAAAAGTGCCTGCCCAATAGTACGGTATGGGAGCGATATGTTAGTTGCCTTACCCCTCCTAGGGAACAATTACAGAAAGCTTTAGAAAAGCGGTAATTGAACTGAATTTTCAACCTTCTCTCAAGGCAAAAGCTTGAAGTTGCCTGGAGAAGAGGAAAGAAGGTCTAAGGAATTTTTTTGTGCGTGTGCCAGTAGACAAATGAGTGAAAGACCATTCATTGTCTGTTTGGAAAGCTATAAATTCTCCTAGCAACAGAAATAGATTATATTGTTGGAAATAAGGCTGGAAGAGCTCCTGCTCTCAACAGCTTGTAAATAGCAGCAAACCAGTTGAACAAAACACAAAAGGTGATGAAACAATACTGGTGAGATATCATTGCAATAGATATTACATTCTCTGAGGAGGTTAGTCTATAAGGCTTTAAAGGAGGCTGGGCCAGGTGCAGTGGCTCACACCTGTAATCCTAGCCCTTAGGAGGCTGAGGTGGGAGGATCACTTGAGCTCAGGAGTTCAAGACCAGCCTGGGCAATATGGTGAAACCCTGTCTCTACGGAAAATTAGCCGGGCATGGTGGCGCATGCCTGTAGTCCCAGCTACTCAGGAGGCTGAGGTGGGAGGATCATTTGAGCCCAGGAGGCGGAAGTTGCAGTGAGCCAAGATTGCACCACCGTAACTCCAGCCTGGGCAACAAGTGAGATCCTGTCTCAATACATACATAAAAAAGGAAGCTGATTTTCGGCTAAGCTTGGAAAGCTCGGAACAAAAGTGAGAATGAGAATATGTTCAGGGTTCCTAGAGAAGATGGACTGAAAACAAAATATACCCTGAGGGCAAGTGGGAACTGTGGATGGTAGTTAGGGAGGGAGGTCCTTGAAATAGAAGCAAATGTGTTTGAAATGAATGTGAGAGAATATTCTTAGAGGTGAGTAGGTGTTTGTGAAAATAGTACTTCTAAGAAGTTTAGTCAAGTAGTGATGTAGAACAAAGAAGAATACTTTCTTTGAGTAGTTCCTATATACTAATGTTTTTACATGTAGCTTCTCATTTAATGCTCCAGTAACCTCATGAGGCTGGTGTTATTATACTTTCCATATTACAGATGAAAAGAAAGACAGGTAGAGGTTTAAATACATGTTCAAGTCACACAGATAGTACTGGTGGGGTACAGATTAACACTCACATATGAGTTCTACTCCATGCTTTATGTTCTATGGTCCCTGCAGTGTGGATGGGAACATGGAAAGCCCAAGAATGGTAGATTGGCCAAGGGGCTTGATGACTTACAATATCAGTTTTTGCTATTTTGGTTGTGACGGTCTCTTAATTATAAATAAGAACAATAATTCTTTTTTTTTTTTTTTTTTGAGATAGGGTCTCACTCTGCCACCCAGACTGGAGCACAGTGGTACGATCTTGGCTCACTGCAACCTCCACCTCCCAGGCTCAAGCGATTCTCCTGCCTCAGCCTCCCAAGTAGCTGGGATTACAGGTGCATGCCACTACCACCCGGCTAATTTTTGTATTTTTAGTAAAGACAGGGTTTCAACATGTGGGCCAGTCTGGAAGAACAATAATTCTTAAACTTATTTCTTTTTTGCTTTCTGCTTCTGTCAGACGTGTGTGTTTGTGTGTGTGTCTGTGTGTGTGTGTTCTCCTTCAGAACATAACCATCAACCTCCAATCCTTGCTAAATTACTTGTCATGCCAAACTGCATTTAATCTTAGGTTTATAGGCCAGATCTAATTTTCTTTTTTGACCTAGAGGTTTTCTTATTGTTATTCTGTTTACCTCTCTCCTTTTGGTTAAATAATTAAAAAGAAATCTTCCACAGATTATTTGCCTTAAAAGTACATGTGAGATTTTCTTCCTACTTAATTGACTAGGCTCTTTTAAAATATATAAACATTGATATTTTTCCTAATGTATTATATACCATTTAAAATATGAAATATGAATCATTTATATCTTGTAATGTATCCACATAATTATATGCTACAATTATACATTGTATGGGTCTAAAAATGATTCTCCTATATCACTGTAATCCTCAAATGATTAAAGAAATACTTTCATTTCCAGTTCAAATACCTTCTGATACTTAGAATGTGAATATGATATTATCAAAATTGTCACAGGGAATTCTGCATAAGAATATCTATTGATAATGATTACAAAAATTAAAATTAATATAGAAAAAATCAAATTGGAAATGCTTTCTTTGCATTTAAAAACAACAAATCATGATCAATAAAAAGATCATAGTTCTCATCCTCTATTCTCACCCTTCTGCCCAAAAACGTAGTTCTAAAAAACCTTTTCAAATTTATCAAACAAGAGATGGAATTATTGAAAGGCAAAGGAATCAGAGCAGATGCTATGTTGAACATTTTGTCCTTTGCTGACCTCAGTAAAAGGGTTGGTTCAAATTTCTTACTACAACACTACAAAAGTGGATTCCTCTATATCTTTAAACATTTTTATACTCAGATATTCTATGTTGTGTATCTGACAATTTTTAAGTGACGGAAGACGTTTTTCTTGTTTCCACTGACTCTTACTCATAGTGGTTTGTCTTCTAGTATATATGAGTTGGCAGCTTGAACAGATTTTGTGGGAGTTCTGTGGGCCTACCTTGGGAAGGCTTTCCTCTAGAAAGTTTGCATCTCTCTGGTAGTCAAGGCATATTCTTAATCTAGTACCACTTCAGTCACAGTTTTGGCTCACAATGAGAGAGAGTGTCAGATCCCCTACCTCACTGAAGTTTCAAGGCTCAGTGTCCCTACAGCAATGTTGCTTTAGGAATCCAATCTCAGAGCAATCTCACACCTTCTGGCAGCCAGATTGTTTAAGCAGGCTCTCTGTTGATTTAGCTCCCTCCTACTCAGGCCATGCTTTGTCTCCCTGACCTTATTTTCCAGCGATTCTGTCCCACGTTTCCAGTTTCTTCTCAAATCTTCAGATGGCTTAAGCTCCAGATCCTTTCCATTTCAGTTCCAGTGTCTTCCTGGTCTGGGCTAAATTCATGGTTTATTTTTTGTTGTTGTTCGTTTGTTTGTTTTTTTTTGTCTAATCTGTGGAGAGCTATCCTACCCTTGTGAGACCAATGAAACCTCAGAAAATGTGTCCTATCCCAGGTGTAGTTTTGAAGCAGGCAGCTCCCTAAGGGCTCCTGAACATTCATAAAACTGGAAGTGAGACTCTTATGTTGGAGATAATAAAAAATTCAGCCGAGCATGGTGGCTCACGCCTGTAATTCCAGCACTTTGGGAGGCTGAGGCAGGTGGATCACCTGAGATCAGGAGTTCGAGAGCAGCCTGGCCAACATGGTGAAACCTCATCTCTACTAAAAATACAAAAAAATTAGCTGGGCGTGCTGGCACACGCCTGTAATCCCAGCTACTCAGGAGGCTGAGGCAAGGGAATCACTTGAGCCCGGGAGGCAGAGGTTGCAGTGAGCTGAGATCACGCTGCTGTACTTTAGCTTGGGTGACAGAGCAAGACTCCATCAAAAAAAAATTAATAAATAATAAAAATTTGATTTGTACATTCATGTTGATACTTTTTCTTCTACATAATATAATTTTTCATAATCTCCCACTATAGGCTATTTAAAAAAATTTTTTTAGGGGTCAATTTTTTTTTCTATTTTCTTTCTTTCTTTCTTTTTGTTTTCTTTGAGATGGAGTTTTGTTCTTTTTGCCCAGGCTGGAGTGCAATGGCGTGATCTCGGCTCACTGCAACCTCCACCTCCCGGGTTCAAGTGATTCTCCTACCTCAGCCTCCCAGGTAGCTGGTATTACAAGCATGCGCCACCACACCAGGCTAATTTTTTGCATTTTTAGTAGAGATGGGGTTTCACCATGTTGGTCAGCTCATCTTGAACTCCTGACCTCAGGTGATCCACCCTCCTTGGCCTCCCAAAGTGCTGGGATTACTGGTGTGAGCCACTGCACCTGGCCTATTTCTTTATTTTTAAAAATTTCAACTTTTGTTTTAGATTCCAGGGTAGGGTACACATGCAGGGTTGTTACATAGTATATTATGTGATGCTGAGGTTTGGGATATGATTGAACCTCTCACCTAGGAAGTGAGCATGATACCCAACAGTTTTTCAACCATTTCCCTCCTTTTTCCTTCCCCCATCTAGGAGCCCCCAGTGTCTATTATTGCCATCTTTATGTCCATGAGTACCCAATGTTTAGCTCCTATGTATAAGTGAGAACATGCAATATTTGGTTTTCTGTCCCTGTGTTAATTTGCTTAGGATAATTGCCTCCAGCTGCATCCATGTTGCTACAAAGGACATGATTTCATTCTTTTTTATGGCTGCGTAGTAATCCATGGTGTATATATACCACAGTTTCTTTATCCAATCCACTGTTGATGGGCACCTAGGTTGATTTCATGTCTTAACTATTGTGAATAGTGCTGCCGTGAACATACAAGTACATGTGTCTTTTTGGTAGAACAATTCATTTTCTTTGGGATATATACCCAGTAATGGGATTGCTGGGATGAATGGTAGTTTGTTTTAGGTTCTTTGAGAATCTCCAAACATCTACAGTGATGGGACTAATTTACATTCCCACAAACAGCGTATAAGTGCTCCCTTTCCTCTGCAGCCTTGCCAGCATCTATTGGGGTTTTTTGACATTTTAATAACCGCCATTCTGACTGGTATGAGATGGTGTATTAGTCCGTTTTCACACTGCTGATAAAGACATACCCAAGACTGGGCAATTTACAAAAGAAAGAGGTTTATTGGACTTACAGTTCCACATGGCTAGGGAGGCCTCACAATCATGGCAGAAGGCAAGGAGGAGCAAATCACATCTTACATGGATGGAAGCAGGCAAAAATAGAGAGAGCTTGTGCAGGAAAACTCTTTTTAAAACCACCAGATCTTGTGAGACTTATTCGCTAGCACGAGAACAGCACGGGAAAGACCTGCCCCCATGATTCAATTACCTCCCACTGGGTCCATCCCACAACACGTGGGAATTCAAGATGAGATTTGGGTGGGGACACAGCCAAACCATATCAGATGGTATCTTATTGTGGTTCTGATGTGCATTTCTCTGATGATTAGTGAGGATGAGCATTTTTTCATTTTTTCATGTTTGTTGGCTTCTTGTATGTCCCCTTTTTAGAAGTGTCTGTTCATGTCCTGTCCTTTGCCCACTTTGTTGTTGTTGATTTTATTTTTAATTATTTATTTATTTTTACTTGAGACAGGGTCTCACTCTGTCACCCAGGCTTGAGTGCAGTGGTGCAATCTCAGCTCACTGCAACCTCTGACTTCTGGGCTCAAGTGATCCTTCCACCTCAACCTCCTGAGTAGCTGGGTCTATAGGCATGTGACACCATGACCAGCTAATTTTTAATTTTTTTATAGAGACAGGGTCTCCCTACATTGTCCTGGCTGGTCTCAAACTCCTGGCCTCAAGCAATCCTCCCTCCTCAGCCTCCCAAAGTGCTGGGATTATGGCCATGAGCCATAGGCTGGGTGCAGTGGCTCACGCCTGTAATCCCAGCACTTTGGGAGGCCAAGGCAGGTGGAGCACCTAAGGTCAGGAGTTTGAGACCAGCCTGGCCAACATGGTGAAACCCTGTCTCTACTAAAAATGCAAAAATTAGCTGGGTGTGGTGGTGGGTGCCTGTAATCCCCACTACTTGGGAAGCTGAGGCAGGAGAATCACTTGAGTCTGGGAGGCAGAGGTTGTAGTGAGCTGAGATCACGCCACTGCACTCCAGCCTGGGTGATGGAGTGAGACTCTGACTCAAAAAAATAACAATAATAATAATAAACAAGCATGAGCCACCATGCCTGGACTTTTACCCACTTTTTAATGGGGTTGTTTTTTGCTTGTTGATTAAGTTCCTTACAAATTCTGGATATTAGACCTTTGTCAGATGCATAGTTTCTCATTCTGTAAGTTGTCTGTTTACTCTGTTGACAGCTTTTTTTGTTTTTTTTTTGTTTTTTGTTTTTTGTTTTTTTGCTATGCAGACACCTTTAATTAGGTTCCACTTGTCAGTTTTTATTTTTATTGCAATTGCTTTTGAGGACTTAATCATAACTTTTTTCCTAAGGCCAATGTCCACAGTGGTGTTTCCTGTGTTTTCTTCCAGTATTCTTATAGTTTGAAATTTTACATTTAAATTTTTAATCTATCTTGAGTTAATTTTTGTATATGGTGAAAGCTGGGGGTCCAGTTTCATTTTTCTGCATATGGCTAGCCAGTTATCCCAGCAAGATTTACTGAGTAGGGAGTCCTCTCCCCATGCTTATTTTTGTTTAGTTTGTTGAAAAATCAGATGGCTGTAGGTATGCAGTTTTATTTCTGGGTTCTCTATTCTGTTCCATTAGTCTATGTGTCTGTTTTTGCACCAGTACCATGCTGTTTTGTTTACTGTAGCCTTATAGTATAGTTTGAAGTTGTGTAGTGTAATGCGTCCAGCTTTATTCTTTTTGCTTAGGATTGCTTTGGCTATTTAGGTTCTTTTTTGGTTCATATGAATTTTAGATAGTTTTTTCTAATTCTGTGAAAAATGACATTGGTGATTTGATAGGAGTAGTGTTAAATCTATAGATTGATTTGGGCAGTATGGCTATTTTAATGATATTGATTCTTCCAATTCATGAGGATGGAATATTTTTCCATTTGTGTCATCTGTGATTTCGTTCACTAGTGTTTTGTAGTTCTCCTTATAGAGATCTTTCACCTCCTTGGTTATCTGTATTCCTAGGTATTTTACTTTTTTGGTGGCTATTGTAAATGGGATTGTGTTCTTGATTTGGTTCTCAGCTGGAATGTTATTGGTGTATAGAAATGGCACTGATTTTTGTACACTGATTTTGTGTCCTGAAACTTTACTGAAGTTGTTTATCAGTTCCAGGACCCACTACAGGCCTTCAAAAAGCTGAGGCCCTGGTTTTCTAAAGACTGACACACAGCTCAGGTGCTGATTTCTCAGTCACAGTGAAGGCTCCAGTTTTTCCCCTGAAGTCTGGGAAACTTTTAAAAATAACCCCCAGAGAAGAAGCTTTAGTCACTTCAATCCTGATAGCCACTTTATTACCCCATCATAATAACTTTTCGGAAATGCTTTAATCTATTTTATTCAATCAGTTACTATTCTCTCACTTGCCCCCCACTTTCTTGGCGCCATCCCTTAATTCATGATTTACTTCCATACGAAACACTTCTCTTTCTCTTCCTTTTCTGTATATATATAAACCTATCCAATTTTTTTTTTTTTTAAACAGGGTCTCGAGGCCAGGCGTGATGGCTCACGCCTGTAATCCCAGCACTTTGGGAGGCCAAGGTGGGTGGATCACGAGGTCAGGAGATTGAGAGCATCCTGGCCAACATGGTGAAACCCCATATCTACTAAAAATACAAAAATTAGCCGGGCATGGTGGCGGGCACCTGTAGTCCCAGCTACTCGGGAGGCTGAGGCATGAGAATTGCTTGAACCCAGGACATGGAAGTTGCAGTGAGCCGAGGTTGCACCACTGCACTCCAGCCTGGCAACAGAGCAAGACTCCATCTCAAAAACAAAAACAAAAAAACAAAACAAAAAACAAAAAACAAAAAAACAAAAAAACAGGGTCTCAATCTGTCACCCAGTATGGGGAGCAGCAGCATGATCAGAGCTCACTATAACCCCAAATTCCCAGGCTCAAGTGATCCTCCCGCCTTAGCCTCCAGAGTAGCTGGGACTACAGATATGCATAACCATGCTGGGTTTTTAATTTATTGTAGAGCTGGGGTCTATCTTGCCCAGGCTGATCTTGAACTCCTTGGCTCAAGCAATCCTCCCACCTCAGCCTCCCGAAGTGATGGGATTACAGATGTAAGCCACCATGCAGTGATATCTTTCCCAATCTTCAAGGACAAGTGTCAGGACTATTTTTTTTTTCCATGAAGCCCTTTCTCTTGCTCTTATACCAGGAGAAACTCATCTCTGCACACTTTAAAATTTCATACCTTTGGATCAGTCCCTTTTTTCTACCACACACTTGCTATCTCATGTTAGTTATTTGCATGCATTTCTCCTCTTTCTTATTAGACTATAAATCTCTTGACCACAAGATCCATATGTATATTAGATTTGTAATATCAAAACATCTATAAAGAGTAGGTGCTCAGTAAATATTTAAGTAAATTTGAGCAAAGTAGCAGGGGCCATAAGAATAAATGGTAACTGGCTGGGTGCGGTGGCTCACGCCTGTAATCTCAGCACTTTGGGAGGCCGAGGCGGGTGGATCACAAGGTCAGAAGATCGAGATCATCATGGCTAACATGGTGAAACCCAGTTTCTACTAAAAATACACACACACACAAAAATTAGCCAGGCGTGGTGGCGGGCGCCTATAGTCCCTGCTACTCGGGAGGCTGAGGCAGGACAATGGCGTGAATCCGGGAGGCGGAGCTTGCAGTGAGCCGAGGTTGCGCCACTGCACTCCAGCCTGGGCAACAGAGTGAGACTCCATCTCAAAAGAAAAAAAAAAAAAAGATAAATGGTAACTAGCAGTATGACTAAAAGGGTTGTTTTCAGCACTTAGGATTGGCCCCCCCATTAAGGAAGTCCTCAATATTTGCTTCATCTACTCTTTCTTTTAAAAGGTATATTTATGTTTTCATTATGATTTGGATACCATATATATTTTTTTGATACTATATTTTTCATTGGAGATAGTATTGGTATAGCACAGATTATTAATAGTTTAGCACATTTCTTCATTAACAATCGTTTGGAGTAAAAAAATGCCCTGCTTGAAAAATTACCTAGGAGTGGCCATGGGGTATCATTCTGGCAAATAGATGTAAGGAGAAGTAGCTCAATAGGGTTCTACAGGAAAACTTCTTAAAGGGAGGAAACTCAAAATGCTCCTGCCTGGTACTCATTGCTGGAGATGGAATAGCCATTTGGAGGCCACTAGGTAAAGAAAGGATGAGGGTAAAGGCCATGTATTAGTGATGGCCAAGAAGAAAGATGAAATGAACCTGGGTTCCTGATAGCAACGTGAAGCCAGAATAATAGCTCTGAATTGTCTACCTATAGATTTCTTCTTCTTATTATTGTTTCTATTTGACACATAATTGTATGTATTTATAGGGCACAGTGTGATATTTTGATATATGTAATTGTATGATCATCTGAGATTTTTAGCATATCCAACATTTATCATTGCTTTATGGCAAGAACATTCAGAATCCCCTCTTCCAGCTATTTTTAAATATACACTATAATATTGTTAACCATAGTCACCCTACTGTGCTACAGAACACCAGAACAGATTCCTCCTATCTTACTCTAATTTTGTACCTGTTGACCAACCTCTCCCCATCATCCACTCTTTCTTTCCTCCTTGGCCTCTGGTAACCACTATTCGACTCTCTATTTCTATAAGATCAACTCCTTTAGATTCCACCTGTGAATGAGACCATGTGGTATTTGTCTTTCTGTGTTTGGTTTATGTCACTTAATGTCCTCCAGGTTCATCCATGTTGCCACAAATGACGGGATTTCATTTTTTTATGGCTGAGTAATATTTTACAGTGTATATACACCATGTTTTATTAATTTGTCCATTGATGGACATGAAAGCTGATTCCATATCTTGGCTATTGTGAATAGTGCTGCAATAAACACGGGAGTGCAGATATCTCTTTGACATACTGATTTCATTTCCTTTGGATAAATACCCAGGAGAGGAATTGCTGGATCATATGGTACCTCTAGATTTCATATAGGAGAAAAATAAAACTTATATTTAAGCTACATTTGGGGGCTTTGTTATTTACATTGGAACATAAACTTGACTGATGCAATCGGATACTATTCATTTTAAGCTTTGACCAAACGGTAGCTGAAAGATTATATACTTTGTGGTTAGTGGGATTTAGCAATTGTTCTTATTTTTTGACACTTATGTGTTTGTGTGTACAAATTGTTATTTTATTAGGTTTTTCACTTCCTTATTATTGATTTGTAGGCTGCTTAGTATGTATATTTACAGTATTTCACCCAGTGTGTTACTTGGATTTTATATTTGTTTGAGTCTTGCCATACAAAAGTTTTAAATCTTTATATCATAATAAGAGCACTTATGAATCAGGTGGTGTTCTAAGTGCTTAGATTATTACCTCATTTATTCCCTCCATAACAACCCTAAGAAGTAGGCTATGATTATCACTCTGATTAATCAAATGAGGATACTGAGGTAGAGGCAACAAGTGACTGGGGCTGAGTTCACTCACCTGGAGCTGGGAAATGAAGCCATGTGGTCTGACTCAGAGCCTGTTCTCCCTCTATTCTCTCCCTCACCAATCCTGTCAGTAATTTTGCATAAGCCTGTTTAGAACGGTTCCCCATCCCAAGATTGCATGAATATTGTATTATATATTTAAGTGAAATACATAATTTATTGTAGATTTTCTACTAAAATTTCTTTACAACCCAATTTCTTTGAAGATTTTGGTTACTGGAGTAAAATAAAACATTTACCATGAAACCATTTTTAAGCAAACAATTCAGTGGCATTAAGTACATTCCCAATGTTGTGCACCCATCACTAGTACCATCTCTAGAACTTTTTCGTTGTCTCAAACAGAAACTCTGTACCCATTAAGCAGTAATACCTCATTTAGCCTAATATATATATACCTTCTGATCATATACATGTTACTTGCTGATATTAACAGAAGGGTCCTACCCTAACAACTCAGTTTTCTGGTGTTTATTCTAATACTCTTGAGTTACCTGGATTCTTGGTTTAATTTCCATTTGAATTTTCCCATATTGTATATCATATTTTGCTGAGTCTAAGTTACCATTTTTTGTCTCTAAAATTAATCTCATAATCAATGGAATCTTAGATTCAATAAAATATAGTATATTTTAAAAAATCAACTCTATTGAGGTATGATTTATGTACAATAATTATTTACCAATTTAAAATGGATATTTAGTTGAGCTGTAACAAATGCATACAGTCATCTACCTATCACCCACCACACAACACTGATGTAGAACACTTCCCTCAACCTGAAACTTCCAACATGTTCCTTGGGACAGTCCTTTCCCCAACCATAACCCCTAGTAACCAAGGATCTGCCTTCTAACATTATAGTTTAGCTTCTTCTAGAATTTCATACAAATGGGATAAGTCTTCTGTGTCTGGTTTCTTTCAGTTAGTATAATTGTTGAGACTCATTCAAATGGTGTATTAGTTTGTTCCTTTTTATTGTCCAGTATTCCATGATATCCTGTAATTTATTCAATTTGTTTATCCATTCATAGGTTGATGCATCCTTGGGTTGTTTCCAACTTTTGGTTATGAATAAAATTGCTATAAACATTCAAATACAAGTGGTGGATAAATATATGTTTCCATTTCTCTTGGGTAAATAAATGTCTAGGAGTGGGTTTGTGGGTCATATGGTGATTGCTTAAAGTTTCTGCCAAGCAGTTTTCCAAAGTGGTTGTACAACTCAGCATTCCCACTAAAAGTGCATGGGAGTGCAAGTTACACTGGGTCTTCACCAGCGCTTAGTATGGCCAGTCTTAAAAGTTTAGACATTCGGCCAGACGCAGTGGCTCACGCCTGTAATCCCAGCACTTTGGGAGGCCAAGGCAGGTGGATCACCTGAAGTCAGGAGTTCGAGACCAGCCTGGCCAACATTGTGAAATCCCATCTCTATCAAAAATACAAAAAATTAGCTGGGCATAGTGGCAGGCGCCAGTAATCCCAGCTACTTGGGAGGCTGAGGCAGGAGAATTGCTTGAACCCAGGAGGTGGAGGTTGCAGTGAGCCAAGATCACGCCATTGCACTCCAGCCTGGGCAACAAGAGCGAAACTCTGTCTCAAAAAAAAAAAAAAAAGTTTAGACATTCAGGTGAGTGTGTTATTGAGGCTTTATTTCTCTTTGGGTTCATTGAGCTTCTTGGAACTGTGGGTTTATAGTTTTGATTGTTTGGAAACTTTCATCTATTATTTCTTCAAAATCTTTTTTTCTGTTCCTGCCTCACTCCCCTCTTGACCTTAAACTGCTTTGTATTGTTTCACAGGGCACTGATTCTCTGGTGTTTTGTTTTCCTTTCCCCATTCTTTTTTGTCTCTGTGCTTCATTTTGAATAGTTTCTATGGTTATGTTCTTAAGTTTACTGATTTGTCTTCTTCATTGTCTAATCTTCTCTTTATCCCATACAGTGTATTTTTCATTTCAGATAAGAGTTCCATTTGCATACTTTTTATATCTTCTATTTGTCTCCTATTTTATTTGCCTCTATATTCTTTTTTTTTTTGAGACGGAGTTTCACTCTTGTTGCCCAGGCTGGAGTGCAGTGGTGCGATCTCGGCTCACTGCAATTTCCGCCTCCCGGGTTCAAGCGATTCTCCTGCCTCAGCCTCCCGAGTAGCTGAGATTACAGGCATGCACCACCAAGCCCGGTTAGTTTTCATTTTTAGTAGAGACAGGGTTTCTCCATGTTGGTCAGGCTGGCTTGAACTCCTGACCTCAGGTGATCCACCCACCTTGGCCTCCCAAAGTGCTGGGATTACAGGCATAAGCCACAACGCCTGGCCTATTTGCCTCTATATTCTTGACCACATAAAGTATATTTATAATTGCTGATTTTATATCCTTGTTTGGTAATTTCATCATTTCTATCATTTCACTGTTTATTTTCCTGGTAATGGGTCATATTTTTGTGTTGTTTTGCCTGCCTAGTAATGTTTGATTAGATGACAGATAGTATGAATTTTACACTGTTGATCGCTGGATTTCATTGTGGTTATTTAAGTAGTGTTGAGCTTTGTTCTTGTGTGTGATTACTTGGAATTAGTTGGATTTTTTTCAAGGCAAGGCTTGCTTTTGAGCTTTTAAAGGAGGATTCAGAGCAGCTTTTAGTCATGGGCTAATGTGGCCCCATACTTAGATGATATCCTTCTGAAGACCCTACTGTATGTTTTCTATATTACAAGATCTTTCCACCCTGGCTGGTGGGAACACCCACTATTCCCAGCCCTAGATGAGCCCTGGGGATTGTTTCACCAAAGCTTCCTGATGGTTCTTTCCCCACACAGTCTGGGTAATTATCTCAATGCATAAATTAGTACTTAGTGAAATACTTAAGGGAGCTTAATTTATACTGATATCTTTTTTTTTTTTTTGAGATGGAGTCTCACTTTGTTGCCCAGGCTGGAGTGCAGTGGCACGATCTTGGTTCACTGCAACCTCCACCTCCCGGGTTCAAGCGATTCTCACGCCTCATCTCCCAAGTAGCTGGGATTACAGGCATGCACCACCACGCCTGCTAATTTTTGCATTTTTAGTAGAGATGGGGTTTCACCATGTTGGCCAGGCTGGTCTCGAACTCCTAACCTCAAGTCATCCACCCACCTCGGCCTCCCGAAGTGTTGGGATTACAGACATGATTCACTGTGCCCGGCCCTGATATCTTACTTTTGAAATCTCCATCCCTTTGAGGATTCTTCCTTATCCTCCCTTCTTCCACAATGAGACCTCTGACTCCCCAAAATATCAAATGACATTTACTCCTTTGCTCAATTCTATCATACACATAAAATGGTTTCAGAATTGCTATGCCTATTTATCACTGTGAAAAATAAACCTACTAAAAAGGTTCCAATATTTGTTTGTAGTTCTTTTTTATTCCTCTTATAATAGAATAAAAGTTTATAGCCCCTGCTCCCAGCTTTAATACACCTTTTGACAGCTGAATTTATGACATTCACAGTCCTGGTTAGCATCATAGTTCGCTTTTTATATAACACTTTTTAAAACAGTTGAATTTTGGCCAGGCATGGTGACTTGTACCTGTATTCCAAACATTTTGGGAGGCCAAGGCAGGAGGATAACTTGAGGCCAGGAGTTCAAGACCAGCCTGGGCAACATGGCAAGACCCTGTCTCTAGAAAAAATTTAAAAATTAGCTGGACGCAGTAGCGTGAGCCTGGAGTCCTAGCTACTTGGGAGGCTGAGGTGGGAGTACTGCTTGAGTCCTGGAGTTCAATGCTGCAGTGAGCCATGACCACACCACTGCACTCCAGCCTGGGCAACAGATCCAGACCCTGTCTCAGGGTAAATAAATAACTAAATAACTAAATAAATACAGTTGAATTTTAAGTTGCCATAGTTACATGATGATTTTTTTAGTGCATGCAATTTATATGCTTTCATAATTTGCTAAAGAAATTAACTCCTTTCCTTTTTAAAAAATTTTTTTACAATTTTTATTATCCTTCTCATATACAGAACAAAGTATATAAATTCGAACTATCAAGTTCTGGCGAAGAATGAGTTACTGTTTTTTAAAATTATTCTTTCTTCATACACTAAAAACATAAATTACGGTGCACTAGCAGTCATTTGGGCTGCTTTCCTCTCTGTTACGACTTATATCAAGTCACAAAATCCTGCCAACTCTTTCCTTCTCAAATGCCTCTGGAATCCAATCCTCCACTCCCACGGCCACCCTCTAGGCAGGGCCCTTATCACACCAGGCTTGGTTTGGCACAACAGACTTATATATATAGCATCTACTATCACTTGCCAGGTGTTTCAAAAAGACTACTAATCAATCTCATGTAAGAACTATCTTTCCATCTTTGCATCACTGCAAATCTGAACAATTTTTTTTGTGGCCAACATTTAGTTAAAATTTAATTTTAGGTTCGGGGGTACATGTGAAGATTTGTTACATAGATGAACTTGTGCCATGGGGGTTTATTGTACAGATTACTTCATCACCTAGGTATTAAGCCCAGCACCCAATAGTTATCTTTTCTGCTCCTCTCCCTTCTCCCACCCTCAACTCCTAAGTAGACTCCAGTCTACTTACCACGTTATTCAAGCAATATAAATATCATATGAATTGAAAGAAAACTATGCCTGCACAAACATTTAATAGCAGCCAGGCGCCGTGGCTCACGGCTGTAATCCCAGCACTTTGGGAGGCTGAGGCGGGCAGATAACCTGAGGTCAGGAGTTTGAGACCAGCCTGGCTAACATGGTGAAACCCCGTCTCAACCAAAAACACAAAATTTAGCTGGGCTTGGTGGCACACACCTATAATCCCAGCTACTCAGGAGGCTGAACCAGGAGAATCGTTTGAACCTGGGAGGTGGAGGTTGCAGTGAGCTGAGATCACACCACTCCACTCCAGTCTGGGTGACAGAGTGAGACTCCATCTCAAAAACAGCATCAACAACGACAAACTTAGTAGTTTAAAAATACCATATATGCCTGAATATAAGTTATATTCCCCCCTAAAACTACCCCACTGAAAAGGGTATGGAAGCTTAATCTTATTTTGAAGCCTTATGCTGCCATTACTCTAGGTAATGTCTTTGGGGAAGATATTAGTTTGAAATGACCTCAATTAATAGCAGTTTTGCATGTATTTACACACAGATTTTTAAAATACATTTAAAAAAAGGATATTATTTCAAACTTTGATAACAGGATGACATGCTTTGGAAAACACGGTCAGAGAGCTAAAGAAGTCTCTAATGATGACCAAGAGATTGATGTCAAAGATGGATGAAAGGACAATAAAATTATCCTACAAAACATAAGCAAAAATATTCTACAATGTTCTTATATAACATACAACTGACATAATACTTCATCTATATCTCTAACAACTTACGTAATCTTACCAAAATACTGTTTTGGTGAAATCTTATTGGGAAAATGGGGCATAGCCTCCTACTTTGCTAGGTTCATGGATGTTTACCTTGTCAAAGATGCCATCAACAAATCTCAGCTTATGTGTCATCCATTCTCTAGTCCATTACTTATTTTTTTAACATATCACTTCTCATGATGCAAAATTACTTAATATGTATGTATTACTTGTCTCCCTTGACTGGAATTGACAACTATATAAGGGCGGGGACTTTGGCTTTTCATATGAAACCGCAGGCTGTAATGTGTTTTTAAAAGTGACAGCAAAGAGGGATAGAGGTGAAGGCAAACACAGCTGGAGTGGAAAAGGTGCTCCAGCAGTTTATTTAGTTATCTAATTGCTATGGTTTGAACGTGTCCCCTAAGGTTCTTACATTGGAAAGTTAATCCCCAATGACAACACTGTTGACAGGTGGGACCTTTAAGAGGTGATTAGGCCATGAGGGCTGTGCTCTCATGAATAGATTAATGTCGTTATTGTGGGAATGGGCTAGTCTGTGGCAGTGCCTCCCTATAAAGGATGAGCTCAATCTCTTGCTCTCTCTCACCATTTTATGCCCTCGCAAGAGGCAGCCCCCTAGATCTTGGACATCCTAGGCTCAAGAACTGTGAGCCAAATACATTTCTTGTCTTTACAAATTACCCAGCCTGTGATATTCTGTTACGGCAACAGAAAATGAACTAAAATACTCATGAGGTCAGTTCCTCATGGATTGTTTTTAATGTAATGGGTATGTGTAAACCAAGGACCACTCACATTTACGTTTTTTTTCTTTTCGAGATAGTCTTGTTCTGTTGCCCAGGCTGGAGTGCAGTGGCACGACCTCAGCTCATGGCAACCTCTGCCTCCCAGGTTCAAGTGATTCTCCTGCCTCAGCCTCCTGAGTAGCTGGGATTACAGGCGCCTGCCCCCACTCCAGGCTGATTTTTGTATTTTTGGTAGAGATGGAGTTTTGTCATGTTGCTCAGGCTGCTCTTGAACTCCTGACCTCAGGTGATCCGCCTGCTTTGGCCTCCCAAAGTGCTGGGATTACAGGTGTGAGCCACCAGGCCTGGCCCATATTTATGCTTACTATTCAAGAAACACAAAAGAAAAAAACCCTGAAATTAGAAGGAATCCAGTTTATTCAAATAATTCTTCTTTAACAATATTTACAAACAGGTTTTTTTTTCTTATAAAATTTGCTCAGGTTTAATTTCTTCTACTATTTAGAATCAAAAAACACACTTGAAGCAAAAATATTCCATGTTTTAATATTCTGTCACGTACAGATTTTTTAAAAATGTAACTGAATATTTAGGTAAGTCTTTAAGAGAAATTAAAACCCATGAAATAAAAATACCACAAAGACAATGTCAACAGAATCTGAAAGTTGTTTAAAGAAACAATCCTTAACTAGAATATTTAACTTTTGGTTTACATATTAGTAGTAGTATTAACTATAAATGCTGTAACATCTTGCCATAACCAAACATAAACCAAATGACTGAGGGAAACATAAATCAAATGGCTGTTATTCATTTTTGGCTGTTATTCATTTTTGAATACCAGTTAATATTACTGCTTTCAAAGTTGTTCAGGAGTTCTGATTTTGACAGACTATTTTCAAATAAAACTGCATGGACCAAATAGAAATGTTTTTTAAATATTGTTTTAACTCTATCGTCTTTTCAAATCTCTTACTTCTTTCGGTTACAGTTCTTTGCTTGACCTTCCCTTTTTAAAGATCTCTATGTTAAAGAAGCAGCTTAGGTATTCTGAATTCCATCCCAGTTGGTTTAAGTGAGTATAAAGAGGCTTATCCTGGGGATTCTCACTGTCTTTCTAAATTGAAAAATTAGTTACTCTACATTAAACAAAGTAGAATTATAGTCTTTTCAAAGGCCTGTGCCAGATAACACAAAAAGTTTGCTTACATAAAAAGTTTGCAAAAGCACTGAAGCTTTGCTAGTTATTTGTTGTGATTCAGCCAAACCAATTCTCTTGTCACATTTTAGGGCTAACCCTTGAGAAAGGTCTATCCAGTTGTGAGGGCTCTGTCTGACTAGGATCTTACAGAAAACAGGAATAGCTGTTGAGCAAGAAAGGTAATACATGAAAAGAGACAGCTCAAGACTGCAGTTACATACTATATCCTGTTGCCCTATGATGATTATTACTAAGAGAGTTTTTACTTTTGCAGAAGGTTAAAAAGAAAAGTCTATGACAAGAGCATGAAAAAACTATGTTTGTGCCACATTGTTTAAATTACTGTAATAAAGACTAACTGCATAAGCATAAACATTATTCTCTATTATTTGCTAGAAAATCATTAAAATAACTATTTAAATTGTGAAATCCAAAAACAAAATAATCTTCTGGAAATGGCTCTTGTAGAAAAAGGCATTGAAAGTGCTTCATTGCCAATATAATTAACTACAATTGCTTCCAACATAAACATTTAAAACATCTCTACTCAAGGAAACACTGAGATTATGCAAACCAATTTTTCTTATTAAAAATATTTTACAAGTAGAAACTATAAAATACTGAAATTGAAGAAATTTGCCATATCTGGCATAGAATTGTAAATTATATAATAAAGTGTCAAGAATTATAAAATTCTTGGTTTGATGACTAATGAAAAAAAATCCTGCTTTCAGCTCAAATGGCACAATGCCATCAACAATGTATTGAAACATATCAGAAGCAAGAATCTAGTTTTAAAGATTTTACCACTATTGCTTAACTTTGATCATATTACCCTCCCCTTATAATTGCATGGAAATAATTCTGGTATATCAGATGTTAGAAATTGATGTCCTATATGATATGTGTTAGATTATTTGTATATTTTACAAAGGACCATATGATTTATATTTCCTACCACATTTACAAACATTAAAAATCGCTAAATGTTAAAAAATATATAAGTAAAAAATATTTGGAAAAACTTGTTATGTCTTATTTCAATAGACAGAAGACTATTTTCAGTGTCCTGGATGAAAGGATTCTTGGTGCCATGGAGCTGGAAGAAAAAACACCACAAAGATTTAAATAAATAATTTAGACTAATGGTACATGATACTATAGTGGAAAGAACCTGAGTTTAAATTACAGCTAAAGAGATCAAAGTGCTTATTTGCCCTTAAGTAGCCATAGGGTCATCAGGTCCTATGAAAGTTAATTTAAGGCTCTCTGAGGAGTGGTTTCCTCATCTGTAAAAGAACAGCACCTCTGCATCTCTCTAAGCTATCCTGTGAAATTAAATGTAATAAAGGACATAATGTGGCTGGACACAGGGCTCACTCAAGCACTGTCCTTTAGTTCCATTTTCTGGTGTTGAATACAAGCACCACGAACAATATAGTGACAAATGGGTCCAAGGGATTTTCACATTTTTAAGAATGCAGTTCCTGTAAGTGTGAGAGGTGATTTCTGTGGATTATTTACACTCATGATAACTCAAAGATGTGCTTATAACATTGCAATTGCCTCCTTAATTTTTTTTAGAGTGACTTTTGGATATTAAGTAAATGATTATTTCTTTTTCTTTTATTTTAATTGGACTAATATAACCAAGGAGGTAACAATACAGATTATTTGAGAGCCATAGCTGGACTTGATTCCAGAGCTATCTTTTTTAATATCACAAATAGCTTAACTATTAAGAACAAAAGAAAGCCCAAACTATGAGAACCCTTCTGAAACAATTACAATCAAGATTTCCTATCTCAGAAATTAAAGTGTCCACTTTAATTCATAGGTTTGTCCCATCTACTATGCTTGGTGTTTATCATTACAGCATCAGCAATGATACCAAATTAATAAAAAAGGAAAAAGCAGAGTCATGGACTTTGTTCCTGCTTTCTTTTTCCCCTTTTATTATTTTTTTGAGACAGAGTTTAACCTTGTCGCCCAGTATGGAGTGCAATGGCGTGATCTCGGCTCACTGCAACCTCCGCCTCCCAGATCCAAGCCATTCTGCTGCCTCAGCCTCCCATGTAGCTGGGATTACAGGCATGTGCCACCACACCTGGCTAATTTTGTATTTTTAGTAGAGATAGGGTTGCGCCATGTTGTCCAGGCTGGTCTCAAACTCCTGACCTCAAGTGATCTGCCTGCCTTGGCCTCCCAGAGTGCTGGGATTACAGGCATGAGCTACTGCGTCCAGCCTTTTTTCCCCTCTTTTATCGTTTTCCTTATGTTCTTAGGTGAAAAATTTCTAGCCCTGTGTAAAGTCATTTACTGAGGCAGGGAAGAAAGGGAAAGATACAGAGATTATTACAATACCACCTAATACTCACATACCTTATGTGAGAAAAGCACACAAAAAGTACTACAGAAGTACGAGAGAGATTGTTCTATGGTCCTACGGGAGAACATTAAGTTGTTCAACGTGGCTTGAATGCAGAGGTGGAAGTGGTGGCAGATGACGTTGGACATAGAGGACTGTGAAGGGCTCTGCATTCCAGGCTAAAGTATTTGAATTTTATCCAGTAGGTTATAGTGAATCAGTGATATAACTCCAAAGCAGAGGAGCTGATGTGATCAGATTTCTCAGTTAGAAACAGAACTATGTCAATAGGCTGCTTCTTGCCCAATTCAGACCTATGTCCTACGGCCTCTCAGTTTTTTCTACATATCCATTTGTAACAATATCCAGGGCTTAGAAACTTTTTAAAAGAAATTCTCTGGGCCTGATGCCTCACACCTGTAATCCCACACTTTGCAAGGCAGGGGCAGGAGGATCACTTGAGGCCAGGAGTCCGAGACCACCCTAGGCAACACAGTAAGACCTCCTCTCTACTAATATATATATATTTTTTGGGACTGGGTCTTCCTGTCACACAGGCTGGAGTGCAGTGGCGCGATCTCGGCTCACTGCAACCTCTGCCTCCCGGGTTCAAGTGATTCTCATGCCTCACCTTCCTGAGTAGCTGGGATTACAGGTGTGTACTACCACTCCCAGCTAATTTTTGTATTTTTAGTAGATACCAGGGTTTCGCCATGTTTTGCCTCAAGTGAGCTGCCCACCTCCACCTCCCAAAGTGCTGGGATTACAGGTGCTCAGCCTCTACTAAAAATTAAAAATAATAAAAATAAAAATTAAAAATTATTAAAAATAATTAGCTGGACATGGTGATGCATGCCTGTAGTTCCAGCTACTTGGGATGCTGAAATGGGAGGACAGCTTGAGCCCAGGAGTTTGAGGTTTCAGTAAGCTATGAATGTGCCACTGGACTCCAGTCTAGGTGACAGAATGAGACCCTGCCTTAAAAAAGAATTATCTTGCATTTCTCCGTATAAGATATTAAAAGATGGTTATTTTTATTTAAAGTACATTTTATTTCCAATGGTAGAATATTTGGTTGTTAGGGTAACTTTTTCTGCAGGATAATTGTTTTTATATTTTGCTTTAACTCTGATAAATGCACATTTCAATTTCATTAAAACACCTATATTCTAATCATGCTATTTTACAAGTAGAATTAAGCATTTTAGAAAGAAACAATTTCATGTTACAGAGCAAACTATCAAGTTCTTCTACCAATACATTTTAATTAACTCTATTCACTTACACCAAGATACTGTATTAGATAACTGAGAGAAACAGAAGGGTTGTTTTGTCTAATTGAAATTTATTTTCCCACTTTAGTTTACTCTGTTTTTCCTCTAATTATCAAAATAATGTATGTTTCACAGTAGATAATCTAGAAAATGCAAGAAAAAATTCTCTACACACCCTAAAGTTTTTACCTGAAGATAGACAAATTAAAATGTTGGCATATTTTATTTCAGTATTTCTATCTATTTCCACATTTATGTAGGTAAGTTTACATGATATAGTTTTAAAAAAGTCAGGTCATTAAAAACCCTTTAATGGTTGCGTCACATTTCACTGTATCGTTTTTTTTTTTTTTTTTTTTTTTTTTTGAGGTCGAGTCTCGTTCTATCACCCAGGCTGGAGTGCAGTGGCGGATCTCCGCTCACCACAACCTCTGCCTCCTGAGTTCAAGCGATTCTCTTTCCTCAGCCTCCTGGGTAGCTGGGACTACAGGTGTGCGCCACCATGCCCAGCTAATTTTTGTATTTTTAGTACAGATGGGGTTTCACTATGTTGGCCAGGCTAGTCTTGAACTCCTGACCTCGTGATCTGCCCCCCTCGGCCTCCCAAAGTGCTGGGATTACAGGTGTGAGCCACTGCGCCCAGCCCCACTGTATCGATTAACTATAAGTTACTTAACTATTCCCTACTGTTGGGTTTTATTGAAGAACAAACATGTCAAGGACATATTAGTGATACTGACAGTTTTTTTTCTTGAATTTTTGACAACTAGATTTCCACCCTCTCTGCCCAATCCATTGGCAATTCTACAAATCTGTACAGAAAAATGACTGCTCTTTCTCCCTCTAACTCATCACTTACTGTGAATTTCACTTACATAAATGGACACAGTTAAAAGTAACAACTCAATAAAGCAGGCATTAAAATGTGAAACTCACCATAAACCCAAGGAACTTCTGGAGGCACAAATCGATTAGGAAGGTAAGGGTATGTAGCTTGTGGTAATGGCTGATGAGAAGCATATTGTGAAAAAATTGGCTGCCGAAAATTAGAAGCAGGTATTTGAGATTGAAAATACCCATTCACTGGCACAAAGCCATTTGCTTGTGGCTCCCCCGCAAAATAAGTAAAATATTGAGAGTACAGAAGATTAGAATGTGTGCCCTGGGCAGTACTTGCAACTGTGGTCAACAGCCCAGAAGGAGATGGCTGTACTTCATATGATGTTATCCCTTGGTATGTCTGGGTAATGGCATTGCCATTGCTGTTGCTGTACTGATAAACACACCAAGCAGAGTATGGATATGAAGTTCCAAATAAATGCTCAGAAGAATTATATGTTGGGTTACATGCAGACTGTGGAAGTTCATTCCAATATGTGGCAGCATTCTGCATTAGGACTTTTGAATTTTTGTCATTCTGTTGTTCAGAAAGAGAGTACTCTGCTCCTTGATTCACATTAAGGGTTATATGCCCAGATGCTCCAAAAGTATGCACAGTATTGGGATTCAATGTATCCTTCATGTATTTGTCCTCTGACTCAGTTTCTGTAGGCTGTAGTTTGTTTATCTGCAGAGTAGGAATTTTGTTCTGGATACAGATGGGTTCTGGAGAAGTCATGCATGAGGAATTTTTAATAGATGAATTTACTATATCATTATCTTGAAGTTCAAAGACTGTGTCATTCATTTCTAGATCAGGATGGACATCTTTCACAAAACAGAAAATTGGCTTTGAGAGCACCGACGCATCAGGCACAAGAGAAACATCAGTTTCTGGGTTTATATCAGAAAGGCAGGATTTTTGGGTGGGATCTGGGGAATTTTTAAGAAATTTCTGCAAAAGCGTCCCATGGTCTGGTGAAAATGTGCCATGTACACTTTTTTGGTCACAAATTGCAAAAGCAGCACAATCTTTCTTATCACTTTTTGTTTCAGCAGCACTGAAGTTCACATTTCTTTTCTTCATGCTATTTAAATTTTCCTGTTGTCCACTGAAGTGATCAGATGAAACAGTTAAGTCTATTTTGCTTTCCGACTTTGATGCGCAAGTGTCTTTTGGGTTCTCTAAGGGTAAAAGTGAGCCAGGTAGTGATCTTTGCATTTCAACCTTTTTTGGCGTTAAATGATTTCTTTTCAGACTGTCACATGAACTTGGTACTATTTTGTTTTCGCTTTTGGGATGAGATCCTGTAGTCCTATTAGGTGCAACACATACATAAAAATGAATTTAAATATATAGGGTCATAAAATTTTAATGGAAATATATATTTGAAATTTTTATCCAGGGGAAGAGTTCTTAAGCTTTACGTTTTCCCATTCTATTGGCACTATACAAGTTAACATTTTCCTAGTTTGACTGCCGTGGTTTGGATTTAGATACTTTTCCTACTGAAGATGATATGCTCTACATTTTAAATATATTTCCAATATTGTAATAAACTATTTTGTGCATTAGACATTTTCTAATGGAGGCTTTTAAAAGTAGAAAACTATCACTAGTCAATTGTTCAGTATAGTTTTTTAATTCATATGCCTCCTGCCTGATGATCTTCATTACTTGTAAATAGCTATAAATAACTGGTAAACTACCAGCTGTAACCCCTGCCTTCCCACCAAAGATTTCTTCCCTCTCTGTTATAACAGACTAATACGTTTTTGTCTGTTCATCTTTGAGAATAGGAAAAGCAGATCTCCAAAATTTCTTGCCCAATTTAATAGCCTTGAAATTATTAGCTAAATTCAGACAGTCTCAAGCAGCTGAGAGAAGCATCCAAATGGGAATTGTCTAAAGCCAGACAGTTAATATAGGTCCCTGAGGTAATTATATATATACACACACACACACACACACATATATACACACACACATACACACATATGTATGTGTATGTGTGTATATATAAAAACATATATATATATATATATATATATATATATATATATATATATATATATGAATTTTTTTTTGACACAGAGTCTCACTCTGTTGCCCAGGCTGGAGTGCAGCAGCACCATCTCAGCTCACTGCAACCTCCGCCTCCCAAGTTCAAATGATTCTCCTGCCTCAGCCTCCCAAGTAGCTGGGACTACAGGCACCCGCCACTATGCCCGGCTAGTTTCCATATTTTTAGTAGAGATAGTGTTTCACCATGTTGGTCAGGCTGATCTCCAACTCCTGACCTCAGGTGATCCGCCCGCCTTGGCCTCCCAAAGTGCAGGGATTACAGGCATGAGCCACCACACCCAGCCAGTAATTAGATTTTTTGGTGCTTTATGAAATTCTTAAATTGTATGAGGAAATATTATGTTGAGAAGGGAAAAGTAGTACTATTTCTCTGTAGTCAAGAGAAATTCTTCTTTGGCCTGGAATTCACATATCCCACTCAACAAACTAAAAGCCAAATATTTCACTGAATTCAGCCTCACTGAAACATCACCAGAAATGCGATAAAATCAAAATTATACTTTCTGAGAGCTCAAAGTATCGTATGGGAATTGATGACTATGTAGGTTCTCATTAAAATGCCAGTTTTGAAATTTGCCATTCTTCAAAATGCACAAGTTAAAAAAAAAAGTAATCTTATCACTTGTCCTATTTTTAAAAGTCCCTTTTTGATTTTAGAAGTCTTTTTTTGGTAAACCACTTACTAAGCCCCATCAATTCTTTATGTATTGTATCGTATCTTGTAAAGATATAAATTTTTCTTTCTTATTCTGTGAAACAATCACCCTTTTCTAAGCCTTGGCTGACTTACTTCTAACTATACTCAGAATATTCTTAACCTTTACATCACTGAAAAAGCAAATTTCACATGACTTTAGCCTTTAATACTTACAGAATGAAGTTCAAACTCCTTAGGCTGAATTTAAGAAACTGTATAATTTCAAACAAATTTCTTTTTCCTTAGCTTACTCTCATCCCCTAAGTTACATGTATGATCCAATGACATTATATAAATAATTGTGTTATTCTAGTTGTTTAGTATTTGCCCAATTTTGTTCAATTTTTTTTCCACATAGGGCTGATGGGAACTCCTACCTTGGATGCTTGAATGTTGCCTTTTCTCTGTTGATTTTTGTGACATCTTTCATGTCTACCTGTGTTTAAAAGATACAAAGAAAATCTTCATTAGTGATGACAAACTATAATAAAAATAATTATTATTTCAATATTAGATATTTTTAATTGCTTGTTCTGCCATCATCTAAAGTTAAACTAATTAATTATCACCTCCCTGCAGAAAGCAGTGACTCTCCTAGACTTCCCATATTTCATATATGTTTGGAGTAACTTTAAAAAAAATAAATTTGTAACATTCTTCTTATCCTCACATCTTTTTTTTTTTTGAGATGGAGTCTCATTCTGTCACCCAGGCTGAAGTGCAGTGATGCGATATTGGCTCACTGCAACCTCCGCCTACTGGGTGCAAGCGATTCTCCTGCCTCAGCCTCCAGAGTAGCTGGGACTAAAGGTGCCCACCACCACACCCAGCTGATATTTGTATTTTTAGTAGAGATGGGGATTCACTATGTTGGTCAGGCTGGTCTCGAACTCCTGACCTCAGGTGATCCATCTGCCTCAGCCTCCCAAAGTGCTGGGATTACAGGCAAGAGCCACCACACCTGGCCCTTAAAACTAACCTTGAAGTCCATTTATGACTATTCCCTCCCTCTTTTATGTCCTTTCTTGTAAACCAGTTGCTAAGCCCCATCGATTCTTTAAGTCATGTCTGTCAATATGAATTTTCCTTTCTAACACCTTTTTCTAAGCCATGGCTGACTTATTACTGTAAGTAGTATTGTATACAGTACTACTACTTATTACTATATATACTTCTACAGAAGACATATATGACTTATATACTCAGAATCTATCTGTTAAATCATTAGAAAAACGAATTTCATATGACAGTACACTTCAATGTGTACAGAATGAAGGTCAAACTCCTTAGGTCTAATTTAAGATATTCCATAATCTGAAATAACCTTCTCCATCCATAGATTATTCTTACCCACTAAGTTAAATTGTTCCAGACTTAATTTAAAAATTATATATATAAATTTTTTTTGAAACAGAGTCTTACTCTGTCCTCCCAGCTTGGAGTACAGTGGTGTAATCCTGGCTCACTGCAACCTCCGCCCCTGTGCTCAGGCAATCCTCTTGCTTCAACCTTCCAAGTAGTTGGAACTACAAGTGTATGTCACCATGTCTGGCTAATTTTTTGTTATTTTTAGTAGAGATGAGGTCTCACCATGTTGCCCAGGCTGGTCTTGAACTCCTGGACTCAAGCAGTCTGCCCACCTTGGCCTCCCAAAGTGCCGGGATTACAGGCGTGAGCTATCGCACCCAGCTGCATATAGGTTTCTTTTCTAAACTTCTGAACTAAGAAGTCTTGAACAGCTGTAAGAGAAACCTCTTAGAGCAGTGCTGAGACAACTGTCAATAAGGGCTCTGGAGGCCAGACTGCCTGGTTTAGATCTGGGTGCTCCCATTTACTAAATTCTGTGACCCCAGGATAGTCATTTCCTCTGTGTCCCACTTTCCTTATCTTGAAGTAAGATAATAGGAAATACATCATAAGGGGTTGTGTATAAAATAAATCAGTGCCAAGTACATATTAAATGCTTTAGACAATTTGTTAAAATGTATTTAATATAGGACTTTTAACTCCTTGATAATTATCTCTTGAAAAATATCTGTCCTATTTCTCCATTGGGATGATAATGGTCAAGAAGACAGGCTTTGTTAGCCACTTTTTAATATTCACTACACGGGGCATAGGCTTGTTATACAGAAAAGCTACTCAATAAATATTGGTCTCTCACTCAGTGTTCATAATATTGAACTCCTTCTTAAGAAGCTTTTAAAATCCACGTCCTTCCAAAAAATGTTTTCTAAGTTAAAACATTTACGTTTAAAAAGTAGACATTTGCAAGGTATCACCTATACATATAATTTATGTATCATTTTATAGATAATATGAATTGTTTAAATCAATATTATAGTTAGTAAATTCATTTTGCCAGACAATTTACCATTCTTAACTTTTAGAATTCTGCAAACTACTTGTTTGCTTATGAGTAGACTTGTTTTCAAAAAGAATACTTATAAAAGTTTTGTTTTAAAACATACATACCTTTAGCTTTTTACAACTGGAAACAGTAGTATCTTGCTGTTGTTCCTGAGAGTCTTCACATTTGTCTACAGTGCTCGGTCGTTTTTTAGAGGAATTTGAGATGTTTTTGTTTATGCACTCTGATACTGGGGGCAACATCGTAGAAATACTAAATTTATTGTTATTTTCCCCAGGTTTTACAATATGAATATTCATTTTTTCTTTTCTCTTCAGCTGTAAAATCTTCCTTCTGTTATACAGCATTTGGCATAGGAAAAAGGAAATGGTTAGTTCAGCATTTTTAGTACATATCATCTTCATATGTTCAATCGTTTTCATGACTTTCCTAATGTGGGCCATTTTTCCTAAATCTTTCCTAGGGGCAGACATTACATTCTTCAGCAGTGTAGAAAATTGATTGTAGTTGTATTCTAACTCTGTCACAGTGCTTCCATAATTTATGGATGCTATATATGGCACAAAGTCAATATATGTGGAAATAAAATACTTGGACTTCTTCAGAAGCTTTTTTATTTCTGAAAGTTCTTGAAGTTCTCTTGAGAGCAAATGAATAGCATATGAGCAATTAACAGCTTCATTATATTTGCAGATAATATCCAGATCTTTCTTAAGTTCGGAAACAGCAGTCTCTATCACTTTCCAAAGGCAAACATCTGTTGAGTTATCTTTAAGAAATGAAAAAGAAGCCATTTTTTCTTGGCACTGAACCAGCTCAGGAAGAAGTGACAAATCAAACCAAAGCATACCTCGAAACCTCTGTTTGTCTAGTTTCTTTGCTATTGAGTTTTTAAGAAAGTGAATTGTTTCTGAGACCATGACGATTTCAATATACATTTCAATAGCTTCAGGCTTTAAAATGATAGCCTCATGGCTGTGGTTTATCACCACGTCTAAAACATTTTCTTCTGTGATAAAAATATTATCCATGTTATTATCTTGTAGCATCTGAAAGTATTTTTTTAAAATTTCTAAGTGATCTGTACATCTCAAGGTGAGATCCTGTAATTTTTTAAGGTCTGCAAATTCAGCCTGATCCAATATCTCACTAATACAACAAATATCTGGGTGTGCAAGCAAATTACTGTTAAATTTAGAATTTTCTATGCTAATTGTTGCTTCGTTTATTGGATGATCTGACTTTCTGGAAGCAATTATAGTATCCTCCTCAAGCCCAATAGGGGAAATTGGTTCATTGTTTAAATCTTTAGACAAAGTATCATATATCTTCTGCAACTTAGAAAAGGCACATTTATTCACTCTGAGTAGCCTTTCTTCGTCCTTCTTTTGTGAGTATTTTTTGCTGAAGGATTGTGTTCTCTCTTTCCAAACAAGATTTTTTGCAGCATCAAAAAAGATATGTTCCAGACCATAAAGAGATATTTTAACACGTACTGCCTCGTTGTTCTTAATAAAATTAACCTTTGAGGAGATCATTTCTATGATAATCCACAGATGGTCCTGTTTTCCTGGATACGAATGAACTTTAGGAGAGTCCCCACATACATTGATCAACTTTAAAGTACTTTTTCTTAAGATTTCCAGGTCTTCTAAACTATCTCCAAAGTTAACTCCACAGGTAAATGGAACAGAAAGAGAAAAATCAAAGCAATCGGAACAATGCTCCATTATGGCTTCACATTCATTAACCTGTCGTTTGTACTTTAAGAATACATAGTATGAATTCTTTTCCCTTTTTGTTTCTTCAAGCAATTCAACTAATTGATCATGGTAAGTCTGTAACTCACAGAATGCATTATATTTTAATCTTCCTTGGAAACCAGGATAGAAATTAGACTGCTGTTGAAATCCACGTGGTTTTCCAAGAAGCTCAGCATACAGTGTTTCATCATACCAAAGCAAGCTTCGCAATGTTGGTTCACCTTCTAAGTGCCTTTTTTTGTTTTCAATGAATTGAATTGTTTCCATCATCATTTGAAGTTCTACCAAAGTGTCAACAGCACATGGTTTTAATGTGTGTTTGCAATTATTCCACAGGTTTTGGTCTACCAACAGTTCTCTTGAAATCAGGATTTGTTCAACTGAACATTCTTGCTTTCTTTCAAAAGCTTCCACAAATAAAGGGAGAATATTTAGACAAACCTTAGTTTCTTCCTGTAGAATCTGCAAAGATGATGCTTCATCTGCCCTCTGCAAAATTTGAGATAGATTAGCTATAAGGGCCGTATGATTAGCTGAGCAATGTTTTTCTTTAAAATCACTCACGTATGACGCAGGTTTCTTCAGAAGAGTAGGGACTTTACAGGTTTCAGAGTGGGCAGGTAAAATAGGCGTATGATTAACTCCTAGAATTCCTGGTTTGGAAATATAGGCTATTTCTGAATGTAATGTCAAGTCAGACTGCGAGTCTTTACTAACTTTAATTTCCCCCTTCTTCTCTCTTTTGTTAAGCGGATTAGAAACTGTGTTCTTCAAAGGGACTGACTCAGTGGTAGTATTTTTAGTGCTCAGATGGGAATCAATCAAGTTAGTTGTAATAATTTTCTCATTTAAGCAGGATTCTTCTGAGATCTGATTCTTTTGATTTTTGTACTCAGTATTAACAGTTGATCCTTCAGTCATGCTTCTTTTGTAAACAGAATCTTTTGCTTTTTCCGCTTGTTTAACTTTCCACGTTATTCTGTCCTCAGTGTCTTTCTTCACAATACATGTTTCTGAAGAGGAGCCTTTTACATTATCTTTTAAAAGCAGAGAACTATCACTGGAAGATAATTCCACTATATTTTCCCCATAACTTTTATCTTCTTCAGTTCCTGATGCTACATCCAACTCATAATTCTCAGTGACATTTGTTTCATTCCCATCTGTATGGAGGCAATTACCTGAAGAGCACTGTTCTGTCTTTAGAAGCTCTTTTTCTCTACAGCTCTGCTCACAGTGTGGTACAGTACTGGATGCTGCAAAAGAATCTACAGTAAGAATTCTCTGCTTATCCAAGTAAGATTTTGAAGATTCTCCCTCACTATCTGTCACTGCAGCGGCTGATAACTGAGGAATACTGTACTTTTTACTTGCTATCAAAGTTAGGTTTAATGGGCCCATAAGGAAGTTTCCTGTAATAATGTTTTGTTTGGGTCTCTCAATAGGATCTGTCCACTTTACTTCCAGGTTTCTTTTACAATCAGATAAAATAAGGTTACCTTGTTGGTAGAGATCATTTAAAAAGTGCTTCACATTTGAATCTAAGACTGATATAAGTACGTCAGTTTTCGCCTTTGTGTGACCTATGCAAGTTGCATCACAATCGTTGCCTGTACTAGAATTTATGTTTTCTTTTATGCAACTTAAAGATACAGAATTACTTTCATTTATTACTTCATTAGCGTCACAACTGTTTTCTTTAGTTGCATCTTTAACATTATGATTTGCTGAATGTTTTTCAAGCTTTTCATATTTACTAGTGCTAGATAAAAATGCTGTATCAATTTGATTTTCTTTTTCTATTAGTTTCTCATCTGAGTGGTCTGGGGAAAACAGATATGCAGTTTTTCCAGAAAAGGGCTGATGTTCTTCTGATAAACTTGGATTGCTTACACTGCTATTATAATAAACTGACTGACTTGTACTTTGGGATGTGGAGGATACAGGCAACTGTGATTCAGGATGTTCTTGATTACAAAATTCTCCCATGTGACTGGTGGTGGGGTGACTTTTTGAGACACTGCTAGCCATACTTTTCCTAGAAAGGCATTTTTTCTCTCCACTTGTTTTATAAGACTTGTGCTTTGACACATGGGTTAATGATTTAGAAATATCAGCTTTTGGAGCTCTTTTCTTTCTCCGTTTGTCATATTTTCTTTTTGACGAAAAATGCTTAGTAGAATAATATTTTCTTTGAGACACAGAACTATAACCTTGAAGGTCACAACTTTCCCAGAAATTATTGCATATTATTGCATATGATTTTGGTAATGGGCCCTTTCTTTCTTCTCCTACTTTAGTTATAAGCTGCAAAGATGTGTGAACTCTTCTATGAGCTTTTTTTAAGTGAACAACTGCTTTGTCTAGTTTTCTGGAAAGACATTTGCTTTTACATAAAGATGCTTCATCACTTAGGATATTTAGGACACTCTTAATGTGCTTTTCTGACTGTGAAAATGTTTTAATTCGTCCTTGGGATAATGAAGAGAAACACTCAGATGAGTCTTGACTGGTTAGCCTCCTCTTTCTCCCATAAATTTTATGTCGTCTTAAATCTTTATGTGGTATGTTCTGATCCCTGGAAGATATATGTAGCTTCCTTTTGCTAATTCTTGATTCTACCTCCTTTTTATTTTTGGTATCATTATAGTCAGTTTTTGATTTTGTAAAGAAACATCTGCTTCCATCATCTATTGTTGTGACATTAGAAGGTTCAGTAAACAAAGATTCACTGTTCTGATTTTCAGACGTATGATTCACATCTGTATTACGACTCAAGTCAAAAGAAAGGGAGATTTCAGAGTTACTCACTGGCCCTGATTCTTGCCTTATATTATCAACTTTATCTTCACATGGATAATCTGCATTTTCACCAAAAGGCTGGGAATAAATGTCAAATCCTAGAATTTCTCCATCTTCCTTATTTATTTCCGGTTTTGTGGCTTCAGTTACATGTGTGCAAAAACTATCTTTCAATGCAAGGGAGTCAGCTGTCGGGCTGAATCCTGGCCTAAATATATTAGTAATTTTAATTTGTAGATCTGGAAGTAAAATTGGGCTGGTAAGTTCTGTTTCATTGTTTTGTGTAGAGGAATAAAAATAGTTACTTTCCTTAGAATAATGCTGATCACTATTCTCCCTTCCTGTGGTGCTTTCCAAAACTTCCATCTCCCCGTTATCAAGTGCTAACAGACCTTCCCAACTGATACGAGACTTCAGAGCCTTATATGAGGTCACAAATTCTTCACAAAGCATGTTTTCATGGCTATGTGTATCTTGTTGAAATATAAAAGCATCATCACAATCTTCTAATTCTATTTCAATTTCACTTTCCAATTCAATGCTCTGAAGAACTAAGTTCTCATTTATTGATTGATGAAATGATTCTTGTGATTTATTTTTATCCGTATCAATTTCACAATCAGAAACCCTATGTTTTACTAACAAACCAAAATCTGGACTTTCAGAAGAACAAGTTTCTTTAAACTGGTATATCTGGTGATCGTCATTATTTAGGCTTAATGCAGGCATAGTAGCACTAGCTATCTGTATTGCAGCATTTGAGGCTACACACACTGAAGAACTTGCAGTTTTGGGAAATGTCGTGGAAGCCAAATGCTCTACACTTCTTCCAGTATTTTCAGTATCTTTTTGTTTCACGGCACTAATGGTATCTTCTTCACTCTCTAATAATGCAGTTGCTGCTGACACTGCATTATCTTCTCTGCAAATCAAGTTAAATTTAGTAGAAAATTCTTCAGAACTCAAAATTTCTATATTGTGGTAATTTTTGTCCTCCTTTTCATCTATATTGCTGAAATTTTCGTTTGTATGAGAATCCTGCTTTTTGTCTCCATATATGTTCTCTATGTTGTTTTCTACACATGAAGCACTATTCTCTTTAGCCTCATTTTGGTTTTCTCTATCTGTTTGTTTTTTGAAATTAACATTCAGCCATATATCATTGCTTAACTGTGAATTACAGAACAGATTGTGATCCTGACCCCTATCTTCAACATAAGCAGTTTCTTTATAGTCTCTCTGAATGTTCTCTAATGACACTGGTTCATTTTCATTTTTCCTATGGACACATATATGTTCTCTAGTTATGCTGCAATTTGAACTGTCATGAGCTGTTTCTATGTTATAAGATGAAATAACTGTATCAATGAACATTTCTTTGGCCTGGGGTATGTCTTTTGGTTTCGGGAAAGCTTCAGTTATAATGCTAGCATAATTTTGATTTATTTTCCCCAATTTCAGTTCCATTAGCTTTTGAGCAATGGCTAAACTTGTATGAATGTTACCCTCATACTCCACAGAGTGCTGAGGATGCTTTTGTGACAGGCTCTCAAAACTTGGAGTAATTTGCCATTCCAATGCTAGATGATCTAGTTCATCCTTATCCTTTATGGTAGATGTAGAAGATTTTGTTATTTCTAACTCTTGAGTAATTAATATTTTATCACAGCTTTTCCCAAAAGAATTATGACTCTCACTCTCTTTGTATTCTTGGTGCAAAACAATGTAATTATCTATTGGACTGATTTTTGTTTCATTAGTGAAATCATTATCAATTTCTTTCCATGAAGTTTGCTTTTCTTCATGTTTGGAACTGTCTTCCAGGTCAGCGAAGTTTTTCATCTTTCCAGTATTTTGAAGGTATTCATCAATGCTTACTTTCTTTTTGAGTGGAAAAACTGTAGACGTTTGGCAACCAGTCTGATAAATTGTTTTTAAATCAGAAGACTGCGAGTCCTGAAAAATGTGACTACTGTACTCTTTTGTATAAGCATTACCGGACTCCTGTTGGGCTCTCTGAGCCTTCTCCTCACTGTGGTTTTGGTTCTCAACCTCTGACACTACATTTGACACAGAAATTGGGAAGGAAAAATTACCTTGGTCCTTACATTGCCCTGCCATGGTAACTTTATTGGGAGGTATACAGTCATAGTCCTCAGAGCCCATGTTGTGAGCCCAAGATTGTGAATCATTAACAGAAGTTTTAAAGCAAGGGGTATCCAAACCATTAGTAAGAACAGCACAATCACCAGGGACAACTTCTGAGGAGGAGGCAGAATTAGATGGTGTCGATTTTATTTCTGAATTAACATTATCTGAACTCTTCTCAAATTGCAAAACCTCATTTAAGCCTGCAGTACTACTCTGTTCTCCCATACTTTCTTCTCTCCTCATCAGTCTTGGGTCTTTGATGGATTTTGAAGTAGTGACTGTGCTTGAGCCAGTATTGTTGTGAAGAGGAAAAGAAGCATTAAGACCACTTAAAATATTTTTAAGACTTGTCCAATTTAACAAAAGGTCACCATTAACACTGTCTTTGGCATCACTGGGCATAAGTGAAATGTCTGAATCATGTGCAAGTACTTGAGAAGTGTCTCTAATTTCTGCTAAACTGTGCTCTGTCTGTCCACTGTATGTTTCAGGTATAGAAATGTTTCCATTTTGTACATTTCCATAGGAGTTAGAAATATTTGAGATGAAAGGATTTATCTCTGAATTTAGTGCATTGCATAAACAGTTTTCTTGAACAAATGGATCTACAGGTTTCTTGAAATGCACAAAGGTGACAGTAGCATCTTTTCCTTTTCCAAATCTTTTGGCCACTGTACAGTTATTCAGAGAGCATGTCCTTTCTGTGGAAATAATAAGGAAGACAAATTTGAAAAAAAGTGTTTCTATAGACAACTATTAATACAGGTACATTGTGTCCAGTAATTTTAATTGAAAGTTCAGCTAATAACCTAATGATGATTAAAATGTGTTTTCAACGGAAAAAGCAAAGAGAGAAGGGGATGATTAACAAATAAATAAAATATAAATGACGTAGCATGAAATTCTCCTCGTCTAGAAACCTTAATAAAGAGTATTTGCCATAAAAGTTTAATTCTGACAAATAATAGAAAAAAAATGACAAATAATAGAAAAAAACTAAATAGGGGCTGGGCACGGTGGCTCACGCTTATAATTCCATTACTTTGAGAAGCCAAGGTGGACAGATCATGAGGTCAGGAGTTCGAGACCAGCCTGGCCAACAGGGTGAAACCCTGCTAAAATACAAAAAAAAAATTAGCCAGGTGTGGTGGTGGGCACCTGTAATCCCAGCTACTCAGGAGGCTGAGGTAGGAGAATTGCTTGAACCTGGGAGGTGGAGGTTGCAGCGAGCCGAGATTGCGCCACTGCACTCCAGCCTGGGCAACAGAGCAAGACTCCATCTCGGGGGCTGGGGGCAGAGGTGGGGAAGAATAAAACTAAATAGGAATAAAAACATTTTCCCAATAGATAACAGCTCTCTTATATTAATTTTCTATATTCAGATGTTTAATAATAGCATGTACATATAAGAAGGCAAAATAATCTCCCTCTATCTACCATTACCTTGCTTCTCCCTCTACCATGGGAGAAAAAAAAGGAAAGGAAAGGGGTGTGAGGTGGAAAAACAGGGAAAGGAAAACCCAAAAAGTTCCATAAAATCTTTCCCAGGAGCCAAAGCAAACTACTATTCGTCTTTTGCAGTGAAATGAATGTTCCTGCAAATAATATATGCAAATAAAAACCTGGAAAATAAAAGCAAACTTTTAAAATAATTTATAAAAATTATTTCTAAAATTTCCTAAGAAACCTCATGTAATAATGAATTTACAAAATGCATATTTAACAAGTAAATAATAATTTCTCATAAATGTTCACCAAACATTCATAGCTAAGTAACACCCTAAAAATACCTTTCCTAAAACAGGAATTAATGATGAGAAATTGCTTGTGACATCTATAAAACATATGAAGTTATCATGTCACTGACAAGTACCATAAGGTTCTTTTTCACAGTAAGAGAGCTATGTTGAAGATTTCTAAATTCTACTACCATTTGTGATTTTATTACTTACAGTAAGCTATCATGGAAATATGACCACATATGAAGAGATGTAGTTCTTTAGAGTGGGGAGTATAATGGAGAAGAAAATGGAAATGTAGATTCCTACACCTACACCAAAATAAAATTTGCTATTTAAAAAACTCCATAAAAGTACTAGAAAAAAAAATGAATGGATGTTTTTATAATCTTGGCATAGGAAAGTACTTTTAAAGCATGACTGAAAATCAGAAAACATAAAAGTAAAACATGATGTCAATTACATATAAATTATTTTAATAGGTCAAAATGCATGATAAACAATACTCAAAGGAAAAAAATAGGTAAAATTGTCAACAAACACAAAAAGATGCCCCAACCCCACTAAATAAACAGTAAGATCCATTAAAAAAAACTTTTTAAACTGGCAAAAATTTGAAAGAATGATTAATACTATACAAATGTAAGCACTTTTTAATATGGTTCATGGAAGTATAAATTCGTACAAATTTCCTGGAAAACAAGCTGACAGTATTCATCGATATGTTATATGTAATCATTCAAAGCAAACCCATTCTTACTCATTTACTACTCTGATAAACTTGTATAAATACCCAAAGTTCTATGGACAAGGATCTTCAGTAAAATAACCCAAGACAGTTAAAAGCTAGAAACCTAACTATACATCAATATGAGACTGGCTAAATGAATGACATATCAAAAATGATAAAATTACTATGAGCATACGTTATAACAAATGTCCTAGAAGACAGAATGTTATGCAGCTATTACAAAGATTAAGATGGATTAATATGGCCGGGCAAGGTGGCTCATGCCTGTAATCCCAGCACTTTGGGAGGCGGAGGCGGGCAGATCACTTGAGGTCAGGAGTTTGAGACCAGCCTGGCCAACATGGTGAAACACTGTCTCTACTAAAAATACAAAAAACTAGCCAGACGTGGTGGTGTGTGCCTGTAGTCCCAGGTACTCGGGAGGCTGAGGCAGGAGAATCGCCTTGAACCCGTGAGGCGGAGGTTGCAGTGAGCTGAGATCACACCACTACACTCCAGCCTGGGCAACAGAGCAAGACTCTGTCTCAAGGAAAAAGAAAAAAAAAAGATGGATTAATATATACCAATGTGGGAAAAGAAACCTAATTACTTAAGTTTAGACTGGGTGAATCTTCTGAGGTCAGGAGTTCGAGACCAGCCTGGCCAACATGGTGAAACCCTGTCTGTACTAAAAATACAAAAATTAGGCATGGTGGCACATTGCCTGTAGTCCCAGTTACTTGGGAGGCTGAGGTGGGAGGATTGCTTAAACCCAGGAGGCGGAAGTTGCAGTGAGCCGAGATGGCACCACTGCACTCCAACCTGGGTGACAGAGCAAGACCCCATCTCAAAACAAACAAGCAAAAAAACCCTAACTGCTTAAGTTTAATAATTTCACTTTTACAAATGTGTGACAAATGCATTTTAACATACACATAATGTTAACAAAAACTTATAAAATACTTAACATGGATGCCAGGTCCTGTTTTAAGTGCCTTATGTACATTAATTTAATCTTTTTTTTTTTTTTTTTTTTTTTTTTGAGACAGAGTCTCTGTCGCCCAGGCTGGAGTGCAGTGGCACGATCTCGGCTCACTACAAACTCCGCCTCCCGGGTTCACGCCATTCTCCTGCCTCAGCCTCTCCGAGTAGCTGGGACTACAGGCGTCCGCCACCACGCCTGGCTAATTTTTTGTATTTTTAGTAGAGACAGGGTTTCACCGTGGTCTCGATCTCCTGAAGTCGTGATCCGCCCGCCTTGGCCTCCCAAAGTGCTAGGATTACAAGTGTGAGCCACCGCGCCTGGCCACATTAATTTAATCTTAATAACATTTCCATTTTACTGATGAGGAAGTGAAATTAAGAACAATTTGCTCAGAATCACACAGTTTATTAACAGTAGAATCTTAATCTCTATATTATGCTATCTCTTTAAACTTGATAATGGCATTTTTACTTTATTCCCTTTTTGTTGGCATTCTCATCAAATGACAATTAAAAATTGCAGAACAAATCCAACATCTTGGGTGCACCAAACTCTCACAAATCACCACTAAAGAACTTACTCATGTAACCAAATACCACCTGTTTCCCTAAAAACCTACGGAAATAAAAAAAAATTGAAATAAAAAAGTAGTAAGAAAAAACCCCCAACAAATCCAACATCTTCAATGCAATACGGAAACTAATAAAACCAGATTACAATCAATAAAGTACACTACCAAATAGTTATTAGTACCATATATTCAGTGATGATGGAAATGTTATCTGTGGTAGCTACTAGCCACATGTGGTTACTGAGCACTGAAATGTGCCTGGTGTGACTGACAAATTGAATTTATAATTTTATTTAATTTTAATTAATTTAAATTTAAAGAGCCACATGTGACTAGTGGCTACTGTATTAGATAGTGTAGTCTGGTGTACTCTGGAGGGAGATGAATATGCTGATAGCCAACACATGTGGCTATGACTGTGGGCATAATATAGGTTTTCTCTAAAGTTAATCACCCTGAAAGGCATCATCCTTTGATTAAAGCAATAAGCTATAATACATTGCGGATGGGCTGCAGTAGAAGTAGGGAAAGGTCCCTATCTGTTGTCTCTAATATAAGCCTTCCGGCTGAGGGGAAATGTGGACAGAACAACTAGGTAAAATCGTCAAGGAAAGAGAACACTTGAACAACCTATAAAACAAGTAGGTAAAATCGTCAAGGAAAGAGAACACTTGAACAAACTATAAAACAAGTAGACCTAACAGCCTATGGAACACCCTGCCTGGCAACAGCAGAATATAGTACAATTGGCCCTATGTATTGGTGGGTTCCAAATCCATGGATTCAACCAATCATGGGTGAAAAATTAAAATAAAAACACAACAAAATAACAATATAACAATAAAAAATAATACAAATAAAAAACACAGTATAACAACTATTTACATAGCACAAATGTGGTATTGGTATTATAAGTAATATAGAGATAATTTAAAGTATATGGGAGGATGTGTGTAGGTTATATGCAAATATTGACCCAGTCTGTGTAAGGAATTTGAGCATCCACAAATTTTGGTATTCATGGAACATCCTGGAACCAATCCTCCCTGACAGATACTGGAGGACTACTGTATATTCTTTTCAGTTGCACATGGATCATTCTCCAGGAAAGACTATATGCTAGGTTATACAACAAACCTCAATAAACTTAAAGGAAAAAGATAAGACAAACTGTTTTCCAACTACAATGGAATGAAATAGATATCGGTTAACAAAAAAATTTTGGAAATTTGCAAATACATAAAAAACATGGTCTGAAAAAAACCAATGAATTAAAGAATAAATCAAAAGGAATTTAGAAAATAAATTTGAGATAAATGAAAATTACAACATTACATATGTCATGGGACACAGCTAAAGTAGTTGTTTCTAGAAATTTATAGCTATAAAGACCTATATTAACAAAGAAGAAATATTTGAAATCAAAACCTAACCTTCCATCTTAAGACACACACACACGTGAAACAGCAAACTAAATCTAAAGCAAACAGAAAAAAATAAAGAGAGGAAATTAATGAAATAGAGAATAGAATAGCAAAAAGAATGAAACCAAAATTGGTTCTTTGAAAAACAAAACAAAACAAAAACAAAATTTATAAACCTTTTTAACCTGACTGACCAAAAAAAAAAAAAAAAAGGAGAAGACTCAAACTAGTAGACTCAGAAATGAAAGAGGGGACATTACTACTAACAGAAATAAAAAGACTATTAAAGGAATACTATAAGCAAATGTATGCTAATAAATTACATAACTGAAATGAACAACTTCCAATAAAACCAGAAAGTACTGAACGTGATGCAAGAAGAAACAGAAAATAAGAACAGACCTAAAACAAGTGAAGAAACTGAATGAGTAATTGAATACTACCCACAAGGAAAAACCCATCCCCAGATGGCTTCCTTAGTGAAGTCTACCAAATGTTTAAAGAAGAAATAATACCAATTCTTCATATATTATTCCAAAAAATAAAAGAGGAGAGAATAGAATACTTCCCAACTCATCCTATGGAACAATATTAACCTACCACCAAAACCAGACAAAGACATCACAAAAAATCGACAGACCAGTATCTCTTACAAATATGGACACAAAAATCCCCAATAAAATTGCAGCAAACTGATTCCAGGAACATATAAAATGAATTATACACCATGACCAAATGGGATCCAAGGAATGCGATGTTAACATCTAAAATCAATTAATGTAATACATTATATCGATAAAAACAACAACAAAAAAAGTCACAACCATCTCAACAAAGAAAAAACAATTGAGAAAATCCAATAGTCTAAAAACTCTCAATAAACCAGAAACAGAAGCAGATTTCCTCAACATGATAAAGAGCTTCTATAAAACTCCTACAACGGACATCATACTTCCTGGTAAAAGACTGGATGCCTTCCCCCTAAATTCAAGAATACAGACAAAGATGTCTGCTCTTGCCACTTCTCTTACTGAAGGTGCTTAGCCAGGGCAATTATGCAAAAAAAGACTGGAAAGAAAAAAGTAAAATTTTCTCTATTCACAGATGACATGATCTTATATATAGAAAATCCCAAAGACCACTAAAAAAAATCTATTAGAATAACGAGTTCAGCAAGACTGCAGGATACACTATAATTACACAAAATCAATTATATTTCTATACATTTGGAATGAACAATACACTAATAAAATAAATAATTCCATTTATGATAGCACCAAATAATACTTAGAAATAAGCTTAACAAAAGAAGTGCAAAACTCATATTCTGAAAACTATACTTCACACCCACTAGGATGGCTATAATAAAAAAGTCAAATAAGTTATGACAAAGATATGAAGAAATTCTAACTCTCAGACACTGCTGATGTGAATTTAAATGGTGCAGCCACTTTGGAAAATAGTCTGGCAGTTCCTTGATTAGTTACTACAGAGTCTTCATATAACCCAGCAATTCCACTCTTGGATATACTGTACTCAAGAGCAATGAAAACATATATCCATGTAAAAACTTGTATGCGAATATTCATAGCAGAATTTGTAATTGTCAAAAGATGGAAACAACCCAAATGTTGACCAACTGATAAATACAATATGGTGTATCTATACAATGAAATGGTACTGCATAAAAAGAAATAAAGTACTGATACATGCTACAACATGGACGAACTGGGAAAACATTGTTAAGTGAAAGAAATCAGGCGCAAAAAAGTCCAAAAACTATGATTTTACTTAAATGAAATGCCCAGATTAGGCAAATAAGTACATTAGTAGTTGCTTAGGGCTGGGGGTCAGGGATATAATAGCTTTTAAAGGGCACAAAGTTTCTTCTTTTTTTTTGAGACAGAGTTTTGCTCTTTCACCCAGGCTGTAGTGAAGTGGTGCCATCTCGGCTCACTGCATCCTCTGACCCCCAGGTTCAAGCGATTCTCCTGCCTCAGCCTCCCACGTAGCTGGGATTATAGGCGCCTGGCACCATGCCCAACTAAGTTTTGTATTTTTAGTAGAGACAGGGTTTCACCTTGTTGGCCAGGCTGGTCTTGAACTCCTGACCTCAGGTAATCCATCTGCCTCGGCCTCCCAAAGTGCTGGGATTACAGGCATAAGCCATGGTGCCCGGCACGAAGTTTCTTTAAAATGTGAGCTTCGGCAGGGTTCGGTGGCTCACGACTGTAATCCCAGCACTTCTGGAGGCTGAGGCAGGTGGATCACTTGAGCTTAGGAGTTTGAGACCAGCCTGGGCAACATGGTGAAACCCTGTCTCTACAAAAAAAAATACAAAATTAGCCAGGTGTGGTGGTGCGCACCTGTAGTCCCAGCAACTGAAGGTGGAGACGGGAGGATTGCTTGAGCTTGGGAGGCGGAGGCTGCGGTGAGCCAAGTTGTGCCACAGCATTCCAGCCTGGGTGACAGGGTGAGACCCTGTCTCAAAAACAAAACAAAACAAAATACCTTAAATTTTAAAACTGTGGTGATGATTGCACATATTTGTGAATATGCTAAAAGCTACTGAATCTTATACTTTTAAATCAACTGAATTGACATACAATAGAAAATAAAACAAAATAGCTATCATTTAAAATAGCATAAAATATCAAATGTTTGAAAATAAAAGACATGTAAGATATTATAGAGAAAATTATAAAATTGAAATACGTTAGAGATAACTGACATGGGAGAAACACAATGTTAATAGATTAGAAAACTCAATAAAGAAGACAATTTTCCACAAATTAATATATAGATTCCATCAATCTCAATCAAAATTCTGATAGATTTGTTGGCAGACCTTGATAAGCTGATTCTAAAATTTCTATGACAGCAAAGGACCAGAAACAAAAAATTATTTTTAAAAAGATGAAGGATCAGTTATATAGGTATTAGTATTTTTTCTCTCTCATACAAAGTCAGGTATTAGTATTTTTAATGAAGTTACAATAATTAAGGCAAGATGCTCATGGCAAAAGGATAGGCAAAGAGATGAATAGAGAGTCCAGTAAGAGATCCCTGCAGCACCTGCAGCCAACTGATATATTATAGAGGTGGTACTGCAGTATACATCAGTGGGAAAAATGGATTCTCCAATAAACTGTACTGAGACAACTGGGTTAGCACATGTAAACTAAAATAAACTGGGACTTTAAAAGAATCCTATCGCACACCAAAGTCATTTCCAGGTAGATAAAACAAAAATGGGAAAACATACCCATAAAGTTTAAAAAAACAGAAAAATATCTTCAAGTCCTAGGAAAAGTATTCTTATGAAAGACACATGTAGTAGTACTTAAAAAGACATATCTGACATTAAGAACCCCTGTTCATCAAAAAACATTTGACAAAAATGAGAATACGAAGACACAAACTCAGAGAAGACACTCGCAACACATACAACTGACCCAAGAGCCAATATCCAATATGTAAAAGAATTCCTACAAATCAGTAATGAAATAAAAATTAGCTCAATTAGAAAAAGCAGATGAAAGATGTGACCAGGAATTTCAGAAAAGTGGAAAACTAATGGCCAATACACCTATCAAAAAAGAACCTAACTTACTTAGCATTTGAGGAAAAGTAAAATACAAAAGCAATTAAATGCTGTACCTACTAGTGTAGCAAAAACACTGAAAAAGTCTGACAGCACTAAGTTTGGTGAGGATACAAAAATCCTCAACTTCATTAATTAGGGAAAAACAAGTTAAAACCACAATGAAATAACATATCACACTCATTAGACTGGCAGAAACAAAACTTTAAAAAAAAGCATAGTATGTGTTGACAAGAATATGGAGTGATTATGTAATCTAATGCAAACCACTTTGGAAAACCATTTGATGTTGTCTTTAAGTTGAACATTCCTGTTGTAAATACATATTCTATGGAAAAATTCTTGCACATATGCCATGAGACACTTTTATGAATATTTAAAATAGCAATGTTTGGAATAAGAAGAAGACTGGAAAGTGCCCAAACATCCTCAGTAGGATAGTGTACAGTGTGTCTACACAATGGAATACTCTTTCCATTTATCCAAGAAAATGAACAAACTACAGTTACACATATCAATAGGGAAGAATCACACAAACCTAATACTGAGCAAAATACCTGCAGTATGATTCTAGATCTATAAAATGTAAAACAGGTAAAACACAACTATTTTACTTGGAGATTCACTACTTTTTTTATCTTTTTCTTTTTTTTTTTTTGTTTGTGACAAGGTCTCCCTCTGTCACCTAGGCTGGGCGCAGTGGTGTGATCCTGACTCACTGCAACCTCCACCTCCTGGGTTCAAGTGATTCTCCTTCCTCAGCCACCTGTGTAGCTGGGATTACAGGCACACAACACCACACCTGGCTAACTTTTGTATTTTTACTAGAGACGGGGTTTTGCTATGTTGGCCAGGTTGGCCTCAAGTAATCCGCCCACTTCCGCCTCCCAAAGTGCTAGGATTACAGGTGTGAACCATTGTGTCCAGCCAGTAAATAATACTGAGAAATTTTAAGACCAGCACAAATATTAATCAAGTACAATCATATGTGTATCTTACCAGCTCTCTTAGGAAATCCTGTTGAGAGGAATCTCAAAGATGTCATAAGGCGTCCATTATCTACTTTTGAACCAAGAAATTTTACTGTTACTACAGCATATGGAAGACATTGCCTAGGTTTATCTACAGGCTTTGAAAGGACACTGTATTCATAGAAGTACACCTGAAAGATGAAAACAGGTTCATGCTGATTAATTTTGGCAATCAGAGTTGAATAAGCTCATATTTTTAAAAAATCAATATAATTGCATATTATTTATATACTTCCATATAAACTTCTCCAGCTGCCTTGTTTAACCCTAATGTTTTTGAAGATGTACAGAATTCCTTTTTCTCCCCCACAATTTTTTTTTGATAGGCTACTAATGTCTGCAGAAAAAGGCACAATTCGTTTTTAAATAAAAAATATTTTTTCATTAAAAGCTAAATGTTTTGCATGAAGTTTCAACTACTCTATTTTATTTGGTAGAAAAAATTAGGAAAATAACAATAGGTAATCTGTTTTACATGTGGGTGCATGGATATACTTTCATTGGGAAGATTTATCTTCATTTAATCATAATATGATTATATATAATCCATATATAATTTAATATTCTGTATAAAATTAAAGGTCCACAGAATAAGTGAAATATGACAGATTACTGTTTCATCTGATGACTAATACATAAGCCTTTTCTTTTTCCTACTTTTGCAAAGTATAGAAGATCAAAATCTTGTTTCAAAATAGCCTTGTTTTTTAAAATTAATATTATTTATGATTGATAAATCTTAACTATATATATTTGTGGGGCACAATGTGGTGTTTTGATATATGTATACAATGAGGAGTAATTAAATCAAGGTAATTAACATGTCCATCACCTCACCCATCACTTTTTATGGTGAGACATTGGAAATTTACTCTCAGCAATTCTGAAATAATGCATTATTATTAAGTATGGTCACCCTGCTGTGCAGCCTTGTTTAAATGAGAAGTTGGTATATTTTGAAAGTTAGTAATTAATCTATATAATATCTAAATAAAAGAAGCCACTGTACTTTGAACTGAGTTAAATGTAATTTTTCAAACTTCTTCACTAATATTCCATACAACAAATATTAAAATAGCTTTCACTGTTTGCTTAAGATATTATATTGAACGAATTAAGAGATTTTCATTTAACATTTTGGGAATTTAAGTCTTAAAACATACAATGTGAAACATGTACTTTTCAAGAAATCAAATGAACCATTAACATACTGCTGAACTGTAGGCTTGCAGTTCAATGGTATCTTTCAAAGAAGGTGCATTTCTTGACATATGGCAATCAAAGTTAGGAGAAGGATCCAAAGAAACTTTATTTTTATCCACAGAAGGTTGGATTTTCTTCACTTTTCCAAAGAGAACCTAAAAAAAAAAAAGCCAAAAAAAAAGTACGTAAAAATATACCAAAACGTTTCTAAACTGTCACATTTCAAACATAAAAGGCTAACATTGCTTTGTTTTTCTGAGACAGGGTCTCACTCTGTTCAGTCCAGGCTGGAGTTGCAGGCTCGACCTCTCAGGCTGAAGCGATCCTCCCACCTCGGCCCCGTTGAGTAGCTGGGACTACAGGTAAGCACCACCGTGCCCAGCTAATTTTTGTAGGAACCAGGTTTCACCATGTTGCCCAAGCTGGTCATGAACTCCTGGGTCAAGCAATTCTCCTGCCTTGGCCTCCCAAAGCACTGGGATTATAGGCATGAGCCACCGTGCCAGGCCCTGATTTTTTTTTTTAAGAAGTAGAAATATGAATGGAAAGATAATCCATTTTCTAGATGAATGGGATGACTCAACATGGCAATTATGTCAATTCTCCCCCAAATTAAACTCTAAGATTAGAGTAATACCAATTAAAATTTCAGAGAATCTACTTTTTTTTTTTTTTTTTTTGAGACAGAGTCTCACTCTGTCACCCAGGCTGGAGTGCAGTGGTGTGATCTTGGTTCACTGCAGCCTCCGCCTCTTGGGCTCCACGATTCTCCTGCCTCAGTCTCCTGAATGGCTGGGATTACATGCCCAGCTAATTTTTGTATTTTTAGTAGAGATGGGGTTTTGCCATGTTGGCCAGGCTGGGCTCGAATTCCTGACCTCAGGTGATCTGCCCACCTCGGCTTCCGAAAAGCGTTGGGATTACAGGCGTGAGCCACCGCGCCCAGCCGAGAATCTACTTTTAAAAATGGGGTTTAATTTTAAAATGTACTTGGAAGACAAACACGAATAGCTCAGAATTTTTTTTTTTTAAGTCTGGGTTAGCAATTGACAATGATGGAACAGGACAAGTGACTTGCAATTACACATATAAAAACATTTTTAAAAAGGATGGTACTACCACAAGAAAAAGCAGAGAAAAGACCAAAATGAACAAAAAAAAGAATGAAAGAAAAAGCCTGGAGTAAGCTCCAACATGTATTAAAAATACTAAAAATACAGTATATTAAAGATACCGTTTGAAATAAAGAAGTGATTATTCAATTAATGATGTGAGACAACAGAAAAAATTAAATTCTTTTCTTAACATGTTAAATATTTAAGTATTAAAAACACAATGAAAATACTGTAGAAAGAAACATAGGCCAATATTTATTCAATCTCAAAGTGACAACTGTTTTCTAAGAATATGTGCCAATAAAATGAAACAAAAACATATAAACTTCACAACATAATATTCTAAAATTTCTGCCCATAAACAACAAATGATTTAAAAACTAAAACCATGAACATAAATGACGGTATTTTATTACTGTTATTTTAAATAGATTAGTACGTTCATTCAACAATCAAAACAATACTAAGAATAAAGTGGTATCCTGAATTGGATCCTGGAACGCAAACAAACATGAGTAGAAAAATTAGCAAAAGCCAAATAAAGTCTGTAATGTAGTTAATGGTGTGACAATGTTAGTTTCTTAGTTTTGACAATCATGCCATATTTATGTAAAATGTTAACATCAGAAGAAGCTGGGTGCATTATATATAAGAGCTCTCTTTATTATCTTTGTGACTTTTCTATAAATCTAACATTATTCTAAGCTAAAAAGTTTACTAAAAAATTAAAAACGTGAAATGATAAAACATTATACAGAGAGAAGCCTAGCTCTTAAAATATGCTTTAGTCAATAGATAATGCTCACCAGTCAACGCAGAAAAAGGGAAAAAATCCCCCCAAACTGTCAAGGAATATAAATAAGTAATTCACTAAATACAGTCAGTAAATATATTCAACAGAAACTTTAAACTCAGGAGTAATCATAATGAAGAAAAAATTAAACCACACATTAGACTGGCAAAAGTTTTTTTTAAAGTTCAGTATAATATATAGGTTTACTGAGGTTGTGAGATAACAGGCATTCTTACACACTGTGGATGGAAATGTCAATTAGTGCAATCTTTCTCAGGACAGTTGAGCATTACACAATCAAAAGATGTAAAAATGTACATACTTTTGATTTCTAATTTGACACCTAGGAATAAACCAATTAATTCTTAGCAAAGAATCATTCGTGTGTGTAAAATGTACCTAAAAGGATAATCTACATAGCATTTAGGAGTGTAAAAACAAAACAAACTAAAAACCAAATAACTTATATCCTAACATTACAGAATTTGTTGGGCAAATATGGCAGGTCTACAGTGTAATATTATGCAGCTGCTCAAAAGGATATTACAAAATAATATTTAAGGGCTTGGAAAATGTTTATTTTATAATCAGTGAAAAAAGCAAGTAATATACAAAGCAACAACATACTTTAATTACAATTATACCTGCATGTCTATATACATGAATAGATGACTAATACACATACACAAAAAACTCTGTGGTTACTGCTGGGCTTTTTGGACTTTTTACTACATTCCAAATTTTCTAAAATCCTTATCTATTACTTTTTAATATAAAAGTAAATTATGCTTAATTTGATATTTGAGGTCAAAAAAATTGTAAGGAGTTATGCCACATGAACCACTGATTTTCTGTAGCTATACACACAATCCCAAGCTGTTTTCATGCAAATCAGGATACCTACTGTGATTTTAATAGTCCTGGCAAAGCTTAACCAGAGTAAATCTTTTTTTTTCTTTTCTTCCCCACTTAGATTTCTCTTTATGTTTATTTCTCCAAGAAAAATGACCAGAATAAATCTTAACCAATTTATCTGTGGATGCCTGCGATTCTGCTATGAGACTTTTTAAGATTTTGAATACCTTTTAGAATTTCAGAAAAGTTGTAAAAATAGTTCAGAGGTCAATTGGGAAGGTGGTGGAGTAGGAGGTACCAGACATCTGTCTCCCCACCTAGACAATAACTGCACTGGCAAAATCTGTCTGGTGTAACTATTTTGGATCTCTGGAACCTACTGAAGGCTTGCAACTTTCAGGGGAACGCTTGAATAGCATACAGGTTGAATATCCCTTATCCAAAATGCTTAAAACCAGAATGTTTCAGATTTTGAATTTTTTCAAATTTCAGAATATTTGTATTATACTTACCAGTTGATCATCCCTAATAAGGAAATCTGAAACCCTAAATGCTCCAATTAGTATTTCCTTTGAGTGTAATGTTGGCACTCAGAAAATCTCAAATTTTGGGGCATTTCAGATTTCAAATTTTTGGATTAGGGATGCTAAACCTGTATTATGGTTAATTTCAGTCAATTTCAGTTCTTAGCACAGTGGCAGCCACCCTTTGTGCCCCATGACAGGCAGCTGTACAGTGTTCCTGGAGCAGCTTGTACATGTGTTCTTGGCCACAATTTTTGTGGGCCAGAGTGGGCAATAATAAACATATGGTATATGTATTCTCATCACTGAGTGCTGCTTCTATTAATAACAGAGTGGCAACTAGAAGTGGCAGGCATTGCTGCATCAATACCATTGTTGCAAGCCCCTCCTTGCCTGGCTGAAATGACACCCAGGGGATTAAAGAGCCAGTGCCTTTTTTCCCTTCTTCATTTTTTTCTTTTCCCCTATTTTGCAGCCAGACATAAAAAAAAAATACTACTCAAAAGCAACTACAGATACAGGAGAAATTAGAAAATCAGCACACAGAGGGAAAAGTGCAGGCTCAGAAAAGGCTGAGAAGTTTATACAGCAGGTTGATCCTTGGCACAGAGACAGCCTACAACAATCAAAAAACAGAAACACAAAACCACAACCAAACCCTGGGAGGAGATGATTTCCAGAGTTACCACATTATTAGATGAAATGTCCAGTTTTCAACAAAAAATATCACCAGGCATGTAAAGAAACAGAAAATTAGAGCCCATTCAAAGGAAAAAAAAAACAGAAATTGTCCCTGAAAAAGACCTGATGGCTGATCTACTAGACAAAGACTTTAAAATAACTGTCTTAAAGATGCTCAAAGAGCTAAGTATGTGGAGATAGTAAAAAAACAATGTATGAACAAAATGGAAATATCAATAAAGAGAAAACTTAAAAACCAAAAAGAAATCCAATAGCTGAAAAGTACAGTAACTAAAATGAACAGCTCTCTAGAGGGGTTCAAAGGCAGATATGAGCAGGCAAAGGAGAGAATAAGTGATCTTAAAGATTGGAAAACGAAAATTATTGAGGCTGAGGAACAGAGAGAAAAAAGACTAAAAAAAAAAAAAAAGTGAACAGACCCTAAGGGACCTGTGGGGCACCATCAAGCGTAAGAACATATATGCTGTGGGAGTCTGAGGACAGAGAGAAAATGGGCAGAGAGAACATTTGAAGAAATGAAGGCTGAAAACTTCCCAAATCTGATGAAAGACATATATATAAACATCTAAAAAATAGGTAGGAGGATCGCTAGAGCCTGGGAGTTTGAAGCTATGTCCTCAGGGAAAAAAAGAAAAAAAAAGAAAAGAAAAGAAAAAGGTTTTACTGTAGCCAGCAAACTATCCTTCAGAAATGAAGAAGAAATAGGAGGGATAATTTCCCAGACCAGAAAAAAAAAAAAAAAAAAAGGCTGAAAGAATTTATTGTTACCAGACTTGTCCTACAAGAGATACTAAAAGGAGTTGTTCAAAACCAAAAGGATGCTAATATGATACTGTAACCATGGTGTATAAACCATCTTTTTTAAGAAGACAAAATGAAAAAACTTAACCACAATTTTTAAGAGACAAGCAATATACATAATATAAATTGTGGGATTATCAAAAATTCAAAATGTGGGAAGAAAAGAAAATTGGTGTGTATAGGTTTTTTTCTTTGCAATTAAAGTTAAACTGTATCAGTTTTAAATAACTTGTTTTAACTACAAAATGTGTTTTGTAAGCCTTAGGGTAACCAAAAAGCAGAAATACTAAAATTAAAAAGCAATGAATTAAAACATACTACCAGAGAAAATCAACCACAAAGGAAGACTTTGTTTTTAAAAAAACAAAATATACAAACTGTTACTTAGACTAAGAAAATAAGACAGAAGACCCAAATAAATAAAATCAGAAACTAAAAGGAAACATTATAACTGAAACCACAGAAATACAAAGGATTGTTAGAGACTAGTATGATAACTATACAGCAATAAATTGGAAAACCCAAAAGAAATAGATACATCCCTGGACATCCAACCTATTGAGACTGAACCATGAAGAAAAAGAAAACTTGAATAGATAAATAATGAGTGACAAGATCAAAACAGTAATAAAGTCTTCAGACAAAGAAAAGCCCAGGTCCTGATGGCTTCACCACTAAATTCTAACCAACATTAAAGAATAATACCAATTCTAATCAAACTATTCAAAAAAATTGAAGGGGAGGAGATACTTCCAAACTCATTCCACAAGGCCAGTATTACCTTGATGCCAAAACCAAAGACAACGAAAGAAGCTATGGGCCAATACCCCTGATGAACAGAGATGTAAAAATCCTCAACAAAAGATTAGCAAACTGAAATCAACAGCATATTAAAAATATCATTCATCATGACCAAGTGGGATTCATACCAGCGATGCAAGGATGGTTCAACTTATACAAATCAATAAACGTGATAGATCACATCAAGAAAATCAAAAACAAAAAAACCATATTATCATTTCATTAGATGCTGAAAAAGCAATAAAACCAAACATTCCTTCACAAAAAGTCTCAACAAATTGGGTACAGAAGGAATATACCTCAAAACAATAAAACTCATATATGACAAACCTACAGCTAATATCATACTGAATGGGGAAAAATTGAAAGCCTTTTTACAAGGATCTTGAAGACAAGGATGCTCACTTTAACCATTTCTATTCAATGTAGTTCTAGAAGTACTAGCCAGAGCAATCAGGCAAGTGAAAGAAATGAAGTGCATCAAAATGGGAAAGGAAGAAGTCAAATTATCCTTGTTTGTAGATGACATGATCTTATATTTAGGAAAACCTAGTGTCATTAAAAAAACCCTCTTAGAACTGATAAATTCAGTAAAGTTGCAGGATACAAAATCAACAAACACTCATCAGTAGTATTTCTATATGATAATAGTTATTGATCTGAAAAGGAAATCAGGAAATCAATCTCATTTACAACAGTTGCAAATGCTGCACTCTGAGCTTGCACCACTGAACTCCAGCCTGGGTGACAGAGTGCGACTGTCGCAAAAAAAGGAAAGGAAAATGGAAGGGAGAAAGGGAGAAAAAAGGAGAAAAGGCAGAAAGGACAAAAAGGGAGAAAGGGGAAAGGGGAAAGGAGAAAGGAGAAAGGGGAAGAGGAAGGGGAAGGGGAAGGGGAAGGGAAGGAAAGGAACACTTACCACTGGATATTTGGAAAACCCTAACTTGGAAAACTAGAAAGTACAGAAAACTATATTGTCATGATCCAAAGATCATCACTCATAACAACTAAGCACACTTTATATCATCTTGATATCTCATTTTTTAAAAATTTAAAAAGTTAAACATGATTGCATAAGCATTTTCCCATATCTTTAAAAATTCTCCATAAATCTAACTGCAATGGATACTTCTTATTCCAGAGACATAATATATGATACTTTCATAATACACTATTGCTGGACATTTACATGGTGGCTATTTTCTTCTATAAACAAGGCTTTGACACACACATACACACACACACACACACGCATGCACAAAATAGTTCAAAGGTCCCATATACCCTGTGCCCAGCTTTTCTTAACGTTAACATCTTACATAACCATAGCAAAATCACCAAAATTAAGAATTTAACATTGATACAATACTATTAACTAAAATAAACTGCAGGAGTTTAAAAATAACTAGCTTAAACCAAAATTAATATAATGCTTTAGGGGAGGGTATGTAAAACACTATAGTACTTATTATGATAGAAACAAAAAGAGTAAAAGAGAGGTGGGTAAATCAGAACAAAAAAATATACATATTGGGAAGACAAAGATGAAGGCTGCCTTTGCTTTTTTTTTTTTTTGCTTTGTGTTGCACACCCAGGTAAAGAGGAAAGGAGAAAATTTTGAATAATGATGACAAAAATAATAAATATAATTATTACTTATTTAATAGACTGCAGTTTAAAAACATTAACAATTTATATCGAAAGGATAATATGTTCAGGTCAATTCAAAGCAAACTGTCCATATACTTAATATTTGTTTTATGATACCTACCTTAAAAATTAAAATACTTTCTACAGTAATGCTTTGACTATGAGAATAATTCAAGGCAATATCAACATGTCTAAACATATAAATTCCAAGAAGAGGATTTCCTAGTATCTTCAATGTAGATGCTCTGGTACTTATTCCATTCTGATATATCTGGGCTACATCACTCTGGGGAAGTGCTAAAAAGCAGAACTGTTCTTCAAGTTCCCTGCAATGTCTTCCACTTTCACGCATCTCTGACCTAAAGTAAAACAAACAATGTATACAGTTAAAGATAAATATCAACAAAATTTTCAAGAAGATACATATTTCCACTTACCACAGTTAGAAAGCAAGAGAAGTAGCGATATTCAGAGGTATTACTACACTGTGATGATAAATTTGGTTGAAAATCATCTTAGGAACAAATTCAGGATTACTTAGCCAAGATTTATGAACATTATCATCATTCCTGGTCTAAAATAACAGGGGCTAACATTTCTTAAATGCTGCTAATGTAACCAGTACAAGTCTTAAGCATTACATGCATCTTCTCATTTCATTCTCAACTTCCCAAGAAGTTTTTATAGTTTATTTTGTTGCTATCGACATTTTTAAAATGAGGAAAATGAGGTTCAGAAAGTTAAATCTTGCCGAAGTAGGAAAATGACAGAGTTGGAATTATACACGCCAATTCTTGTCTGTCAGGTTCCAGAGCTCACATTTTTTGTTAATTGTGTTATGGAGGGAAAAACATGCATTTTCTAAACAAAGTATCTTGTCTATATCTACGTATCTCTACACATCTATAGACACAAAAGCGCACACACATGCACAAATATATCAATTATTAGGGACATTCTCCATTCTTCAGGGATTTAGGTAACAGCTGGGAGAAACAAGCTAATATTTGATTACAGGATCTTATCTTAGGTAAAGAAAATTAGGAATCAACCTCAAAAAGATTATAATCTGAAGTATAGATAATCCCCAATTCTATTACTTCCATTACAAAACCCATTTAAACATATAAAATATATATCCCTTCCCTAAAATTGGCAGATTAGATATTCTATATGGCTTGCTCAGGAGTAGTGGCAGCAGAAATTGCCACATCAGGTGGTACAATAGAGTGGTTCAGACACTAGGGTCCAAATGATTATCTGCAATGGAGAACCTACAGAACCCAGCAAAGGAATGTATATACCACAAAAAGAAAATTGTTCTTGAGAACCACATGCTTCCGAGATTTATTTCCTGGAACACCACTTATAGAATGTGTTTGAAGTATACCATGCACATAAGTATATTAATACTTATTTTCAAGAATGACTCATCATTAACAGTAGGCAGGACCACAAAAGCAAGACTGACTGATTAGATAATGATCACTTCTATTTCCTAGAAATGTCAGCCTTAACTTTTGGCTCCACAAATTGGCATTTCCTGCTCTTGATTTCAACTTGACATCAGATTCCGTGAACCACTAAGATCACTGTCTAAGATTCTTACACTATACATAAAAGTAACATTTGAAGGTACACAGAATAAATTAAAGATGTATAATGTAAACCCTACAGCAGGGTTTTTCCACAGTGGCACCAGGGATATTTTGGGCTAAATTCTTTTTTTTTTTTTTTTAACCTGGTCATCTTCCTGACTACCATTATATCATCACAAGGGTTTCAGTGGAATGAAACAAATATAACAATAAAAATCTAATCCGGGGCTCAAAATCCTCTGTAAATTGAAGTAGAAAATACTCCCTGGAGTTTTGTATTGGTAATTATACTACTAATACTTTTTATTTTTCAGTATGTCTTCAGAACTATATTTGAAAAAAAAATGGGCCTAAATATGTTAGTAAAAAAATGACCTATAAAAAAGTTAGTTTTTGATCTATTTCTGGCTCTAAAAATTGCATAAAAGGTTGGCTTTCCAAATTTATTCAGACGACAGGATCTAAATCACGATTTTAAATGACAGACACTCTGAGTCTCAAGACTTCCATTTCAGAAACAATAGGTAAAACGAGCCTAAAGACTCTTTTCTGTACACAGTAACATGTAATTGAAACTGTGCCCCCAAGAATTAAAGAAACCATTGACTAGCAGAAATTCTTAAGCTTGCAGGATGGCATATAAGAAAACTTACCGAAATACTCAAACTCCCTCCGCTTGTAACAAGACCAGCTGAAATCATTTGGAACCATTTTGGCCAAATGAAGTTTATACACAATAAGCTTGCTGACATCACAGCCTGAATTTCCACCGTGTGTTTTATACTAACTCCCCCCAAATTTGCACATGGGACCCATGAGGAAGCATAAAGAGACAACTGTGCATGCCCAAGGACTTTCTACACCTCCCTTTCCTTCTACCAATCACCTAAAGATCCTAGGATCCACCCCCAAACCATTTCTAATAAAACTACTGCTTTAAAGCTAGCTTGGGGAGACAGATTTGAGCTTGACCTCCTATCTCCTTGTGAGTCTACTTGCAATAAAAGCTTTTCTTTTCTCAAAAACCCGGTATCATAGTACTGACTTCTAGTGCATCAGGCAAGGAGCTTCACCTGCTTGATAACGTAACTGGGTAAGAATCTGAAGAACTAGCATATACAAAGTACTCTTTTACCAAAAGACATTAATAAGCATCAGAATCTGTGCTAAAATAATATTTATATTATCTTAAATTTTAAAAATACATAAAAGAATAATTTTCTAGAAATGTTTCCCCATGTTTTTCTGCAGCAATACTAATGAGGGATAGATGTCAAAGTCTGTCACCTCTGAACCCTGCATGTACTTTAAGCTATGGGGTGGAAAGCTCAAAATCAACACAACACTCAAGTCTTAGAATTTGTAGTTATACTCTTGCTTGTGGGTTTTTAATTTTGGTCATTACTTTTTAACTAATATTTTATTAAATATTAAGTAAATAAATGTAAAAGACAGATGAGAAAACTCATATAATAGAGAAGCTGAGTGGATGAAATAGAATTGGAATCTTGTATATCTTTTTGTAGACCAGGAACTTTTAATTTACTCTGTGCTACCATACTGTCTCATTTAAGCTAACTACAACAAAGTATAAGTGCTTTGGATGGAATGCCTATGTCATAGTTAATTACATCATTTAAAATAGGTTCCAAGACAACCTACATATAGTAGGTAATTTTTTGTGCAATAAATAAAACTCTGGGAAGTATTTTTTCTCTAAGTTTAAGCGGAAACACAAGTTCATACAAGGTATTTAGCTATGGGGTGGGGGGTCGCCTAAAGTAGAGATTAAAAGTATTCAAGTAAGTATTTTTTTATAACAAAGAAAATAAAATTATTTCTTTGGAGATCTTTAAAGATAACTTAATAATTTTCAAATCCATCAGATTGCTAGTGATAAGAACTCAGTATCCAGCTGGCCCAAAGTGCAATATAAGAACCAAAACGCTGACAGCTAAGAGAAATTGGGATTCCACAATATTTAAGAAATGTGCTAATGCCACCCAACTCCAGATGTAAGACTTTGTTTCCTTTGCTGTTATAACAAATTCTCACAAACTTAATGGATTAAAAAGCATAAATTTATTATTTTAGTTATGCAGATAAGTCAGACATGACTCTCACTGGGCTAAAATCAAGGTGTCATCTGTCTGGATTGTGTTCCTTTCTGAGGTTCTAGGGGAGGATCTCTTTCCAAGTTGGCAGAACTGAATTACCAGCAAGGAGATTTCCCAGCTTCTAGAAGTTACCCACCATCCTTGGCTCATAATCTCCTTTTTTCATCTTCAAAGCCAGAAAAGGCAAGCTGAGTCCCCCTCATATCTTTTTTCTTTCATCTCTGCTCTCTGATCCATTCTTCTGCCTCCCTCTTCTGTTACTAAAAGCTCCTGTGATTAAACTGAGCCCACTAATATCACCTCAGATAATCACTCATCTCCAGGTCTGTAACCTCAATCACACCTGCAAAGTCCTTTCTGCTATGTAAGGTGATATATTCACAGGTTCTGGGGAGTAGGATGTGGACATCTTTGGGGAAGCATTATGCTGCTTACCACACACAGATTCTGAACTTGGCCCCTCAATGATACGAAGAACTTGTTTTTCCCCACAACTCTCCCTCTGCTGTGCACAGCTTTATCTTTATCCACATCCAGCTCCCATGATGGTCACAAGAAGAAAGCTGGTAGCAACGAGGCTTCCTTGCTCACAGCCACCAGAAGAGAAACAGACTTCACCTTCCCAGGATTTCCAAGCAAGTCTTATGCTATGGTTGTTTAAAAATAACGACTAGGCTTGTACATCAATAAACTCATAAAGCAAGGGGAATTGGACAAAAAATGGTTAGGCTAATTATAAAAGATGATCTAGAATTGTTAGGAAAACTGCAGTCTACTCATTTGGCTACGCTTTTTCACACATACCCTTCTTCTAACACATATACTTTCAAAAACGCTCATTCACACAAAGCACTTTCAATCCACCTCACAAGGAGGGAACAACCCAAAGTCTCACTGAATTACTACATCCAACTCCAGATCCATGATGATCACATGGATGAAATGCCTTCATTTCCAATAGATCTGGATATAGATCTAAATAACCAACGTTCCTTTAGGTGACTTACGGCTAGGTTTAAATTATCTAAACCCAAAATACAATGGTGGAGGAAAAAATACAATTAAATTCTAAAAAGTAAAGAATGCTAACAATTGTCAGTATTAACTTGTCCTTAGCACAAGTATATCCTTCTGTAAAGAAGTAGCTGGGATTCCTTGCTCTCAAAATTCCAAAGGCTAGTAACTATAGCAGGAGATCTTGTTCAGACAATGGGTGAGAGTAAGAATGTCTGTCTCTTGGCAACAAGCCTCTGGGACCTTCCCACCATCCAAGGCCCTCAATCTATAATGAACTTCATATAGTGGATTTCAACTTGAAACTATCAATTTCTACCCCCAGATTGCATTTAAAATACAGTCATGTGCCATAGTAGACATTTTTGTTAACGACAAACCAAAAATACAATGGTGGTCCCGTAAGATTATAATGGAGCTGAAAAATTCCTATTGCCTAGTGATAGCTTAGGTCTCACAGTGTCATAGCATAATGCATCACTTTCATGTCTGTGGTGATGGTGGTGCACTGCCAGTCATATAAAAGTATAGCATGTATGATTATGTACAGTACACAATACTTGTTAATAATAAATGACTATGTTGTTGGTTTATGTATTTAGTATACTATACTTTTTATTTTAGAGTATATGATCTCTCCTTATTAAAATAAATTAATTGTAAGACAGCCTCAGGCTAGTACTTCAGGAAGTATTCCTGAAGAAGGCATTGTTATCATAGAAGATGACAGCTCCATGCACGTTACTGCACCTGAAGACCTTCCAGTGGGACAGATGTGGAGGTGGAAGTCAATGATATTGATGATCCTGACCCTGTGTAGCTTTAGGCTTATGTGTGTGTTTGTGTCTTAAGTTTTTAAATAAAGAGTTCTAAAAGTTAAAAAAAACAAAAAACAGAAAAAAGTGTATAGAATAAGGATAAAAATATTTTGTACAGTTGCACAACGTATTTGTGTTTTAAGCTACATGTTATTACAAAAGGGTCAAAAAGTTAGACTTTTAAAGTTTATAAAGTAAAAATATTACAGTAAGCTAAGGTTTATTATTGAGAAAATTAAAAAATACATTTAGCGTAGCCTAAGTGTACAGTGTTTATAATGTCTACAGTAGTAACAGGTATACGATATAGTTGAGGTGTATAAGTAGGCTACACCATCTAGGTTTGTGTAATTCCACTCTACGATGTTTACACAATGACGAAATTGCCCAATGATGCATTTCTCACAACATATTCCTGTCATTAAGCAACGTGTATCTTTGCTGTATAAACTTGAGTAGTTCCACTTACTAGGCAGAAAATATTTAAAAGGAGTTATTTGGGAAAGATTTAATGCAACAGATTTGTGCTTTACCACATCTTTATCCCCTGTTAAATCTCATTCCTTTTAAACCCATATTCACCCTAACTTTGGAAAGGATTAATTACCTATTTCAAGCTAATCTTGCAAAGCTGAACTGTGAAACTAGGCCACAAAGTGATTCTTTTTTATTGAATCTGAATTTTCTACGATTGAGAAAATAATGTTTCTTGTGTCTAAACGGGAAATGGTCAAGGCACTCTAATATGCTGAGTTTTTGGTAGAAATTTTCTCAAAAACTACAGCCTCATGAAACACAGGATCTGTGCCCTAAGGTACAGATTATCACCAATTTCCCATTTGGGAATACTGGAGGGGTGGGGATTCCTCATTGCCCTCTTCCCTTGAAGTAAATCCGTATTTTAGAATCTCTTACCTACAAGTACCCCTTTCCCAGTACCAAATTCAGTTCCAGTTGGGTTATCATTGACTTCAAGTACAGAAACCCATTCAAACTGGCTTGTGTTGCCAGACTCAGTTTTGCACTTTGAACACAAGAACAAGATAAAACTCAAAATATACTAGGAGAATGAGACACAAATCAATATATTGTAGTAAGTACCATAAAATGAGTATAAATAACTATGGGAAACAAATGAGTTTTTGTCTAATTGGGCAAATAGCTAAGAAAACAATAAATCCTATACATGTTGGTCATTTACAATGTTTTAACAGCCCTATCACTGGGTACTTGTTCTAACTTTTCTATAACACTAACAGGGAGAAATAACTTGTTTGAAAGGACAAAAATTTTAATGTCCAAAATAAGCAAAACCAAAGAACCGTGTCAGGAATTCATTTTTGATCAAAGTGTTTTTCAACTTGGAAGTCATTGGATATACCCAGTCCTTTTTACCTACAAAACTGTGTTTTTAAGAGGAAAGGCAATATACCACAACAAATTCTGTCATTCCCATTAATTCCAAATCTCCAGACACCAAGTGTGGCAGCATGTTTGAATCAAGAGGAATCAATTCTAAAATGAACAAGCCAAAACATTCCAAAACGAGTTCCACATGTGGGTCTATCAAGCTCTAGTTAGGTTTTAAGTTAAACAGTGAGAAATGGCAAAGGAGACAAGTTAGAAGAAAATATAGGAATGCTAAATTGTGCTTACACAAAATCTATACCTATAATTAAAAATGCTTACAATGAGAACTTTGCATATGCTCTTATTCTTATCAAAATGACAATAATATGCCTTCCAAAAAACCTGGAGAAGTACTTTAAAAAATTATGTGTGAGAAATGGCATCAACATAGAATAGTTCTAGTGGAATAGCTGGAAACAGCTGGCTACAATCCTCTCAAATTAAAACATCAACCCAGTCTCTTAAGGGCTGGGTTCAAGAGTAAAAAGAAGTTACTTTTTGATTACTTCGACTGCAGTTTTACATTATCTAGGAGGTGTGAGGGATCTACAAATTGCCTGCTTAATAAAGGTGCTGATGCATGTTTCTGAAAAATTTATCAAGGTTAAAAAATTGGAAGGAGGTGTCTGAAATCTCACTACATTAATACATAAAACTAATCAAATCTCACACTTGGCTTTCAATGTTACAAAAGACTATGAGAATGTAACAAAAAATAATCTGTGTTTTCTTAGTAATAACTTACTAAATCTCATATGGTAGAAATGAATTAGCATAAAACTCCATAGTAACAAACACAACAAAATCTCAAACACGTTTAGATCATAGTAACTTACCTCTTAGCAGTAAAATTTTTTTCCAGTTCCTCATTGTGAACCAGTTTTGTATCCCCAAACTGCCATAACGACTGCAGATCACAGTTTACATCAAGCCTGCACTGGTTAAGAGTATCATGTATAAAACTATACTCTCTACTATTGGTGTAACAAGGTGACAAGTAAACTAAAGGTAGAAAAAGAGAAAGCAGTTGTATTTAAAATGACATTATTGGACATCTGTACAATGACAACTGTATCTCTAAGACACAAAATAACTAAGTACTGGAATTTTCATTAACAACATAAGGCAACCATTTGTATTTAAGATTCTACAACAGTAATGTAGACCTCCTATACTTGATATAAATGAAAATATGAACCATGATTTTCTCCACATACCTATTAAGAGTTCTTAAAAGTTGACACATACAGATATGACAGTCCCAGAATTTTCAACTTAAGATGTTGCAACTCTGACTGTACAATGCACATCATTACACAAATCTGGCAGCTACTGTTAGTGCATGAGTATTTGCCAAGTAAAGATAAGGCAATCTGCACATTAGAAAATGATTGGGTTATTTTGATTTGCAAAAGTACAAGAACATGTGTGTAAGATGCTGCCTGATACAGTGGCATGTGAAAGAGGAAACAGACTTTCTTAGGACAGTGAGCATCTCCAGCATTGTTGTAGTAAATAGATGCATAAAAGGATAAAATCCTATGGAAGTGAACTCAGAGGAAAGCAAGGAGCAAATATAATTGACTATTGTTATTGGTGGTAGTTATATTCCACAAAGTTCCCACCAACATCGAGTCACAAACACTGTGTCACAAACTACTGTTCTTGGGGGAAAGGAAAGGGTTAAGTTACTGTGGGCATCTGGTCAATTTTTTTTTTTTTTTCCTTAGAGACAGGCTCTCACTCAGTAGCCCAGGCTGGAGTGCAGTGGTATGATCATTTCTCACTGTAACCTCTAACTCCTGGGCTCCAGCGATCCTCCTGCCTTGGCTTCCTGTGTAGCTGGGACTACAGGCACAGGCCCAACATGCCCAGCTAGCTTTTCTTTTATTTTTTGTAGAGATGGGGTCGCTATGTTGTCCAAGCTGGTCTCAAATTCCTGGGCTCAAGCGATCCTCTCCAACCTTGGCCTCCCAAAGTGCTGGGATTACAGACAAGAGCCACTGTGCTGATCCTGGTCAAATTTTTGACCACCAAAATGCCATCTGCATTATGTAGATTCTTCTGCCAACATCTTTATAAAACAAACCAATCTCATCAGTTTTGAAAACTTGTTCTTCCATTTTCCTATGTGACATTTAGCTGGTTATTTAAAAAAATTCTTTCTTAACATCCTGATCTGCAGAACCCATCTGCCTGCAAGTTCAATATTTTTCATATTGCATCTATCACCTTTTGAAATGTTTGAGTCAAATAGCACTAGCCAAGAAGGGTTTAACATTTTCCTGACTCTGGGTAATGTGACCTAAGTTCTTCCGGCTTTTAGCTTCACAACAATGCTGCCCACTATGTTTTTTTAATTAGCCATAACGAAATCTCATGAATCTATAAATTTAGCTGCTTTTCTATCTTTCCCAGAGTTTCATCAGGCACTACAGATGTTACCTTAGCACTTTTTGGTGAGGCCTGATGTACAGATTGGCAAGTTTCTTCCTCCTCTCCCTGGAAATACATTAACATTGAACTCAGGCCTGAGTGAAGCTTACCTAAAATGTGTTTTCTCTGTAAGGCATATCATAACCTTCTTGACCTTAGGAACACTAGACCACACTTCAGCATTACACTTGGAGACCATTTAAAGTAGTGAAATCACCAACAAAAATGTTAACAATTGATATGGTTTGGCTGTGTCCCTACCCAGATCTCATCTTGTAGTTCCCATCATCTCATGTGTCATGGGAGGGACCCAGTGGAAGGTAATTGAATCATGGGGGCAGTTACCCCATGCTAGTCTTGAGATAGTGAGTTTTTACAAGATCTGATGGTTTTATAAGGGGCCTTTCCCTCCTTGCTGAGCTCTTCTTTCTCCTGACTCCATGTGAAGAAGGACATGTTTGCTTACCCTTCTGCCATGATTGTAAGTTTCCTAAGGCCTCACCAGCCATGGGGAACTGTGAGTCAATTAAATCTTTTATTAAAAAAAATAGGACTAATACAACAATGTAGCACCATCACTAGGAAAAGAACACTTATTGCAGTATGAGAGCTGAAACAACAAGGCAGGGCATGGCCTCATTTGACCTTAAATGAGAATGCATGCATTGGGTAACTCAAATTCTAGAGCCCTACGTGCATGTCTGTGAAAGCATTGCTGAGTAACAAGTTCGGACAAAAAAGCACTGCTGACTGTTGATTGTGAATTTTACCAAGTAGGAAATTCACAAACATGGAATCCTCAAATAATGAAGATTGACTATATAGAAGGTTTAAGGCAACTTCCATATAAATGAACCTAATTAACAATTTGCCCCTTAAATTTAGCTTATCAACAGAAGTTAACATAATGACAAAAACAATATAAAACACTATAACCAGCTGATTTCAGTAACAATTCATTCCTCATTCCCATTTTTAATTCTATTATTGACCCCCAAAATGATTTTCATTTTAGTATTTGTAATAATTATTACAAATTTTGATAGTTTCATAACATATGATGTAGAAATTTTGATAGTTTTATAACATGATGATTTTGTGGATGTATAACTTTTTATTTTGAAATGAATCTAGATTCACAGGAAGTTGCAAAAACAGTTCACAGAGGTCCTGTGTACCCTTAACCCAGTTTCCTCCAGTGGAAACATGTAACTATAATCCAGTATCAAAACTAGGAAAATGACATTGGTACAAGCCACAGACCTTATTAAGACTTTACCAACCAGTTTTACATCCACTTGTGTGTGTAGTTCTATGTAATTTTATCACACGTAGATTTGTGTAACAATCACCCTAAGATACAGAACTGCTCTATCACCAGAGACATCCCTTCTGCCACTCCTTTATATATTTTTTCATACTGAAACTCTCCCACACCCCCATTCTCCTACCCTGTCCCTAAATCCTGAAAATTATTACTCTCTTCTCCGTATGCATACTTTTGTCATTTCTAGAATATTTGTAAATGAAATTTTGTAGTATGAGACCTGTAAAGATTGCTTTTTTTTTTTTTTTTTGCTTAGCATACTGCCTCTGAGATTCAACCAAGTTGTTATATGAGTAGATTGTTTCTTTTTATTGCTAAGTAGTATACCATGGTATGAATGTGCCAGTTTGTTTAACCATTTACTCATTAGAAATTTGGGTGGTTGTCAGTTTTTGGTTATTACAAATTAAGCTGCTGTGTACATTCATGTATAGGTTTTTGTGTGAACATCATTTTTTGTTTGCCAGAGAAAAATGCCCAAGGGAAGGACGGCTGGATCATATGGCAGTTGCATGCTTATTTATTTATTTTATTTTTGAGACGGAGTTTCACTCTTGTTGCCCAGGCTAGAGTGCAATGGCGCGATCTCGGCTCACCACAACCTCTGCCTCTCGGGTTCAAGTGATTCTCCTGCCTCAGCCTCACGAGTAGCTAGGATTACAGGCATGCGCCACCATGCCGGGCTAATTTTTCTATTTTTTTTAGTCAAGATGCGGTTTCTCCATGTTGGTCAGGCTGGTCTTGAACTCCCGACCTCAGGTGATCCACCTGCCTCAGCCTCCCAAAGTGCTGGGAATACATGCGTGAGCCACTGTGCCTGGCCTGCGTGCTTACTTATTTTTTTAAAGATTGGGTCTTGCTATGTTGCTCAGGATGGCCTTGAACTCCTGGGCTCCAGCAATCCTCCTGCTTTGGCTTCCTGAGTAGCTGGAACTACAAGCACATGCCACTGGGCATGGCTGCATGTTTAGTTTTTAAAGATGATGCCAAATTGTTTTCTGGAGTGGCTGTGCTATCTTACATTCCCTAATGGCAATACACAAGTGAGTTGTTGTCTCCCATCCTCACTGGCATTTGGTACTGTTATTGTTTTCTTTTTCAGCTATTCTAACAAGTATATAGTTACATCTCATTGTGGTTTTCATATGCATTTCCTTAATGGCTATGATGTTGAACATCTTTTGATAAGCCCATTTGCCATCAGTGTATTCTCTCTGGTGAAAAGTCTATTCATGTCTTTTTCTTGTTTTCTAACTGGATTGCCTTTTTTTTTTTACCTACTGAACTTTGAAAGTGCTTTATATGTTCCAGATGTAAGTCCTTGCTCAGATAAACGATCTGCAAATGCTTTTTTCCCCATTCCTAGCTTATCTTCTCACCTTCCTAACAGAGTCTTTCGCAGAGCAAAAGTTTCTGATTTTCATGAAAGTGAATTTCTTCTTTCTTTTATAGATTGTGTTTTTGGTATCATGTCTAAGAACTCCTTATCCAAGCTGAGATCCTGAAGATGTTCTCTCATGTTTTCTTCTAGACGTTTTATAGCTTCACATTTTACATTTAAGCCCAAGGTTCATTCGGAATTATTTTTTGCATGAGGTTAGGGTGAAGTTCATTTTTTTGGTCTCTGGATGTCCAATTGCTCTAGCAACATTTCTTGAAGACTATTTTTCCTCTACTGAATGCACCTTTGTTAAAAATCAATGGAAAGAAAATCAATTGAGCATATTTGCATGGGTCTGTTTTCGGAATCTTTATTCTGTTCCACAGATCTGTGTGTCTATTTCTGTGGTCACATTGTCTTTCTTACTACAGCTATATGCTAAGGCTTAACAGTGGATAGAGTATTTCCATATACTTCTTCTATTTCAAAATTGTTTTAGCTATTCTAGTTTCTTTGCCTTCCCAGGTAAGTGTCAGAATAAGCTTGCCTACCTATGAACATCTTAGCGGGATTTTGATAGGAACTGCAATAAACCTTCAGATAAATTTGTGGTGAACTGATGTCATTATGTTGAGTCTTTTAATCCATGAGCACACTACATCTCTCCATTTATTTAGATTTCCTTTTTTTTTTTAAAAAAAAAAATCAGTATTTTATAGTTTATAACATAGAAACCTTACACATTTTGTTATATTTGTACCTAAGTATTTCATTTTAAGGTTATTATCTTTTATTTTACTTTGAGGTGGAATCTTGCTCTGTCACCCAGGCTGGAATGCAGTGGCGTGAGCTCAGCTCATTGCAACCTCCCCCTCCTGGGTTCAAGGGATTCTCATGACTCACCCTCCCAAGTAGCTGGGATTATAGGCACCCACCACCACGCCTAGCTAATTTTTTTCTGTTTTTAGTAGAGACGGGGTTTCGCCATGTGGCCAGGCTGGTCTCCAACTCCTGACCTCAGGTGATTCACCTGCCTCAGCCTCCCAAAGTGCTGGGATTACAGGTGTGAGCCACCATGACCGGCTGCCCAAAGTTATTTTAAATGGTATTTTAAAAATTGTTTATTTCCATGTGTTCTTTGCTAGTATTTAAAAGTATAGTTGACTCATGAACAATATGGGTTTGAACAGTGGGACAACTTATACTTGGATTTTCTTCCACCTCTGCTACTCCTTAAGACTGCATGACCAACCCCTCCTCTTCCTTAGCCTACTCAATGTGAAGATGATGAAGATGAAGACCTTTATGGTGATCCACTTCCATTTAAGGAATAGTAAACATATTTTCTCTTCCTTATGATTTTCTTAGTAACATTTTCTCTACCTTACTTACTGTAAAAGCATAGTAGCATATAATACGTACATAAAATTATGTGTTAATCAACTGTTCATGTTATCAGTAAGGCTTTAGGTCAACAGTAGGCTATTTGTGTTAAAAGTTAAGTTCTGGGGGAGTGAGTTATATGCAGATTTTTCAGCTGTGTGTTTTGGGGAGGGGGTGGGGGCGGGATCAGTGCCCCTAACCCCTGGGTTGTTTATAAGTCAAATGAACAATTGTTTTTTTATGTTTTCATCGTATCCAGTGACCTTGCTGAACTTACTAGTTCCAAGTTTTCCTTTCTTTTTTTTTTAAGATTCCTTAGGATTTTCCATGCAGACCATCATGTTCTCTTCAAATAGGGATAATTTTATTTCTTCTTTTCCAATCTGAATACCTGCTAATTCCTCTCCTTGGCTTTTTGTGCTGGGTACAACTTCCAGTATTATGTTGAATAAGAGTGGTGCAAGAGAACATTCACCTCTCAGTTGTGTGCAATAATTCATTTTAAATATTGAACTCCATTTGCTAATATTGTTTAGGATATCTGCATCAATTATCACGGACAATGGTCTGTGGGGTGTTTTCCATATTATATTGGTCTCATCTTGGAACCATGGTAATATTAATCTCATATTATTATTCTCTCAATTTCTATTTTCTGGAAGAGATTGTATAGTTTCTGTTCTTTAAATCTTTAGAATTCTCCAGTGAAACCATCTGGGCCTTAAACTTTCCTTTCTAACCATGAATTACATTTAATTGTTGTAAGACTATTTAAATGATCTATTTAGAACTACATGTGTTTAACAGTTTGTACTTTTGATACAACCTGTGGGCCAGTAGTGATAACCCATTTCATTCTTGATAGTGGTAATTTATGGCTTCTTTTTCCTTTGTCAGACTTGATAAAGGTTTGTCAATTTAATTGATCTTTCCAAACAACCATCTTTTTGTTGTAGTTTCATTAATTATCCTTCCATCTTGACTTTTTATTTTTTTTTATTATTTTTTTTTTTTGAGACAGTCTTGCTCTGTCACCCAGGCTGGAGTGCAATGGCGCGATCTTGGCTCACTGCAACCTCCACCTCCTGGGTTCACACGATTCTCCTGTCTCAGCCTCCCGAGTAGCTGGGATTACAGGCGCATACCGCCATGCCTGGCTAATTTTTTGTATTTCAGTAGAGACAGGGGTTTCACTGTGTTGCCCAGGCTAGTCTCAAACTCCTGAACTCAGGCAATCCACCTGCCTCGGCCTCCCAAAGTGCTAGGATTACAGGCGTGAGCCACCGCACCCAGCCTTTCTTTTTCTGGTTTCTTAAAGGTTGGAAGCTTAAGATTATTGATCTGAAACACTCCCTCTTTTCAAATGTAAACATTTAGTGCTATGAACTTCCTTGTTAGCAATGCTTTAACCATGTCCCTCAAATTTGGGTATGTTGCATTTTCATTTTAGTTATATATTTCCTTTAAAATCCCATGACTATTTCAAAATGTGTTATTTACCTTACTTTTTGCAGAGATAAGGTCTCACTATGTTTCCCAGGCTGGTCTCAAATTCCTAGCCTCAAGCAAGCCCCTTGCCCCCTACTTACTTTCCAAGTGTCTTTGGAGATTTACTTTTCTGTTTGCATGTTGTCAGAGAACATATTCTGTATGATTTCAATTTATTTATTTATTTATGAGACGGAGTCTCGCTCTGTCACCCAGGCTGGAGTGTAGTGGCGCAATCTCAGCTCACTGCAAGCTCCGCCTCCTGGGCTCACACCATTCTCCTGCCTCAGCCTCCCAAGTAGCTGGGACTACAGGCGGCCGCCACCATGCCCGGCTATTTTTTTGTATTTTTAGTAGAGACAGGGTTTCACCGTGTAAGCCAGGATGGTCCCAATCTCCTGACCTTGTGATCTGCCCACCTCAGCCTCCCAAAGTGCTGGGATTACAGACGTGAGCCACTGTGCCTAGCCTCAATTCCTTTAACTATGTTGACATGTATCTCATGGCCCAAGATGTTGTCTGTTTTGATGCATGTTCCACAGGTGCTTGAAAGGTCTATTCTGCTACTGTTAGGTACAATAATCTATAAATGTCAATTAGATCCTGTTGATTGACAGTGTTAGATTCTTCAATATTCTTCCTGATTTTCTGATTAGTTTTATCAATTGAGAGTACAAAGTCTCCAACTATAATTCAAAATTTGTCCATTTCTCCTTTCAGTTTTATCAGTTTTGCTTCATATATTCTGAAGGCTCAAGTGATCCTCCCACCTCAGCCTCCTGAGTAGCTGGCACCACAGGCACATGTCACCATGGCTGGATAATTCTTGTATTTTTTGTAGAGATGGGGTTTTTCCATGTTGCCAAACTGGTGTCAAACTCCTGGGCTCAAACAAATCTCCCACCTTGGCCTTCCAAAGTGCTGGGATTACAGGTATGAGCCACCATGACTGGCCCTGTAGTTTTTTGTTTTTTAATGTCAATTTTATTTTTCTTTCTCTATCTTTTTTTTTAGAGACAGGGTCTCACTCTGTCATCCAGAGTGGAGTGCAGTGCTGTGATCATAGCTCACTGCAGCCTTGAACTTCTGGGCTTAAGCCATCCTCCTGCTTCAGCTTCCCAAATAATGTTGAATTTAGACGGTTTAAGTGTAGGCAGCTCTTTAAATTTAACCAACTCTCATCCTATGGATTCAGAGACCACAGCTGAATATCCAGGAGATAACGATTCCTGGCTATTCCTTCTCAGTATTTTCTTTTTTTTTTAATTTTTTATTTTACTTTAAGTTCTGGGGTGCATGTGCAGAATATGCAGGTTTGTTACATAGATGTATGTGTGCCATGGTGGTTTGCTGCACCTATTGACCTATGTCATCTAAGTTCCCTTCCCTTGACCCCCACCCTCCAACAGACCCCAGTGTGTGTTGTTTCCCTCCCCGTGTCCATGTGTTCTCATTGTTCATCTCCCACGTATAAGTGAGAACATGTGGTGTTTGGTTTTCTGTTCCTGTATTTGCAGAGGATGATGGCTTCCAGCTTCATCCATGTCTCTGCAAAGGACATGATCTCATTCCTTTTTATGGCCGCATATTCCATGATGTATATATACCACATTTTCTTAATCCAGTCTATATCACTGATGGGCATTTGGGTTGGTTCCATGTCTCTGTTACTGTAAATATTACCGCAATAAACATATGTGTGCATGTGTCTTTATGGCAGAATGATTTATATTCCTTTGGGTATATACCCAGTAATCGGACTGCTGGGTCAAATGGTATTTCTGGTTCTGATCCTTGAGGAATTGTCACATTGTCTTCCACAATGGTTGAACTAATTTACATTTACATTCTTGCTTGATTCTTGGGATCAAGCGTTCCTCCCACCTCAGCTTCCCAAGCAGCTAGGACTACTGTACCACACAGGCTGATTTTTAAATCTTTTTCTAGAGACAGGGCCTTGCTATGTTGCACAGGCTGGTCTCAAACTCCTAGCCTCAGGGCATGAGCCACAGTGCCCAATGGTGTAAAAAATTCCTATTTATCCACGGCCTCACCAGCATCTATTGTTTCTTGACTTTTCAATAACTTCTATTCTGACTTGCGTGAGATGGTATCTCATCGTGGTTTTGATTTGTATTTCTCTAATGATCAGTGATGTTGAGCTTTTCTTGGCTCTGTAGTTTTCTTCTAAGTTCTTTAACTTGTTTTGGTATTAAAATAATGCTCCTCTAAAAGCATGAGTCAGAGAATATTCCTTCTACTTGTATCTTCTGAAAGAGATTGTAAAGAATTGGTGTAACTTCTTCCTTAAATGTCTACTAGTACTCACCAGTGAACCTATCTGGTCCTGGTGCTGTATTGGAAGGTTATTAGTTATTGATTCAATTTGTTTAATAGATAGATTTAGGCCTATTCAGATCATATATTTCTTCTTGTGTGACTTTTTGCAGATAGTGTCTTTCAAGGAATTGGTACATTTCATCTAGGTCACCAAATTTATGGGCCCAGAGTTGTTCATAGTATCCCTTATCCTTTTAATGCCCATAGGATCTGTAGTGATGTCCTCTCTTGATTTCTGATATCAGTAATCTGTGCTCCCTTTTTTTTCTTAGTTATCCTGGCTAGAGGCTTATCAACTTTACTGATCTTTTCAAAGACCCAGATTTTCATTTTGTTGATTTTTTTCTATTAATTTCCTGTTTTTAATTTCATTCATTTCTGCTCTAATTTTTATTATTTTCTTCTGCTTATTTTGGATTTAATTTGTCCTCTTTTTTCTAGTTTCCTAAGGTGTAAACGTAAATTACTGATTTTAGATATTTCTTGTTTTCTAATACATGCATTCAATGCTATAAATTTCTTTCTAAGTACTGCTTTTGCTTTATCCTACAAATTTTGTTTTCCTTTTCATTTAGTTCAAGGTATTTTAACATTTCTCCTGAGATTTCTTCTTTGATGCTTTTATTATTTAGAAGTGTGCTGTTTAATCTCAAAGAATTTGGGTATTTTCCAGCTATCTTTGGGTTACTTATATCTAGTGTGGGCCCCCTACTTGATCATCTTAATTAATTCCATTGTGGTCTGATATGATTTGGCTCTGTGTCCCCAACCAAATCTCACCTTGTATCTCCCATAATTCCCATGTTTTGTGGGAGGGATCCAGTGGGAGATGACTGAACTATGGGGGCAAGTCTTTCCCGTGCTATTCTCATGATAGTGAATGGGTCTCATGAGATCTGATGGTTTTAAAAACAGGAGTTTCTCTGCATAAGCTCTCTCTCTTTGCCTGCTGCCATCCATGTAAGATGTGACTTGCTTCTCCTTGCCTTCTGCCATGATTGTGAGGCTTCCCCAGCCACGTGGAACTGTAAGTCCATTATAAACCTCTTTCTTTTGTAAATTGCCCAGTCTCGAGTATGTCTTTATCAGTAGTGTGAAAATGGATTAATACATGGTCTGAGAGGTGACTGTATGATTTCCACTATTTCAAGTCTCTTAACGTGTATTATGGCCAAGGTATGGTCTATCTTGGTGAGTCCTGTGTGTGCTTGAGAAGAATGTCTAACGTGCTACTGTTGAATGGAATAGTCTACAGATGTCTATTATATCAAGTTGACTGATGGTGTTGCTGAGTTCAACTATGTCCTTAGTGATTTTCTGTCTGTTGGATACGCCCATTTCTGATAACGGGGTATTTCCAACTGTAATAGTGGATTTCTCTATTTCTCCTTGCAGTTCTATTAGTTTTTGCCTGAGTTTTTATTTTAATTAAATTTTCAGTTCTAAGTCTTCTATTCAGTTATTACATATTTCATTTCTTTGATGAGATTTTCTAGCTTTTCATTTGTTTCAAAAGTGTCTGTAACTGCTTGTCCAAGTATCTTCATGGTAGCTGCTTTAAAAGTTTCTCAGTTAATTATAGTTCCAACACCTGTGTCAATCTTGATGTTGGCATCTATTATCTTTTCTCATTCAAGTTGAGATTTTCTTGGTGTGTGTTAAGATGAGCGATTTTTACTATATCCTGGTCAACTGGGGCATTTTTATGAGACTCTAGATTATATTTAATCTTTCACTTCAGCAAGACTTTACTAAAACTGTGCTGGCAGGAACAATGGCTGGCAGGGAAAGGGGAGCACTGACTCTTTAATACTATGCAGAGGTGAAGTTCTGGCTTTCCACAGGGCCTCCATTTATACCCTGGGGAGTATCCCTGTTACCACTGCAAAGGGCTGGAAGGCCATGGTCCCCACTCATCCTCCACCAACACTGTAGGAGGCCTTGTTACTGCTGGATGTGGTGGAGGTCCAGGCTCTCCACTTTGTTCACTGACTCTAACCCTAGTGGAAAGGACAACTCATCACCACAAAGCAAGGGTAGATATCAACTGACATTGCAGGAGCAGGATGATGGCACAGAAGGGAATGCATTATTGCTGTGTGATCCTACGTGGATCACCACTGGCACCATGGGGAAGGAAAGGGGTACCTTGTTCCTGCTGGGTAGGGGGTCAGAGTCCAGGATCCCCACTCAACCTCCTCTGCCATCACCCCAGTGGGAAACGGGAGGGGTATATTTAATGTCAAACAGGTTTCCAACTTTCTAGGCTGCCCTTTTCTTAGTTCACTGGCAAGAAAGAAGAGGTTTTTCTTGGGGCTTTTGGGGGAGGTCTGTGCCAGCTGGCATTTCTGTGTTGGGGGCATCTAGTCTGAGATATGGAGGAAACAAAAAGAAAATTGAGGGAACTTACTGCTATGCCATTCCCTGAGTCTCACATTCCCTAGTTGGTTGGTCTTCTCTCCAGTTTCGAAAGTCTTTTCATATTTGTTTCATAAAAATGTCCAGGGTTTTTAGGTGTACTTAGTGGGAAGGATGCAGAACGTGCATCTATTCTATTTTGAGTGGAAACATAAGTACATGTATGTTTAAGGAATTAGAGACCTGAATTAACCTAATTTTATATAGAGTCAAAATAAAAGATGAACATAAACTAAGAATCAGAGAAATACAGTAATAGTTACTAAAAAAATTCCCAACCACAGAAATATTACCTTTCTCAGCTGTCCTCCTGATCTTAGGAATGGTGAATTTCTTCAAAGGATTGACTTCACGAGTATTCAACACGGGTTTGCTAGTTGAGCTCATTTGCCACAGTGTATCCTGTTTAGCAGTTTCTTTCATTTCCATTTTGTTGGCCTAAAATCAACCCAAGGTTATTAAGCAAAAAGGTCAATAAATACATAAAAGGCAATGGCAGTACAATCATTTAAAAGTTCTTCAACAAAAGTAAATGGTAAAATGTTCTTAGTCAACTGTCAGAAAGTTTCCATCTCAATTTGCCAGTTGCCCAAAAAAGAAAATGAGTTTACAACTTTGGTTTTTATATAATATGAAAAATATCAGCTGGGCATGGTGACTCACACCTGTAATCCCAGCACTTTGAGAGGCTGAGGTGGGCAGATCACTTGAGGCTAGGAGTTTGAGACCAGCCTGGCCAACATGGTGAAACTCCGTCTCTACTAAAAATACAAAAAAATTAGCTGGGTGTGGTGGCACATACCTGTAATTCCAGCTACTTGGGAGGCTGAGGCACGAGAACAGCTTGAACCCGGGAGGCGGAGGTTGCAGTGAGCTGAGATCACTCCACTGCACTCCAGCCTGGGCGACACAGCAAGACTCTATCTCAATATATATATTTCGCATATGTATATATTTCACTTATACATACATTTCACATATATATTTCGCACATATATATTTCACATATATATTTCATATATATATATATATATATATATATATATATATATATATGAATTTTTGTTTCTAATGCATTTTTTCCTCGTAATTCATGTAACTGCTATTAGGTAACCAAAAGTCTCCCTGCTCCTGAAAAGCTCAAAAACTTACACCCATAACAATTTTTATACACATTTGGTAAAATTCTTACCAAATACTCCATTTTTTTTTCTTTCTTTCTTTTGAGACAGGGTCTCTCTGTGTTGCCCAGGCTGGTTTTGAACACCTGGGCTCAAGTGATCCTCCTGCCTCAGACTCCCAAAGTGCTGGAATTACAGGCATGAGCCACCATGCCCAGCCCAAATACTCCATTTTTAAAAAGCATTTTTTTCCCTATACATTTCTGTGACTAAAACGATACTCTCTTTAAATCAAGATCTCTGGCTTTAGAAGAAACTTCAAAAAGTTGTAAACTAACTATTGCTGACTATTCCTACAGCTGATGGCCAACAACAGCCAATCGCTTATTGACTACTGTTCCATGGTATCATTCTATAAATGCTTAAGACAACATCAAATATTGCTATACCAGAAGTATCAAAAATATTCCTCCCCTTCCTTTTTCCCTCTCCTTTCTCTCTCTCCCCAAACTCCCCTGCAACCTCCATCCCCTGCCAAATATTGATTCTTAACCTCTTTAAGTAGAACTCAAGCTGGATTTCAAAAGAAAGCTATGGAGTATACACACAGGGAAATATATATAAGCAGGTATTTTTCGTACCATTTCGTAACATGGTTGATGGCCCTCCTGACACCTATCAACTGCTTAGTTCCAACATTAGATCACAATCCAAATTAAAAGATGCTAAAATTCTACAGAAAGATCACAAAGGATAAGGTTCTAAGAAGGTTCACAAGGATGTCCCTCTTAATCCCCTCCTGTTCTTTATGAAAGGTGATCTTGCAATCACCCAATCAAACATGGATCAGGGAATGAAAAAGACCTCTAGAAAAAAAGAGAAGAAAGCCAGCCCTTCTTCCATTCAGCCACAATGACAGACAATAGTGGGGTACTGCTTTCTAACAAGAATACTCCTAAGATGCACCAGCTCTAGAGATACTTGTCAAGGCTGCCATGTTCACCTCGCAGTTTAGTAAGGGGAAGAATGGAAAATAGTTTAGAATGTCTTATGCTATAAAAACATCTTCGATTAATCATGATCTGTAACAACAGCACATAAAGGTAAAGAATAATCAGTTGAATATACTTTACTTGAACAGCCAAGTGCTGGGACAATCCTCAAAGCACAATCCTCAATACTGTCTTTAACTACAGTTAAGTTACATATTCAGTTTGGGAGGCCGAGGTGGGTGGATCACCAGGTCAGGAGTTTGAGACCAGTTTGGCCAATATAGTGAAACTCCGTCTCTACTAAAAATACAAACAATTAGCCGGGTGTGGTGGTGTGTGCCTGTAATCCCAGCTAATCGGGAGGCTGAGGCAGAAGAATCACTTGAACCCGGGAGGTGGAGGTTGCAGCGAGCAGAGATCGCACCATTGCACTCCAGCCTGGGAAACAGTATGAGACTCCGGCTCAAAGAAAAAAAAATTACATATTCAAGAAAGCTCAATGATTTCAGCTATAGGGTTTCTCTAGCATAATTTACTAACAAAGGAAAGATTTATGAAGTTCACTTCTGTTCCTCAGTGCTTACTTAGGATAATACTTTGCCACAAAAAGCTAAGTTTACAACTAATAAAAGATGAATAATCAGGACACAATGGTATTCAATATCCTTCATTAAATAAGTTGTGCTCAGCGATTTTTCAGTTATTACCTTTTAAGTAGGAATAACGTCTCTTTAACTTCAGCCCAAACTTCAACCATGTTAAAGTGATAACTTCATATTTTTTTTGTTTGGGTTTTTTTGGTGTGGGATATTAGACCTTTGATATATATTTCTTTATGCTCATGCAACACAGACCTATAACCTTTATATTTATATGTTACATATTACAAATTATATCATATGAAATAGTCCTACAATGATTATATATATTTATGTATTAGTTATATACATATATATATATATATATACATATATATATATATGTATAAGTAAAATCAGGAAGTTTGAATTCTGAGGATTCATGCTGAGGCTGTCTTCTGGAGTCCTGGGCTATTCTAGACAGAGAAAGAAATCAATTCTAAAACATTCAGAAATAATGTACACGGCAATACATATACCATGTACTTCATAGTACATATGGTATATAAAGTATATACCATATACTTTAACAGGTATTCAAAATAATAACTAAAGAACAAAGGAACCAAAAACAAGAGTTTGCTAACAATTTAAACATCTATTTATATAGGTTTTAAGAGAATGTATGTTATGAACAACTTTAAGCGAATACATTTAGATATTAGACAAAATAATTCTTAGGAAAAAAGCTACCAAAATTGATTCAAGAAGAAATAAAAACAATGAATAATCCTGTTATTATTAGGAGGAAATTAAATCAGTAGAAATTCAATAAAAGTAAAAATGATAATACATCATAAATCAGCTGAGTTCATCTCAGAAATGCAAATATTTGCCATTGTCTAGCTCACCTCCCACTCCCTTCTCAATCTCCTTTGATTTCTACCTCCATTACTCTACCTAAATAGCAATCTTCAAAGTCATCAATGATTATCCACATCAGTCATTTGCGGTTCATGACTCACGTGGCCTCTCTCTGTTTAACTCTTGACCACTCTGTTCTTCAAATAACACAGCTTGCCAGACTTCTATGACTTCATAATCCTGATTTTCTTGGTCTCTTAGTAACTCACCTGTCTGTATCTAGCCTTTATTATTTACTAATTTTTGCTTAAAAGAAAATATTCTTTATATTTTTATTTTTTAATATTTCATCAAACCTAACCTTTGAAAACTTGGTAAATAAAAATAGAACTGTGGTTTTAGTTTGCATTTAATTCATTATCAGTGACATTGAGCTATTTTTTCTGTGAATCACTTGTTCTTATCTTTTTGTCCATATTTTCCCACAAAGATAGTATTGTAGTTAATGATTTATAAGGACTCCATATACAAATAAATTAGTTTTGTCTGTCATATGTATTTTAATATTTTTGTCTTTTAATTTTGTTTCTACATGAGGAAGATTCCTCACACAGAAAAACTAATTTCTGTATAGTCTCATTTCTGAATCATTTTTTTTCCTTTGAGAATAGGTCTCACTAGTGTTGCCCAGGCTGGTCTCAAACTCCTGAGCTCAAGCGATCAATAAATGCCTTGGAGAATTCTGGTTTGTCCTCATTGCACTGTGTGGGGTGAGTGAGGGCACCGTCATGGGAAGATGCTGGCTAACTGCACACTGATTTTTGATCCTCATGCCTCAGCCTCCCCAATGGCTAAGTAGCTAGGATTACAGGCACATGCCAACCATGCTTGGCTATTTCTGAATCTTTTATTACACATCATCACCAAGAGTGTATGGGAGTTCCAGTTTCTCCATATTCTCATCAACACCTTATGTTGGTAGTTTTTACTTTCTGCCAACCTGACAGGAGCAAATGATAACTGATTGTGGTTAGTTTGCATTTTCTCCCCGCACCCCCCCTTTTTTTTTTCGACAATGTCTTGCTCTGTTGCCTGGGCTGGAGTGAAGTGGCGTGATCTCAGCACACTGCAACCTCTGTCTCCTGGGTTCAAGCGATTCTCCTGGCTCAGCCTCCCAAGTAGCTGGGACTACAGGCATGTGCCACCACGCCTGGCTAATTTTTGTAGAGATGAGGGAGGTTCACCATGTTGGCCAGGCTGGTCTCAGCTTCCTGACCTCAAGTGATCTGCCCGCCTCAGCCTCCCAAAGTGCCTGTAGGCATAAGCCACTGAATCCAGCCCCCAATTTTTGAGAATGATCATGTACTAAGTATATTTATTGGTCATGTTTCCACATCTGTGAAATACCCATTCAAGTTTTTTACCTGATTTTCTATCAGTTTGTTTATTCTATGTATTTGCAAGAAATCTTTATATGAGATACTATCTTTTTTGCTAATTATATTTATTGCAAGTAATTCCCCCCACTTTTAAAAATTGTATTTTCATTTTCTAAAATAGGTATGTTTAATTTTAGTCCCAACTACGAATATTTTTCTTTATATTTTGTGCTTTCATTTTTGCTTTTGATCAACTTTAAGAAATACTTCTCCCCAAGATCATAAAGATATCCCATATATTTTCTTCTAAAACTTTCATAGTTTTGCCTTTTACCTTTAAGTCTTTACTTTGCCTCAAATTCATTTTTTGTCTATGGTAAAAAATAAAGGTTTGAGTTTTCCATGTGAATATCGAACTGCTAGCATTTTTTAAAACAACCTTTCTTATTCCTATTTATCTGTAATGCCATCTCTGACATAAACCCATTTTCCACATATGTATGAATTCTGGGCTCTGGGCTCTGTTTCATTGGTGTCTTTCTGTATTCATGCATCAACACCATATTGTAACAAATCTTGATACATGCTTGAGCAAAACCAGAAGAAAAAAAAAACAAATCTTGTTCTTCCACAGCCTCTTTGCACTTTTATACACATTTTAAATTAGGCCTATCTAACAATAAATCTTGTTTAGGTTTTAACTGGAACTTCACTGAACCCAGTGATCGATCTTAAGATAAGTTATACTGTTATATTAGTTTTCCTATCTGTGAACATGGTATTCAGTTCATTAATGTCTTTCAATACTTTTATAATTTTTTTCCCTGAGGGTTTTTACACTTCTTTTAAAGTATTTATTCTAAGGTACTTTATAATTTTTACGTTACTATATATGGTATCTTTAAAACTTATTGTATTCACTACTATGTTTAAAATGATGTTGTAGCTGGGCGCAGTGGCTCACGCCTGTAATCCCAGCACTTTGGGAGGCCGAGGCAGGCGGATCACAAGGTCAGGAGATCGAGACCATCCTGGCTAACACGGTAAAACCCCGTCTCTACTAAAAATGCAAAAAATTAGCCGGGCGTGGTTGCAGGCGCCTGTAGTCCCAGCTACTTGGGAGGCTGAGGCAGGAGAACAGCGTGAACCCGGGAGGTGGAGCTTGCAGTGAGCCGAGATTGTGCCACTGCACTCCAGCCTGGGCGACAGAGCGAGACTCTGCCTCAAAAAAAAAAAAAAAAAAGATGTTGATACAGATAATAAAAATGGCTAACACGTATATAACACTTACCAGGTACCAGACACTTTTCTAAATGCTTTAGATATATACTGATCCATTTAATCTTCACAACATCCCTATGAGATACCCTTATTTTAAATTAGAAAACAAAAGTGCAGGGAAGTTAAATAATATGTCCAAGGACACAGAGCTAGGAAGGGCAGAATCTGGAATTCAAAGCTAGGCAGTGTGGCACCAGAGTGAATGCACTCAATCACGAGGCAAATGACTCCCTGAAACCAATTTCTATATATTGGCTACCCAGCAACCTTGTTAAGCTCTTACTAATTGTAATAATTTAGCTTCATCAACCACCATATCCTCTATGAATAATGGACAGTACAATGACTTACGGTTTTGTTTCTTCCCATCTGATTCTTATGCTATTTATTTCTTGTACCTAGTGCAATGTTGAATATAACTGATAATGACAGGTATCTTGATCTTGCCCTTGATTTTAAAGGGAATGTTTTAAATTTTTTACAATTTAATATGATAAATTCTATTCTTTAGTAGACTTGCTGCCATCAGGCTTAATTTTCCTGGGTAGAAAATTCTAGAATGACTGCTACTTTCTCTCAGCACTCTCAAGATGTTATCACCTCCAATTTAATTGTCATTCATTTATGGGCAATCTTTTCCTCCGGCAGCTTTTAGTATCATCTTTGTCTCTTATGTCCTGCATTTTCATCATGATGTTCTAGGCTAAGTATTTGATGAACTTCTTATATCTAACTTTTGGTATCTTTCAACAATTATGTGAAATTCTCAGAAACTTTATCTTTAAATATTGTTGTGACATCATTCTATTTCCTTAGTATAGAACTTCTTTTACCTATGTTCAAATTTCTATCTTTATTCTTCATGTTTCTTAACCCTTCTTCATATCTAAAAATCATATCATGTTTCTTCATATCTAACATCTGGTTCACTGACTCTCTTCAGCTAGGTCTAATCTGCTTCTAGTCCATTGAGTTAACTATAATTATTACTATCTTCATTAATAAAGGTTATATTTGGTTCTTAAAAAAATCTGCTTCTCACATTTTAAAGCCTTTCTCATTTCTTTAAAAATATACTGTATTTAAACTGGGTGTGATGGTTTACACCTGTACTTCCTGCTACGTGGCAGGCTGTGGTGGGAGAACTGCTTGAGCCTATGAGTTCAAAGCTGTAGTGAGCTATGACTGTACTCCAGCCTGGGCAACATAGCAATGTAGCAAGAAAAAAAATTCTGTCTCTAAAAAAAATCCGTATTTGATAATTCCAACATCTTAAGTCTCAACTCCAATTCTCCTATTTTTGTGTGTGTTATCGTTTGTTTATAATACCCTGCTTCCAGTATGATTGATATATATTATTAATTCATTCACTATTTCCATAACTCATATTCTTTAAAGCTTGGAACAGGCATAAAGACAGACATCTAAGACCAATAAAATAGGAAGAAGAGTTCCAAGATAAGCCTTCACATATATGGTGAAATGATGTTCCACAAGGGTGCCAAGACCATTCAGTGGGAGAAAGCACAGTCTGCAACAAATAGTGCCAGGAAAACTGGATATCCATGTGCAAAAGAATGAAGTTGGATTCTTACTTTAAACCATGTAAAAAAATTAACTGCAAATGGGTCAAAGATTAAAGATAAGAGTTAAAACTATCAAACTGTTAGAAAACAAAAAACATAAAGAAAAAGCCTAATGTGAAGGTATTGGGAGGTGGGGCCTTCAGAAGCTGATTAGGTATGAAAGGTGGTGCCTTCATGAAGGTACCCTTACAAACAGACTGTGAAGACCTCCTTTGTAGCTTCCACCATGTGAAGATGCAGCGAAAAGACAGCTGTCTGTGGACCAGGAAGCAGTCCCTCACCAGCTACCAAATCTGCCAGCACCTTGATCTTGGATTCCCCAGCCTCCAGAACTGTGACAAAGAAATTTCTGTTGTCTATAAGTTACCCAGTTTATGGTATTTTGTTACAGCAGCCTGAATGCACCAAGACAGAGGATTTTTAGAAGATCTCCTATAGGTTAGTTTGAACTGATCTTTAGTCAGCAAGAGCATAATCTGTATGGTAAGATGGAAAAGGCCCATACCAAAAAAAATATGTAGTATAATGACTTAGATGTCAACCTTGCACAAAATGACTGTCAACAGTGAGCCACGATTGCACCACTGCACTCCAGCCTAGGCGACAAAGCGAGACTCCATCTCAAAAAAAAAAAAAAAAAAAAAAAAAGACTGTCAACAAATGACTGCTGAATTGGTGATGGGGTACTGAAGGGGTAAAGTTAAATAATACATTGCTTTTCATGGACTAGAAGTTTGAAACCAAGCTTTGTTGAAGGGTCAGAGGATGCCCCTAAGAGGCTATCAGTAAAATCCATCTATTAATAATCCTCTTATTGGACTTAAAGAATGTTGCTGACCTTTCTCTGCCAATTAAGGCATGAGTATCTGGTTAAGTATTAGATCTTTTTTTTTTTTTAACGGAGCTCAGACTCAACACCTATGAAGCCATTATGTGACATTCCATTAGGTAAATGTATAGGTTATTCAAGGGTTTACATGTCAACACCTTTTAAACACATGCTTTTTTTTTTTTTTTTTTTTTTTTGAGCAGAGTCTCACTGTGTCCCCAGGCTGGAGTGCAGTGGTGCGATCTCGGCTCACTGTAACCTCTGCCTCTCAGGTTCAAGCAATTCCCCTGCCTCAGCCTCCCAAGTAGCTGGGACTACAGGCATCTGCCACCACACCTGGCTAATTTTTTGTATTTTAGTAGAGACGGGGTTTCACCATGTTGGCCAGGATGATCTCGATCTCCTGACCTCGTGATCCATCCACCTTGGCCTCCCAAAGTGCTGAGATTACAATAGGTGTGAGCTACCATGCCTGGCCAAACACATACATTTAAAGAAAGTTCAGTACCATCACAGTGACTTGTGAAGTTCTTTCATTTTTTCTCAAATCTTTTAATGTGAAGTTCGACTATTGGTACCTTGGAACTTGGGAGAAGACTGGAACATCTGGAATGCCTAAATGCAGGACAATGACGACCCGTAAAGTTTTTTTAAACTTCCCCTCAATCTTATACATATGAGGTAGAAGTTATTAAAAAAAGTGTTTCTGGGTTATCTCCATCCTCTTTATATCAAATGAATAGAAAACTAGAAGCCAAAGAGCAAAGAATGCATGGCAGTAGTTTTATCACGCTTTTAATTTTATTTAAAATGGTTATTAGGACGTAGGCCATTTTTCATCTATTTTCACTCATCTTGTTTACTTTGCCACTGCCAAATCTCAGTCTTTTAGAAACAGATTACCAAATTCTGTTGGAGAAGATGAACCATCTATTCAGTCCACTTCCTTAGAGGGCATTAGTGTGATCCAGAGACAAAGGCTTATAGCAACTACGTTAATAATTCCAGTAGTTACCTCAGCTCACTACCAGAACCATACGATTAAAAAAAAAAAAGTCAACATAACTCCCCAAAAGAATGCCCCCATTCTGTTGATATTTGTTTTACTTAAGTTTAAAAGATTTAGACAAGCAGAACCTGTGTGCTTCTTAGAATCAGTGCCCATATTGACCACTTCCTCAGAAAGATATGCAGTATCAAAAGAAAGCCTCATACATTAGAATGCACTACACATCTCTAAACCCTTAAAAATTTATAGTAAAACTGTAGTAATTTATTTGGGGAGAATAAAATCTTAGTATCTGGATAAAAGTAATAAATCTATTATGAAGTGCTAACAAAGCCTCTTCCAGATTTATTTTGAAGACTCTAAGACTGAAAGCAATTTTTTCCCCCAATGCAAAAAAGTCTAGAACTGATCAGAGTGACCATTTAAAATATGTGGGGTGGTGGGAGGGTATCTAAATTCTCAGGGCCAACCAGTGACAAGTAGCTAAAGATAACCTGGCTAGGAAATTCACACCTTTGTGATTTAACAAACCAACCTTTCACTTCCCTTCCAAATTGTCTTTACAAAATCGGGTTGAAAAAAATTTTTTTGAAAGGATTTATGAAATAAAATATTCTGAACAAGAAGTCGGCAGACGTAGGTATCTTGTCCTGATTCTGCCACTCACTAGATGTCTGCTCCTAAGCTTTACTTTCCTCATTTGTGTTTTGGTAAGGTTTAAAGTTGTATTGTAAACTGTAAAATATTTTGCCTCCTCCTAACACCTATCCCTCTTCCTACCACTTTCAGGCTCTATCTACATTTTCTCTGTGGCTCCACATATAGGCATATGCAAGAAATTGTACACTGTATGCAAGCCGATGCCTTAAAAATTGGATAGCCTCATTACATTAAACAGTCCAAATTCCTCCTCTACCTTTCCAATTACTTAGAACATTTATTTGCCTAGAGTATTTCCTTCCATGACTATGGTATTTTTGCTTTTTAAATGTCAATAGTGGGTCCAATTCCCATCTGCTGAGAGTGAATTTCACTTTAGAATCAACCAAAAATCATTTAAAATCCATATGATTAATATGTGGGTAACCAAATGTGACAAAACCACTTTTGACTAAAAATATAAAAATTTTAAGAATCTGTCTAAAAAGCAACTAATTCTCTTTTAAGAGTCAAGATCTCACTCTGACACCCAGGCTGGAGTGCAATGGTACAATTACAGTTCATTGTAACCTTGAATTCCTGGGCTCAAGCAATCCTTCTGCCTCAGCCTCCTAAGTAGCTAGGATTGCAAGCACATGCCACCTCACCAGACTAATTTTTTATTTTATTTTTTGAGAGACAAGGTCTTGCTATGTTGCCCAGGCTGGTCTCAAACTCCTCACCTCAAGCAATCCTCCTGCCTCTGCCTCTCAAGTGCTGGGATTACTGGCATGAGCCACTAAGCTGGGCCTCATTTTCTTGCCCTGCTTATGTATTGGTTCAAACAGTAATTCCAAACCTTGAATACCACAAATGTTCTAAGCGATATTTGCATATTGGCTTGACTTTCAAATTAGTTATTGAAAGTGTCAATACCTACCCTAAATTAAGGTCAATTATGTACGGGACAATATTCTCCACTGGACTACAATTTACCCATTTTTCTATCTCCAGCACAAAGTATACTTCCTTATAAAATAAATACCTGCTATGGTCTGAATGCTCGTGCCCCCGTGAAACTCACATGTTGAAACCTAAACATCAGAGTGATGGTATTAAGAGGTGAGGCCTTTGGAGATGATTAAGTCGAGAACAGACCCCTCGTGAATGGGATTAGCATACTTATTAAAGACCCTCAGGGGAGCTAGCTACCTCCTTCCACCACGCAATAACACAATGAAAATGCACCACCTATGAGAAAGCACCCATCATCCCAGACACTGAATCTGCCAGCACCTTGATCTTGGACTTCTCTGCTTCCAGAACTGTGAAAAATAAATTTATGTTGTTTATGAGTTACCCAGTTTATATTATGTTGTAGTGGCCCGAGTAGATTAAGACAGTACCCAATAACTATTATCATCAAGAATAAATATTTACATACTTTAAAGTATTCCAATGTGTGATAAAAGACACTCTTCATCTATCTTCTTTATTGCCGAATTATTTATAAATCAATTGTAAAGTAGTTAAAATAAATCAACAAGGTATAAATAAAGCAGTAACAAAGCCATTATTTGAAATACTTACCACTCTTCAATGGCATCCAGCATTACACAGTTATAATCAGTACTCAGTCCATACATGAAAACTGATAAGGGAACATCTACAAAATAAAAATAAAAACAGAAACATGTAGAGAATTATGATCAGAAGCTCCCCCAGCCCAATAATTATCTCTTCATTGTCTTCTCTATTCATTTTTTTCCTCCTGGTTTCTGTCTCCCTTTCACTCCTGTTCCATTCTGGGGGAGGGAGCTGTCTGTTTTCTGCATATCTCAGTTCCTTCTCTCAAGCCTTTCCATTCCTCCCTCTTCTTTCCCTCCTCTTTTCTCAATAAGCTTTTCTCTTTTTCTTCCCTTCAGTACATTCTCATCTGCTATCCAGAGTCCCAGTGTCAGCTCACCAATCTCACGCAGCTCTACTTGGGAAAACCACCTGTAACGCAGCACATGAGCTTGCTCTAGTGTTTTTACATACAGCACAAAACATTGATTTTTAGTCAATCACTGCAGTTATGATACATGCTACACACAGTATAGGTAGCTTACATACAGTATCTCATTTTATCTTCACAGATTGATGGTGTTGCTCTCATTTTCAGATGAGAACAACAGACTCAGAAAGGTTAAGAAACTTATCCGAGGTAACCAAACTGGTAAGTTGGTTTTCAAGTCCAGGCCTGATGCTTAAGTATGGATCTAAACCACTACACTATTCAAACTCCGTTCTTTTTGTGTGTGCGTGTGAGACAGTCTCACTCACTCTATCACCCAGGTTGGAGTACAGTGGCATGATTTTGGCTCACGGCTCACTGCAACCTCCGCTGCCTGGGTTCAAGCGATTCTCCTGCTTCAGCCTCCTGAGTAGCTGGGATTACAGGCATGTGCCACCGTGCCCGGCTAATTTTTGTATTTCTAGTAGAGATGGGGTTTCACCATGTCTTGAACTCCTGACCTCTAGTGATCTGTCCGCCTCAGCCTGCCAAAGTGCTGGGATTACAAGAGTAAGCCATGGCACCTGGCCCCAACTCCGTTCTTGTATTTCTTTCTAGAGGCATTTAAACCCTAACTCTGACCGTATGCACCATGGAGACAACAGAAAACTATAATTAGCCCAAATCCTAATGACCTATTATAATGAGCTTTCATGTTCCTGTGAAGCTAGACAACTTTTAACTTATTTCGTGATTTCAAGATAATACTAGTGATTATAAGGTATATCTCTATATGGTACTAATTAATATATTTAAAATGCTATGCATTTTCAAGAAAAGGTAACTTTTATTGGTGAAACATTTAGCAAAATTTGAGATTTACTCCAAATTCTAGATCTTTTTTCTTTTCTCCAAGTTAAGCATCCAAAAAAAGGTCAAAAGCTATTTAAAGCTGACACTGTAGATTGGTCTTTGAAAATATTTTAGAACTCATCATATAAATAAAAGAACATCTTATCCTTTACTGACTTACTAGTTCGTGTATATTTTACTCAAGTGCTTTAATTGTCATTGTCTAAGAGACCCAAAGAAGTAAACGTAGAGAATAAAAAGAAATAATCAGGGACAAATATAACCATGCAATATCAGGGTAATTAAAATGAGAGACTGGCATATAAAAATAAAATGTCAAATAATTTGGGAACCAGAAATTCTGAGTACTGTGATAGTGATGATCCATCTCTCTCACCAGCATTCACATAAGGATATCATTAGTAACATGAAATATTTAGCAACAATTATATGAGTAATATGTGTATTTGAAAACTGATGACTGATGACATTTCTATGTCTACTGTAATTATAGTAAGTTGAAAGATAGTTTTTAAGTTAGTACATTAATAAGAATCTGAAGCAAACTTGTAAGTTAACACAACTGTCATGTATAAGAAAGGAAATATGCATGAAGATGTTACCAATTGTCTTAATTTGATCATGAAAGTTCTCAAGGGAGGATGTCAACACAAAGACACTTGCACAGAGCTGTTCCAGACTTTCTGGAATGGCAAAAGAGTGGCATACAAAATCCCTGCAATAGGAAAAAGAAAAGTTGGCTACAGGACACTGAAATTACAGAACCACACCAACCACAGGTTTTAACAAAGAAGGTACTGATTTGGTAAACCTTTCTACAATTCATGGGTGATATTCCATGAAAAGAAAAACTAGGGCTGGGCATGGTGGCTCACACCTGTAATCCCAGCACTTTGGGAGGCCAAGGCAGGAAGCTTGCTTGAGGTCAGGAGTTTGAGACCAGCTCGGGCAACATAGTGGGACCAAAAAGTTAAAAAATTAGCCAGGCGTGCCTGTAGTCCTAGCTACTCAGGAGGCTGAGGTGCGAGGATAACTTGAGCCTAGGAAGTCAAGGCTGCAATGAGCTGTGTTTGTGCCACTGCACTCCAGCCTGGTTGACAGAATAAGAGCCTGTCTCAAAACAAACAAACAAAAAAAGAAAATGAAAAACCAAAATGGTCTTCAATAGCTTTTTTCTCTACCAGAAGCTATCTAGTAGAGTACCTATAAATTTAATCTGCAGAAGATTAATCTGCACAGGAATATAGTGTTTGCATAGATATGGTTGAAAATATTTAACTAAAGTTCCTATTAAATACAAGAATTCTGTATTGATTAACATTTCAATTTTTCCTCCTTAAAACCACTTGTTTAGCAAGAAAAAAAGGCTTACAGAAGAGTTTGGAAAAAAGGCCTCAGTTTCATCTGTTTTCAATCTCTGTTTAAGGAGATGCTAAGGATGTGTTTCATAATAAGAATCCAAGTGACAAGGAGTCAAGTCTGTAACAACTGTGTTTAGCTGTGAGAAAAAATCCAGAAGAAATGCCCATTTCCCATTCTTCAGGAAATTGTATGGGAGTACAGAAAACAGATAAACAATATCAACTTAAGCAACGTATGTTTGAGTATATAATAATATTGGAAAAATTAAGCTTGAAATAAAAAGAAACAGAAGCAGAGAAATGAAGTAATCAGTGTGGTAAGAGTTGGGTAAAAATCTATTCCACTCAACCTCAATTATTTAGACAAGTAAGTCTGAGGAAGTTTTCAAAGTCTGAAAAAAGTCTTATGTTGAAAGAGAAGATCTTAACTTCTGGAATATGGAAAGGCATAGAGCTAGAAAAAACTACTACTTAACAAAGTTTGTCACCTGGACATGTCCTATACTTCCTAATTATAGATCACTGGCTACGCAAGCTGGGGGACACCTAACAAGTACATCATGAAATTACCTGTATTTCTGGTCTAGTGAACTAGGGGAAGTGGTTCTCAAACTGTGGTCCCTAGATCAGCAGCATCAGCACAACCTGGGAACTTGTTGGCAATGCAAATCCTCTGGCTTCATCCCAGACCTACTGAATCTAGAGGCTGGGCCCGGAAATCTGTGGTTTGACAAGTTCTCCAGGTGATTCTGATGTAAGATAAGTTTGAGATCCGCTGGTCTAAGATAATTCTGAGGAAGGCATCTAATCAGGTATATAAGAACTATTTTTTCCTTTTCCTCCTTTTTTTTTTTTTTTCCTTAATGTATCAGGAATCTCTTTTAGCCAGAGTCACTATTAGGAAAAAGAAATACTTGCAACTGGGAACTTCACTTTCAGGCTTAAAGCTCCTGCAGAGGAAGAAACCAAAAGATAAATGAAAACGTGATTTTGCTTTTTGCAGGGGGAGGGCAGGAAGGGGGGAAGATAGGCATTCAATTAACAAATTATCCAGTGGCTACCTTGTTTCAGGCACTCTGCAAGAAGGAAGACAAGGAAGTAGAAAAGAACTGTGAAGGTCACTAACAATTTTAACTTGGGTATCATTCAATGTAGTACTAACACAGGTTGCCAATTCCTGGTATACACATGCAGTAATATCCACATGGGCAATAAAATATTTATAGTGAAGTAACAGACCAGCAAAGCAAAAAACTATGGTTCATCCTTGATGATCAAAGGGATTGGTGATTCTCCAACTTCAGTGTGTATCAGAATCACCTAGAGGGCTTATTAAAATACAGATTACTGGGTCCCACCTCCAGAGTTTCTAATTCTGTATGTTTAAGGCCCAAGAATTTTTATTTCTCATAAATTCCCAGGTGACATTGATAGTGAAGAGAAACGACAGTTTGAGAACCACCAATCTAGGTGATGAAGCACAGTAGAATTTAAGTATTCCAGGAAGGAAATGTCTGAGGATTACCAGTACATTTCTCAAGGTGTTCATATTTATTGCACAGACTTTGTCTGTTGCCCCTCAGGGAAAAGGCAAGAGAGGGATTATGCTTTTAAACTATGTGGTTAAACTATTTTATTTTGATAATGCATATTACATAGTCTATGTTGAATCAACCAACCTCCATTATGAAGGGTTTCCCAAACTAGAAGCCAAAACTGGCACTCAAAGATTTCCATGATTTTGTGATGACTCAAATTATAATCTTGTTTTAATGACCTATGCTGTATGGATGTATTTCTCTAAAAATTTGGGGCAGGCTCTCCTCTAGGTCCAAGGAGGATCCTGTATCTATCTAATTATATAGTCAAATGAGAGCAGACTTAAAAATAATTTACATGTTTAAAAGACTGTCCCAAGAGCCCAGGCTATGGGGAGGAGTACTTCCAGTCCAGCTGCTTTTCATCACGGGGAAAAATCAAAGTTAAGGGGCCCCCAGGGGTTAGGACTCCCTTGGTTTCTTTCCCTTTGGAGTCTAGGAGCTGCAGTACAAACAGATTGAGTTCCACAAAAAGGCCAAGGTCATCCTGGTTGCAGAGAAAGGTGAGAAACAGCTCAACTTTTCACTCAATCCTTCAGTCCTAGTCCTTCCTTCAGCTTTCTCAAAAAGGACATATTCTGACTGGCTTGACTGAAATAGACCCACTCTACCATAAAGTAAGCTAGCACAGGATAACTTGCATCTTATTCCACCAGGAAGATTACCTGGATTACCTATCCTTCTACAAATCAGCATTCTTTTTTCAGCCCAAGCATTAAATATAACAAATGCCATCCTCTGTGTTACTGATAGCGAAAAACTGAGAATGGCAAAAAAGTCACCACTTTGCCTGCTTAAAGCCACTTGTCTTCCCTATGCAGATATAAACAGAGAGATAATTACCTTGCCAAGGTCCTTGAAATCAGATATGGTGTTAGAAGGGTATGAAATATGGAAGATGACTGTGCTAATAGGTTGTGAAAGATGAGGACAGATCAATCATGTACAACCCCAAACTGAGTGTATTCTCTGCTCAAACAGATGGAAATTATATGCAAAAGAAGTTGGGAATTGTCATAAAAGCACAGGGATTAGTTACTAATCTATTATGGTTATGAGGCTTTTTAAAAGACATTAGGGAAATACAAAGAAATAATCAGATGATTAAAGATAATGACACAACTTTCAAGGGAATTAATAACTACAAGTCTTGGAAAGGAAATAATAATAAAACGACCTTATTTAGGCTGGGCTCAGTGGCTCACGCCTGTAATCCCACCACTTTGGGAGGCTCAGGTGGGTGGATCAACTGAGGTCAGGAGTTTGAGACCAGCCTGGCCAACACGGGGAAACCCCATCTCTACCAAAAATATAAAAACTAGCCGGGTGTGGTGGTGGGCGCCTGTAATCCCAGCTACTTAGGAAGCTGAGGCAGGAGAATTGCTTGAATCCAGGAGATGGAGGTTGCAGTGAGCCAACATGGTGCCACTTCACTCCAGCCTTGGTGACAGAGTGAGACTCCGTCTCAAAAAAAAAAAAAAAAAAGGACCTTATTTAAACCCTGAAATTGGTCATAACTAAATATTCACACAATTCATTTTGATTAATGTAGGAAAATAGCTATATAGGTAATACATTTTTAACTAGAAATTCATAAATTTCTAACTAGGATTGACCAATACTGAATCAACTTTTCCTCCCCCTGTGAGTTGTTTTCCGGTTAAAAACCACAAGTATTCCTCAGCTTCTCTTTCAATGTCAATGAGGTGTGCATGACGTCATCTTGCATATAAAATATTCCTCCCATTTTAAAACATTAAACTATCTTTCTGTGTTAATTCAAAGAAGTCAACAGCTTTATTTTCCACATTTTAGTATGAAAAACATAGCTGCTGACCATTATTCACCTTTTATGATCTGCTGAACCTAAAATTAAAAAAATGTATTACTTGATAAGGTTAAAACAAGTTATCTAATACTGTAATGGAGTTATGCCCAGAAAAACACTAATACACAATTATAAATTTCTAAATGTATCTAATTATACATCTTTCTCATGAAAGAGTTCACTTACACATTTTCTTTAGGTACTTACATTAAATGTGGGGGTAACAAAGCTAACAACTAGCAATTCATGTGCCTTCTTACTAATGTCCCTATCAAGAATGAATTTTAATATAACTTGTCTACTTCTAACATTCATTTTAAGATTCTACCTGACTTTAGTAACAAACAGGCTTCTCAAAAATTCTTCAGAAACTGTTTGATCGTGCAATGTCAAAGTACTGCAACAAACCTGGTGGGAATTATACCAAATAGACCAACTGAAGACTTAAAAAGACTTCAAAAAAAAAAAAAAAACTGTAGGCAAAAGTTGAATATTATTGAGTCCCCAGGAGAAATAAACTGGAGTACTGGTCATAGCATTCTAGGCAGAGAATGAACTCTTGGGATGCTGCTATTCCTTTGTCAGACTAAAAATTTTAGTCCTACTTTTGAATTGTCATATTAAATACCAGATCACCAAAATAGAGTAATTTTCAGACTGCAAATTTGTACCAAGCAAAAAATTTTCCTCTAAAAAATTTAGCATAATTCAGATAGATTATTTTTAAGAGAAAATTATTTGACTTATTCACGCCATGGATAAGAGATAATATTTTTGGTGGCAGTTTGGTGAAGCCAGACCACCTGGTCTGTGGCTCACGCCTATAATCCCAGCATTTTGGGAGGCTGAGGCCGGTGGATCACTTGAGCTCAGGAGTTCAAGACCAGCCTGGGCAACATGGCGAAAACCTGTCTTTACAAAAAATACAAAAAAAAAAAAAAAAAAAAAAAAGGCTGGGCATGGTGGCACACCTGTATTCCCAGCTGCTCGGGATGCTGAGGTGGGAGGATTGCTTGAGCTCAGAAGGTGGCTGTTGCAATGAGCCTTGTGATCATGCCACTGCACTCCAGCCTGGGTGAGAGTGACACCCTGTCTCAAAAAACAAAACAAACAAGAAAACCCCCAAAACCCAAATTTTATCTGCCCCTTACTGACTGCAACGCTAGACCCATTACCTATACTTTTGTGCCTCAGTTTCTTCATACGTAAAATGGGAAAAAAATAACAGTATTTAGTAGATTAATTCAGTTAATCAACACTCTTCTGCTATATTGATTACTACAACACACAGAACAGTGACTCATTTATGGTAAAGCGCTATATAAGTATTGGCTATTATTATTAATGTATGTTTAATCAAATAAAGAGGCATAATATTTTAATCCTCACAGTTTAATGTTAATCATCTAACATTCCTCCATTCTTCTTCAAATAGTTATATTATTTATTGACCTGGGAAGTCTTTGTTTCTGTTTTAGCCTTAAAAGAGAACAAGCAGCTGGGCGCAGTGGCTCACGCCTGTAATCCCAGCACTTTGGAAGGCTGAAGTGGGAGGATCATGAGGTCAGGAGATCAAGACCATCTTGGCTAACATGGTGAAACCCCATCTCTACTAAAAATACAAAAAAAAAAATTAGCCTGGTGTGGTGGCAGGCACCTGTAATCCCAGCTACTCAGGAGGCTGAGGCAGGAGAGTGATGTGAACCCGGGAGGCGGAGCTTGTGGTGAGCCGAGATTGTGCCACTGCACTCCAGCCTGGGTGACAGAGCAAGACTCCATCTCAAAAGAAAAAAAAAAAAAAAAAGAGAGAGAGAACAAGCATATATTAAAGTGCTTGTATTTGTACCTTGGATAAGCAGGCATGTAATACCTTAGGAAAAACTAAAACACTAGGTTTAACTGCTGGGAATAGGCTTGAAAGACCCATGAAAAAGACAATATTGCAGAAGACAGTCAACCAAAATAATTTATAAGCAGATTTTCCCATTTTACGTATGAAAATTTTCCATTTTACATATGAAAAAACCAAGGCACAGAAAGACACTAGGTTTAATTGATTAGCATGGGCTTGAAAGACACAAAAAATTGCATTTTCTAGAGAGAAAAATGGATTTGAGGAACTTAAAACAATTTTTTTTTCTTTTGCTGTTCACTTAAGCTGATTCTTACTCCTTGGCCAAATGTGACTTTATATAAAACATACCATACAGATGTAAAGGTTGTATAAATCTTCGTAAGAATACCATTCTAAACTCAAAGAGTTTATAGACTTTCCTAACCACCATTGCCCTATGTAATTATACCACTGAAGAATTTGTTGTTGATTTAATAAAAGCTTTTTCCTTATTTAGAGACAAGATCTTGCTGTGTTGCCAAGGCTGGAGGGTGGAGTGCAGTGGTGCAATCATGGCTCATTGTGTGCCTGACAGCATCACAAGAGTCAAGTTCATTTCTCTGCCTAGAATGCTGTGATCAGTACTCCAGTTTATTTCTCCTGGTGACTGGATAATATTCAAAATTTGCGTACAGTTTTCTGCACGCTTGAACTCCTGGGCTCAAGCAATCTTTCCACCTCAGCCTCTTGAGTATCTAGGACTACAGGCGCATGCCAGGATGCCTGGCTAATTTATATATACAATGTATATATAAATTATATACAAAATGTATATATAAATTATATATAAAATGTATATATAAATTATATACAAAATGTATATACAAATTATATATAAAATGTATATACAAAATTTATATATAATTTATTATATATAAATTAATATACATTATATTTAATTATATAATTACATATAATTTATATATAAATTTTATATCTAATTTATATATTATATATAATTTATATATAAATTATATATAAAATTTTATATATAAAATACATATAAATTAGATATAAAATTTATATATAAATTAGATATAAAATTTTATATCTAATTTATATATAATTACACCAAAAAAAAAAAAAAAAGCCAGGCATGGTGGCACAAGCCTTTAGTCCCCAGCTATTTGGGAGGCTGAAATGGGAAGACTGCTTGAGCCCAGGTGATCAAGGCTGCAGGAAACCGTGATCACATCACTGCACTCCTGGGCAACAGAGTCAGACTCTATGAATTCTATAAAAGAATTCATCGCCCAGGCTGATGCAGAGGCACAGTGATGGCTCACTGCAGCCTTGACCTCTCAGGCTCAAGTGATCCTCCCACCTCAGCAACCTACCCCCTCTACCCAGGAGCTGGGACTATACGCATGTGCCACCGCATCACATTAATACTTAAATTTTTTGTAGAGATGGGGTCTCACTACGTTGCCCAGGCTGGTCTTGAATTCCTGAGTCCCAGTGATCCTCCCACCTCAGCCTTCTAAGGTGCTGGAATTGCAGGCATGAGCCACTGTGCCTGACCCTATTTTTTAATTTTTTGTAGAGGCAGGGCATTGCTATATTGCCAAGGGTGGTCTCCGACTTCTGGACTCAAGCGATCCTCCTGCCTCGGCATCCCAAATTACTAGGATTACAGGTGTGAGCCACTGTGCTGGCATGCTTTCTCCCTTTTGACTTGCTCTATTATATTAATGGCACAAAATTTATAGTAATGTTTTCATCTATGTATATCGAGAAAATATTTGCCTATATATCTCCTTTACATACAATTCATTTTTTTTGCTCATAGTTCTTGCTAAGATCCTACATTAAATGCTTACATGAGCTTGAAGTCTCTCTCTAAACAAAGCTTTACTGTAAGCCACAGAGTGGAGAACACTGCCCCATCCGGAAAAGAGGTTACAAGGTACAATAATTGTGGACTAACAGAAGAAGCAAAGGATTGGCAGTTAAAAACCTATGTTTGAATCCTAGCTCTTTCACTATTTAGCTACTTCAGTTCATAAAACTGAAATGTGTTCATCTCTCGATATTACTGCTAACTTTGTTTTTGATAAGAGGGGTGTCTCACATGCTTTAAAGAATCTGATGAAGTCATAGATCTTTTCTTCAACAAAAATTAACACAATCCACACATTTTTGCATACAGTTAGGGGCTTCAAGTAATCACACAAGTCCATGTATCCTAAGAACCCTCTAGAATACTAGATTACAATGGTTCCTGCTGTTTTAATATAAAAATGCCATTTCCGCATTCATATTCTTTCTCACACACACCCTTAAAGTCTTGCTGTGCAACGTGTAAATGTACCAGAGCTCACAAGCTTACTTTTAAACACATAAAAGAAATGAAGTTTTATCTTTATTGGCAAAGTTTCCCCCCTTGAGGCATATTAACAGTGATTGTGTGTAGTTTTAGATTTATATCAGGACAAACTAGATACTCAAATCAGTTATTTTATTAATCATTATCCTAAAAAATCTTCAAATTTAGTTACAGTAGCTTAATTAAACCTCAGATAAACCTTAAAAATCAAAATATGTTTTGTATACCTAGGGTCTAATAGGCACGAACAGAGCTATGCAAAACTGGGTTTGGATAAGGATTTAATTGTCCACATGTATTCAGTCACATTGGTGAAAGCAGAAACTGCATCTGTGCCAAAGTCTCAGCTGCTGTAATTAAAGACAGACCCCCCCCCGCCCCCACTCCCCCCTCAGGAGCAGCTAGCTATCATTATTTTCAAAGGGCAGCAATCACAAAGGCTTTGCATTATGTGGATTGCACATTCCAAGGATATAGGATTGCTACCAGACTTCGGGGACTATCCTAATAAGCAAAGTAGTTCATTAAAGCAATCATCAAATTTACATACAAGTTTTAAATTTTCTGAACTTTGCTTAGTTTGTCATGTGAGTTTACCTCCCTTTGTGAAATAGAGCTATTTCTGAAAAGTTAATTTCTGATCATCTTGCCCTACTACTTGACTAACTTTATAAAGCTTGGAAGTATTATTACAAAGCAAGAGTAAATCACCACAGAACATCAATTTTAAACATGCTTAATTGAACAAAAAAATTAGTTCCTCTTTGATAAAGATAAGTAACAAAATATAAACGGAAAGAAGATGAGGTTATTTTTCACCTTTGATATCACATTTAATAGATTCAGAGGAAAACTAATCCCAACTGTGCAACACATTCAGGGGCTGGAGATTTAATGAGATTCCATTAGACCTAACAGGATAACATGTAGGCACTTCAAATCCCCTCTATCATCCTTCATGAAGCCAAGCTATTTTGAAATAAATGAGAAATAGGAACATAGCAAAAGCAGACCAAAGCAGTACATTTACCAAAAATTAAAACTGCCAATTTTCCAAAATTTTTGGGTACTGTGAAAATCATGATTGTTTTCTCTAACTTGAAGAAATTTTGTAATCCAGTACAGTATATCATCCTTCGGTACAATAAAAAAAAAAAAACTTTAAAGTGCTCAAGTACACTAGTAGGTGTGCTGGGAGAAAAAGTGACCTTCGGATCTCCTGAAATTGAGTAAAAGCAATATAATTATACTTCACTGATTTTGTAAAACATTTTTTAACATACTAAAGCCATATACTAAAGCGGAAATTATCACTAGCTGCTAGGATTAAAATTTCAAAAAGTGCCAGTGGAAGTTCTTATGCTTTCTTCCCACTGGCCAATAAGACTCCTACGGGTAATTTCTTATGTTTGCCTAGTTCCATGAATTCTTTTACAGAATTCATAGAGTCTGACTCTGTTGCCCAGGACTGCAATGATGTGATCACGGTTTCCTGCAGCCTTGACCACCCGGGCTCAAGCAATCTTCCCATTTTAGCATCCCAAATAGCTGGGGACCAAAGGCTTGCACCACCACGCCTGGCCTTTTTTTTTTTTTTTTTTTTTTTGGTAGAGACGGGGACTATGTTGCCCCAGGCTGGTCTTGAACTCCTGGCCTCAAGCAATCTCCCACCTTGGCCTCCCAAAGTCCTAGGATTACATGGCATTATTTGGCACTCATCCAAATAATTTATTTAAAAAAGAAAACATACATGGGTTTTGATGCTTAAGCACTCTCCCTCAAATTTTGACATCTTTATGATTAGGTAGGGTTCAGATTTTAAAATATCTTTGCAATAAGGTAAAGAAAGATCTATGTTTTGTTTTTTAATTAAAGGCCTTTAAGAAAGTGGGCAATAACAAAGCATTAAACGTATCTCTAAATACTGATTTCACTCCTCCAGTTCCCTTAACTTCAACTGTTAAAACGAACTCTCCCTTTCAAGCAGCGATGATATATTTTGGATGAACCTTAAAATCTTTTAAAAATATTCAATAAATTTAACCATTTTCTCAATGTGAACTCAACGACATTTTAATTAAAGCTTGTACCACTTTATTTTTATTTTTTTGAGACAGAGTCTCGCTCTGTCGCCCGGGCTGGAGTGCAGTGGTGCAATCTCAGCTCACTGCAGCCTCAAACTCCCAGACTCAAGCGATTCTCCTGCCTCAGCCTCCCGAATAGTTGAGATTACAGGCGCGTGGCAACACATCAGCTAATTTTCGTATTTTTTGTATTATTACTACTACTATTATTATTATTTTTTGTAGAGACGGGATTTCCCCATGTTGCCCAGGCTGGTTTCGAACTCCTGGGCTCATGCGATCCGCCCGCCTTGGCCTCCCAAAATGCTAGGACTACAGGCGTTGAGCCACAGCGCTCGCCAAAGCTTGTATCACTTCTCTTCCTTCTCCACCAACACACATAGTCGTCAAAAAGGAAATTCAAAAATAAAAAAAGCGAATAATGGTATCACTTCTACTTCATACTTTGAAACAGCCCCATATTCACCCATCACCCCCAAAAGCAATCAGTGCACTTAGGGCGTTGGGGTGCTTCACACTGCACTTAGAGCTCACCATTTTTAAACTTGAAGGGAACCGTGGTATCTTCAAAGTCTCCGAGTTGCCAGCGACCTCAGCCTCTCCACTTTCTCGAACATCATCCCTGGGCACTGTCTCCCGACACAGCCAGCGCGGTGGCCATGCGCCTCAAACCGAGCATTCCAAACGCGGAAACTCAACCCCGAGCGCGGAGAGGATGGAAACTGCCTGAAAGGATCTGTGCAGGGCTGGGCTTGGGACGCGGCTCACACGAAACTGAGGCAGGAGTCTCTTCCTGCACCCGCACCACGCCGGGACCCGAGGGGTTTCACTCCCTTCACTGAGCCGAGCCAGGAAGCCAAGAGCCACCAGGGCGAAGCAGCCCTGCAAAACCTCCACTCAGCCTTACAACAGCCACAGCGCCGGGACACGCGGCACCGCATCCCGGGCGCGCCAGTCCTCCTGCAGTCGGGGGACGCTCCCCTCAGGCGCCCGCGTCGGAGCCCAGCTACCCCCGCGCCGCCCTCACCTACCGAGGCTCCCCCGCGTCCACCGGCTCCTGCAGCGAGACAGCCGGCGCAGGCGGGCATGGTCCGAGCGCGGGCTCTGCAGGGGAGAATGAGGCGCGCGGACTGCCAGTCACCCGGGCGGCGTTCCCCGCCCTAGCGCTCCAGGGTCGCGAGTCCCACAGGAGTCCCGAGTTGCGGTCCCGGGGCGGCGGGGCTCCCGCCCCCTCCCCGCCCCCGCGGATATCCCCACGCACCACGAAGATCCCCACGCGCCCTGCGCAACGCGGCTGCTCCGCGCTGCCTTCTGCTGACTACAAACTGCGCCTCCAGGGAGCCAGGGCGAGGCGGAGGCCACCACCAAGTTGTGGCGCTCTCTCCTCTCGCTGCCTCAGAGCAGCGAGTTTCTCCTCAGCTGCAAACAAGGACGCAGGGCCAGCTCCGTGGGGCTCAGCGGGGGCAGAGGGAGAGCGAAAGCGCGGGAACCCGCGCATCTGAGGAAAGCTAAACATTTCACCTGTAGAGTCGGCTGCCCTGGCCCTCGGAGGCCCACCTTTGGCCCCAGAGTCCCTGAATCAATGATAATTAACATTTTTAAAAAATTTATTATTTTTAAAAATAAATTTAATCGGGAAGCTCCGAGCCAGAAGAGTAGCGTCTGAGACTCCCCATAATTAACATTCTTCACTCCTTAATTTTAATTTACCTCACACCAAACTAGCTGCTAACCCTCCTCTCCTCATCTGCCACATTCCCCACAAACCTTGAGCTGTCTTCTTTGCTCAGTCAGTTCCTCAGACTCAATCTTAGCACGGTACAGACCTTCGCCCACTGCCTTCCCTGGAAGCCTCAGGAACACAGCAGCACCCCCCAGCGAGGTGCGCACAGTGAGCAGGCAGCTCGGAAAGCAGCGGCGCTTGCGCACTGCGCCGGGGGCGGAGCCAGAGGCCCTGCACGTGGAAGCTCGAAGCCCGTAGGTGGGGCCCGCGCAGGAACGGACTCCTGAGAGACTTTCCATGTCCTGAAGCAAACTGTGTGTTCAGTGCCTACTCCGTGTACACGGAGTGGGCCTTCAACAAAACGATCGTTTTGTCATGGCTTTCTAATTTAATTCAAAAGGAGTTAGAAGATCGGGGAGGACTTTATGTTGCTCAGCTAATGGCCAAATCCCTTAGCTAAGGCTTCAGCTTGGAGCTAACAAGTACATCCAAGTTTCAGGGATCTAAAGCATGAAGATTTTTACCAGACTCATTCTGTCGGGTGCGGTGGTCGGTGATCTCAGCACTTTGGGAGACCAAGGTGCGTTCAGGAGTTTGAGACCAGCCTGGGCAACATAGTGAGACCTCCTCTGCCAAAAACAAAAAAAATCCTTGCACTCAGAAAATTAATTCTACTTCATAGCGCGGCTTATGAAAGCCTGATTCAGAGGCTATATAGATTACAGAATCGAAGTCTTCCAGTCCAGTCACTCAGATTTAGTTTTACAATTGCAGGCCTGAGAGTCACTTCATCCTTCAGTGGGTGAATCCTTTAGGGGCGAAGACGCTGAAGACAGGCAGCTTAAAAGATGCAGTATTCGGCCGGGCGCGGTGGCTCATGCCTGTAATCCCAGCACTCTGAAAGGCCGAGACGGGCGGATCACCTGAGGTGTTCCAGACCAGCCTGGCCAACATGGCGAATCCCAGTCTCTACTAAAAAATGCAAAAATTAGCCAGGCGTGGTGGCGTGCGCCTGTAGTCCCAGCTACTTGAAAGGCTGAGGCGGGAGAATTGCTTGAATCCGGGAGGCGGAGGTTGCAGTGAGCCAAGCTCACGCCACTGCACTCCAGCCTGGGCAAAGGAGTGAGATTCTGTCTGTCTGTCTGTCTGTCTGTCTGTCTCTCTCTCTCACACACACACACACACACACACACACACAAAGATGCACTATTCCATTTTCCAATAATCACTTTCTGTAAGGCAAGTTTTAAGTGTATTTTACAACTGGATTGAAAGAGGAGCTTCAGGGATCTGTGAATACCGTAAATCTGAGAATTAATTTTTTTTTTTTTTTTTTTTTTACGGAATCTAGCTCTGTTGCCAGGCTGGAGTGCATTGGCGCGATCTCGGCTCACTGCAACTTCCGCCTCCCAGCTTCAAGCGATTTTCCTGCCTCAGCCTCCTGAGTAGCTAGGATTACAGCCAGGCGCCGCCATGCCCAGCTAATTTTTGTATTTTTAGTAGAGACGGGGTTTTACCATGTTGGCCAGGATGAGTCTCGATCTCCTGACCTCGTGATCCGCTCGCCTCGGCCTGCCAAAGTGCTGGGATTACAGGCGTGAGCCACTGCGCCCGGCCTAAAATGTTTCTTTCACTATAAGTTCAATTTAGTGGAAAGACGTTCTTTAACTATCATCAAATTCTAATGTCAATGACACTACCCCACCAAAACACAGTCGGAATTTCTGTTTTCTGTTTATGCTCCTATAAACCAATGGTATTTTAAAAACTTATTTTAAGTTTCAGTTTTACTGCGTGTGAAATAAAATTTTATTATTCCTCTTAATAACCTATTTTGGTTGGGCAAGGTGGCTGACGCCCTGTAATCCCAACACTTTGGGAGAGCGAAGCAGGTGGATCACTTGAGGTCAGGAGTTTGAGACCAGCCTGGCCAACATGGTGAAACCCCGTCTCTACTAAAAATACAAAAATTAGCTGAGTGTGGTGGCATGCGTCTGTAATCCCAGCTACTCGGGAGGCTGAGGCAGGAGAATCGCTTGAATCTGGGAGGCGGAGGTTGCAGTGAAACCACGGCACTCCAGCCTGAGACTTCGTCTAAAAATAAAAAATTAAAAAAATCTATTTTTGACAATAAATTGAAAGTTCAAAATTTATATATTTTTCATTTTCTTCTTCATGACCATTATCTGTCTTTTTCAACTTAAGAATTAGGGTACCCAGCAATTGTACTCCTAGGAGTTTACACCCAAGGGACATGTATAAAAATTTCATAGCAATACCGTTCATAATAGCAGAATACTAGGAACAACTGGAATATCCTGAATTAAAATTGCGGCATATTCATTCATTGGAATATTTAACAGCAATGAAAACAGAATAAACTACATTTACATGCAACAACATGCATGGATTGCCTAAGCAATATTGAGGGAAAGAAGTCAGACAGAAGAGAATGTACATTGTGAGTTGCCAATTGTATAGTTTAAAAATAGACAAAACCAAACTGGTATGTAAGTATGCATACTTATGTGTCTAAAGGATAGAGAAAAGCAAGGAAGTGATTTTCATGAAAATCAGGATAGTGCTTATCTTTTAGAGAAAATTGTCATCAGTGTGTTATAGGATTTTAGGTAATTTTTATTTTTTCTTTATGCTTTTCTGTAATTTCCAAATTATCTACAATGAACATGTGTTTCTTTATAACCAGCAGGGGAAAACTAGATGTTACTCTCAAAAATAAATAAAAAAGGATCAAGGTCGAGTGCCACAAGAAAATTGAAAAAAAGAGGTATCTTGTGAACAACACTATAAAACTATACCAAATCTACAACTTCAGTTTACTCCTATTTCCTTTATCTCCATCCTTTTCTTTTTAAAATTCCAAAAGAAACAAAAACTATAATAATCTGCAATTTATTTTCTAAAACATTACTTTTTATCCCTTATCATTTTCTTAGATTTACTTTATTCTTATATTACTGTCTTGAATTGATTGGCTAATGTTCATCTTCTTTTGCATTCTTTACTTTTTTCTTTTTGAGACGGAGTTTTGCCCTGTCGCCTGGGTTGGAGTGCAATGGTGCAATATTGGCTCACTGCAACCTCTGCCTCCTGGTTCAAGCGATTCTCTGCCTCAGCCTCCCAAGTAGCTGGGATTACAAGCATGTGCCACCACACCCAGCTAATTTTTATATATTTTTTTAGTAGAGATGGGGTTTCATTGCATTCTTTTCTAGAATTGATTGGCCAGTTTATGTTTTATTTTCTTTTTCATTTCTTAAAAAACAAAACATTTTTAAGACTATAGCTCTACCTCTGAGGTCATACATTGGCTTCATCCTATGAGTTTTCATAAATAGTATTATTTTCACGATTGTTTTTTAAAAATAATTTGTATTTGCATTTTTAATTTTTTCTTTTGCTGCCTTCTGTAGCATGTAAAGTTTAACATACACACATTATATCTATCTTGTTGATTGTATTATTCAGACCATTCAAATCTTACTTTTTTTTGGCATATTTCGTATTTTTGTCTTTTTATCTTTCTAAGTCTTAGACAAATGTCCATTTCTCCTCAAATTTGTAGTCACTTTTTTCATATATGTATAGCTATATTATTTAGTACATAAAGCTTTATGAATACTATGTATTGTGCATATTGGATCTTGTATTAAAATAAAATGAATCCCTTTATCAGATTTTAAATGTTTTTTTCCCTCTCTTGAATTCTACTTTAACGAATTATTATTGTTACCCCCTTCTGTCTTTGCATTTGCTTCTTGTTTCTCTGTCCAATCTTTTGCTTTTAACTTTTCTGTGCCATTTGGTTTCCATGTATTTCTAATGAACAGTGTACAATTAAATGTTATTCCATTTTAATCTCTTTTCTTTCTTTTTTTTTTTTTTGAGATAGAGTCTTGCTCTGTCACCCAGGCTGGAGTGCAGTGGTGTGATCATAGCTCACTGCAGCCTAGAACTCCTGGGCTCAAGCCATCCTCCTGCCTCAGCCTCACAGTAGCTGGGAATACAGGCATGCACCACCACACTCAGCTAATTTTTTTTTATGGAGATGAGGTCTCCCTGTGTTGCCCAGGCTGGTCTCAAAGTCCTAGGCTCACGCGATCCTCACACCTCAGCCTCCCAAAGTGCTGGGATAATGGGCATGAGCCACCGTGCCTGGCTTAATTTCTTTTTTAACAGGAGTGCAAAAGCTTTTATAGGTATATCTGACATTGACATTAGTCATCTTGGTTTAGCTATTTTTAATGCATCTTTGCTGTTTCTTTTCTTTTATATCTTTTGTCATGTGGGCTATATTTACTTTTGCTTTCCTCTAGTGTTTTGGCAGGTATGGATACTTTTGTTAACCAAATAATACTAAAACCAGTACTCTCTAATTATCAATACAAATGAAAAGAGTATCTATTGGCTCCTCAATTGATTAAAGAAATTAGCATAATTTTCATATCAATTGTTGATGTCATCTGGAATGTTAGACCCAAACTTTAAGAAATTAATATCTCATTTAATCCTCAGAACAATTCTGAACAATGCCATTAATCTCATATTGCAGTTGAACAATCTGAAGCACAGATAAATCATTTCTGAAGTACATACAGGTAACAAATGGTAGAATGAGAACTCAAATCCAAGGGCTTTGACTCTAAACCTCACTTTTTCCCCACTGTACTATGCTAAGTGAAAAGAATAAACAACTTTCTTATCAAACTCTAAGAGCACAGATAATTTATTTGTCAAATTTTAAGCTCCTAGCGATGTTATAACCTTCACAAGATCACGTCTTCAACATTTTTTTGAGCGAATTGCTGTAGTTCCAGGCAGTGCTGGGCACATAAAAAGTGCTGCTCAGCAAATACTCTTGACTTAAGTCCAAATAAAAGATATCTTCAATTGAGAGGTTAATTATTAATTTATTGATGAGAAAGCTACCATTTAATCATTTCCAGCATCATCTCTGTATAGTAAGTGATGTAGAAAGAATCACTTGAATAGTTACGTAATTGAAAGGCACATATGCACCCAGTTTCCTAGGGAAAGGTTGTAATGGTAACTTTTCTGCAACTTGAAAATGGCTTCATCTCCCAATACTCTTTTGGTGTGAAAATCTTGAGACTGGGGAGAAAATATGCAAATTTACTCCTGAACCAATGAGCTTCTGAGAGCAAAGAGAGGGAAGCATTGACCTACTTTAGGGTCAACATAATTAAAACTTCTCTGATGAACTGAGATGGTCCCCGCTGGGAAAAGCTGGCAGTATGTCTCCCCGAAGGACCTCCATGAATGAGCACACGGTGAAGTCAGGGTGAGTGTGGCAATGGTGGCCAGCATCGGTACTCAGCCCAGGCTGCATCCAGAAGCTCTTCCTAAAACCAGCCACTCCAGCATGGGCAATCAATGGTGCTGTAACCTTACAAACACAGGCTTGGGGAAAGAGACTCTTCTCCCTAGAAGAATCTCTATGGCCTCTGCAGGAAGCTGGATGATCAGTAGCTCTGCCATAAACATAAGCAGGGGTGCAGAGATAATGCAGGGACTGCTGTTTCAATGGTAAAATGAAGTGACAGGAGTGAGAATGGCAGTAACAAGTGCACCAGCTACAGAAAATAACAGTATGGTAGTAGATTGATCACTCCTGTTCTTACTTCACATAGCCTTTGGAAAGCAAAGTTGGTCCCTTGGTACTTATTAAGCCCACCTGGGGTTCTTAAACAATTCAGGGTTGAGGAGGCAGGCTTCTTGTAGGACTACCAGATCCATAAATAAGTAAATAAAACTACTGCAGTTTTTAACTTTAAGTATATTTCATGCAGTATTTGTCTGAAATTCAAATTTAACTGGATGCCTTGTTTTTGATCTGTCAACCTCATCTCCAAGGTAAAATTACCGAATATTTTCAATTTTTTTGTCAGATGAGGTCTCAAATAGGGGTCACACCAGTTAATAAGTCAAAGTAGACAATAAATCGTGTTTTCTTCGTAATCCAATAGTATCTGTGCCAGTCTTTATTAAAGCATTTATTAAATGCTACCACTCTTTATTAAAGCATTTAACACTCTCCGTTGCAATCACTGATTTTCTTATAAGTCTTCTTCAATTCCCTGTGAGATATTTGAGGGCAGGCAATGTGTTTTCCCCACCTCTGTATCCCTGAAGCTCAACACGGTGCCTGAGATAGTCATAAATATTTGTTGAAAGCTAAATGAATGCTTGAGTAAATTAACTCCAGTTTCGATGAACTTGGGTAAATTGTCATTTCATCCAGTAGAGGGCAGCTGTGTACCCAGTACTGCAGAGAGCAAGCCCCACATCAGTGCTGAGTGAAGCAGCCTTTCGAACTCGAAAATCTCTATTACCTGCAGCTCGCTGCTTAACAGCAGTGTGGTCCCTAACCCCATACCCGTGCCAAAGATTCTTATTGTTCTGCTGAAAAGCTTAATCTAATCTCAACCCATCCTTTCTTCTCTTTAGAAATGCAGAAACTCTCTTGTCTGAAAATACTAGAAAAAACAGATCCAACCAGGTGATCTCTTCTTTTTTGAATAACAATTGTAGGTTGATAAATCTATGTAGAATTCTAAATATTCTAGGCATTGCCATTACCCTTTAACATATTCCATTAATAGAATCTTTAAAAAATTAGTTCCATATGACTTTTTGGTTCATATCAGATATTAAGCTGCCTATCAGAGATAAACAAAACTAAAAAAAGAAGTAATCATGTTGATATACATTGTATGAAAGGGAAAAAAGCATGATTACTCCCTTATGGGTGTTATTCTTTTTGTGGTTTTCTTTTTTTGTTTTGTTTTGTTTTGTTTTTGAGATAGAGTCCCGTTCCATTGTCCAGGCTGGAGTGCAATAGTGCGATCATGGCTCACTGCAGCCTCAACTTCCTGGGCTCAGTTGATTCTTCCACCTCAGCCTCCCAAGTAGCTGGGACTACAGGCACACACCACCACACCTGGCTAATTTTTGTAATTAGCGCCCTTATAAGAAGAGGAAGAGACCCTAAAGTGCTGTCTTTCTCTGCCATGTGAGGACACAGTGAGAAGGTAGCTGTCTGTAAGCCAGGAGGAGGGCCCTCACCAGAACCTGACCATGCTGACAACCTGATCTTGTGCTTCCAAACTCCAGAACTATGAGAAAATAAATGTCAGTTGTTTAAGCCATCCAGTTTATAATATATTGTGATAGCAGCCTGAGCTAAGACATTATGTATACCTAATTTTGTATTCATGATTTTCTATTGTTTTCCTTAAATATGGGTCCTCAAATTGTATGAGATTCAGGACCCCAAATCCTGGCTCCAATTCTGGAAATAGGAATGATTATTGTCATCATATTAGGGAAGCAAAATGGAGGTTCAGGCAGTTACCTCAAATCACAGAGCTTACAGAGTTCAAACTCAGATCCGTAATTCCAAAGTCAGTTTAAAGATCAATATGACTGTCTCCTTTAAGGGGTTTGGGTTCCTTATTTCTAAATCCTGTCTTTATGAGGAATGTAGTTTGTACCTGCAGAGCATTTGCATGATCAGTTTCAAATTTCAACTTAAATTTATATACAAGTGTAAATTCCTTAATAAAAATATTAAGTAATAAGTATTGGTGAGAAAGGAATATAAATTATTCTATCATAAAGACACATGCATGCATATGTTCATTGCACCGCTATTCACAATAGCAAAGACATGGAATCAACCTAAATGCTCATCAATGGCAGGTTGGATAAAGAAAATGTGGTACATATACACCATGGAATACTATGCAGCCATAAAAAAGGTCATGTCCTTTGCAGGAACATGGATGGAGCTGGAGGCCATTATCCTTAGCAAACTAATGCAGGAAGAGAAAACCAAATACAGCATGTTCTCACTTATAAGTGGGAGCTAAATAACAAGAACACATGAATACAAAGAGGGGGAACAACAGACACTGGGGTCTACTTGAGGGTGGAGGGTGGGAGGAGGGAGAGAATCAGAAAAAACAACTATTGGGTACTAGGCTTAGTACCTGCGTGATGAAATAATCTGTACAGAAAACCCCTGTGACATGAGTTTACCTATATAACAAACCTGAACATGGAACCCTGAACCTAAAATAAAAGTTTAAAAACAAAACAAAAAAACCTCCAGGTATTGATGAGGGTGTGGAGAAATTTGAACTCTCATATACTGCTGGTTAGAAATATACGGTGCAGGTGCCAAAGCCCTCATCGACTATGAGAACTCAAACGAAGCTCTGGATAAGGCCTGGTTAAAGAGCAAAGATGTCAAGTTGGCTGAGGTACACCAGCAGGAGTGCTGCCAGAAATTTGAACAACTTTCCAAATCTGCAAAAGAAGAGCTGATAAATTTCAAACGGAAGAGAGTGGCAGCATTTAGAAAGAATCTAATTGAAATGTCTGAACTGGAAATAAAACATGCCAGGAACAATGTCTCCCTTTTGCAGAGCTGTATTGACTTGTTCAAGAATAACTGATAGGCCTTCACTCAGAAGAAAAGAAATGAATGTGAAAGAAAGCCAAACATCACTTGCACTTAAATCATTGCCATGGAAGATTTATTAGCTTCAACTTTAGTTTAAAATTATGTGAATAAATATTTTGATTTCTACAAAAAAAAAAAAAAAAGAAGGAAGAAAGAAATATATGGTGCAGGTGTTTTGGAAACAGTCTGGCAGTTCCTCAAAAAGCTAAACATAAAATTACCATATGACCCCACAATATATACCCACTGTACATCTGAGAAAATTGGAATCATATATCCACACAAAACTTGTACATGAATTTTCATAGCAGCATTATTTATAATAGCGAAAAAGTGGAAACAACCCAAATGTCCATCAACTGATAAATGGATAAACGAAATGTGGCATATCTACACAATGGGGTATTATTCAGGCATAAAAAGGAATGAAGTTCTGATACATTGCTACAGTATGAATGAACCTGGGAAACATTACACAAAGTGATAGGAGCCAGACACAAAAAATCATACATTGTACTATTCTATTTGTATGAAATGTCCAGAATAGGCAAATCCAGGGAGACAGAAAGTAGATTACTGGTTGTGGTGAGGAGAGGATGGTTAATGACTGCTAATGTATAATGTTTCTCTTGGAGATGATAAAAATTTGCTGGAATTAGTGTTGTTAGTTGCACAATATAGTGAATATACTGAAAGCCACTGAAATATACAATTTCAAAGGCTGAATTTTATGGTGTGTAAATTTTATCTAAAAATAGGTTTAAAGGATTAAATTTCTTAGTCTTAGAGGCATGTTATCCTTTTACCTACAAAATCATGATAAAATAATACAAAAGACACACTGAAAACAACCACGTAAAAGAAAAAATTTCTGAAATACTTTTTTAAAAAGACTTACTGAAGTTTTAGCACAAGATTTCTTTTTCCATAGAGTCCATAGGGTTTTTTTGCACCTGTTTGGAAAGAGCTGTATTAATGCTTGTATTAATGCTGCTAACTGAATAAATTTTTTGTTATACAGAGTTCTAAGCATATACATGGCACTGAATAAATATTTTGATTTAGGGATTGATTCTCCAATCCTAGTCCAACCCATAAATTACTGACCTTATGCCTAAGAAGCAAGAGATTTTGGAAATAAATGTAAATCTAAGAAGAAGGCAATGGACACATTTGATGTATCCTCCGGTTCTCCAGCAAACATTGTCTCTAGCTCTACTCTGCTACAAATTCTTCAAGTGAAAGGTAAAACTCTGGGGGGTAGATTTCACATTGAAACCCTTCAGAAAACAAGTTTCTTAAAAATGCCATAGGATACAAAAATTAGCCCGGAGTGGTGGCACGTGCCTGTAGTCCCAGCTACTCAGGAGGCTGAGGTGGGAAGATCACTTGAGCCCGAGAGGTCGAGGCTGCAATGAACTGTGACGGTGTCACTGCACTCTAGCCTGGGTGACAGAGCAAGACCCCGTCTCAAAAAATAAAATTAAATTAAAAATAAATGCCATAGGTATGTTTCCTTGGGAGTTATTTTTGTTCCTTTCCCTAAAAGCAATTCTGTTTACCCCAGCTATAGTTTCTCTCACTCAGAGTTCAGATCCTTTCCTTTAAATTTGGAATAACGTGTTCTGATTTTATTTATTTATTTATTTATTTATTTATTTATTTATTTATTTATTTATTATTATTATTTGAGACGGTGTCTTGCTCTGCCACCCAGGCTGGAGTGCAGTGGCGCGCTCTCAGCTCATTGCAAGCTCCACCTCCTGGGTTCACGCCATTCTCCTGCCTCAGCCTCCCAAGTAGCTGGGACTGCAGGTGCCCACCACCATGCCCGGCTAATTCTTTTGTATTTTTAGTAGACAGGGTTTCACCATGTTAGCCAGGATGGTCTCCATCTCCTGAGTTCGTGATCCTCCCGCCCCGGCCTCCCAAAGTGCTGGGATTACAGGCGTGAGCCACCATGCCCAGCCATGTGTTCTGATTTTATTTACAGCCAGTTCTTATTAAATGGGTACAAATGTGTATGCCCCATCTTTTTATCCTTTTTTTTTTTTTATAGCGGCTTGTATCTTTTGCAGGTTCTTTGAATTTTCAAATTTCCCTGAGGACAATAATTAGAAGTTTTTAGGTCTCTTCTCTTCCTGAAATATTTCTTTCTTCTAGAGGGGGTTCCTCTGCTTGTTTATCATAAATGTTTTATTTATGCTCTTGTTTTGTTTTGAACGTCTGGGGACTCTAGGTTGTTCGTGCATACATTTCAATGACAGATGAGATTGTGCAGTACACAAGCTGACCTGGAGCGCCTCCAATTCTGGAGGTCTGTTCCATGATAGCTTTTCTCATGATGAGGAGGGGAGACAGGGTTCTAGAAGAGAGTGGGCAGGAATGTGTGGACAAGACAGGATTCCTTTCAGAGTGGGTGCGGATTGCACAGGTGTATAAAGACCAGCTAAGCTTAGGCCCTTCATTTACTGTAGTAAGACATTAACATGGAGACAGAGTGTATAGTATATTTCACCCAGCACATTGCCTCACTTCCTTTTTTCCTTTTTGTCTGTTGTGGAGTTGCAAAGCCTCACTGTCACCGTTGGTCTTGCAATTCATTTTGAAATTTATTCTTATCATACCTAACTTGAAAGCAAATGTCTCAACCAGGTATTCTGTATACAAACAGTAAATTAATTATCTTATTTCATGACTCACTCCAACTCCAACTCACTGTGAACTTGGAGTTTCTCCTAGAAACCCTCGTGGAGAGTGGTGCTCAGCTGTGCATCAGGCCTTTATTTTGGGCGCAGGTTTCTAGTTATAGTTTCTACATTGGGCAAGGAACTTCCTTTTATGTATTTTCTGTCACTTGAATGAGATTTTGACAGGTATGAGATAAACACATTTGCTTAGACCACTATCTTGAATGAGTTAATATGCAAGTTTTAAATTTTAAGGCATATTGTCAAAATCAACCTTCCAAAATAAAATTTGCATCAGTTTACACTTCCATCAACAGCAGAGGAGAGTGCCAGTTTTCTCATTCTCATGCCAGTTCTCAGTGGGATCCCTCCTCTGAATTTTTCTTAGCCTCGTAAATTAAAAAAGTATGATTTATATTTGTATTTCTTTGATTGCTAGTGAAGTTAAGCATCTTTTCATCTGTGTGATTGCTTCTTAGCTTCTGTTCTTGGAAATTTTCTGTTTAATCCCCATTTATTTTCTATTGAAGTGTTTGTTCATTTTTATTGATTTAAAATATATTTGTACATATTCAGTGCATTATTGTGTTTTTGACATATGTTGGATGTTTTTTCCCAGTTTGTCATTTGTATTTTGTTTTTATGTATGGCATATTTTGCTCTAGAGTTTAAAAATAAGTTTTGTAATCAAACCTGTCAATATTTTCCTTTAAGTTTTCCGAGTTTAGTGTAATAGTTAGAACATTCATTGGCTCTACTTTTGTTAGAATTTTTTTTTTGTTTCTTGAGATAATTGATCAATTTTCACATTTTCCTGTTTTTTACAGATTTGAATTTTTCTCTGAATGTGGCTGTAGCTGTATCCCAAAAGTTTTGATAAGGAGAGTTATCGTTGTTGCTTTTCTAAATAATCTGTAAATTCAGTTTTAACTTTTCTTTTATCCAGGAGTTAGAGATGTCATTTAATATCTCCAGGCAATTACTTTTTTAAAAAGCTATCTTTTTGTTGATAGCTTCTATTTTAAATTTTATTTTGGTCAAGGATTTCTACTTGTAGAATTTATTATTTACTAACAACATGATGCAATTGCAATTATTCTGGAAAACTCATCATTAACCTTCCTCATGAGATCACTCACGGCTGTCATTATCTCTGTTTACAGATCAAGTCTTTCCCAACCTCACCTGAACTACTGTAATTTGATATTTACTGACTTCTCTTTCTTCAGAACAACTTTGCCTTTATACTTTCTTTCCATTTCTAGAAACGTGTATGAAATCTTTTGATAAATGTAGAGAATGGTCTTTTGAGCCTTTCAGAGTCTTTTTGTGGATCCAGACCGCAGCTAGATAAGAAACTGTACAGACCTAGAACCAGACCTGAAAGGTAGTATAGGCCCTGCCGGAACAGGAATTGAAAGAAATGAAAGAATGTGTAAGCACAAACTCAGTTGTATGTAAAAAACCCAATTCCCCCTAAGAAAGAGAAAAAGCTGGAGTCCTTTAAAAATTAACTGCCTGTTTTTCTGTGGCTAGTGAGCCTTATGTCGCCTCCTTTCCCAGGCATTGTGAAGACCCTGTTTCTCTAGCTGTGCAGCTGCAAGGTCACTAGACAGATAAACTCAAGTCATAAAATATGTTTTTCCTTGAAAAGTAAGAAATGATGTAATGCATGTCTCAATTAATTGAATGACTGTCTTTGTTTCTTGCTTCTGTAATATGCTTCCCCCTGCACAGATCTCCCCCTAGAAGTTCAAGACCAGGCTGGGAACATGGCAAAACCCCATCTCTACCAAAAATACAAAAATTAGGTAGGCATGGTGGCATGCCCCTGTAGTACCAGCTACTGGGGAGGCTGAGATGGGAAGATAGTTGGACCCTGGGAGGTGGAGGTTGCATTGAGCCAATATTGTACTGCCCCACGAAATGCTTAAAAGGTAACTTAACTCTTTGTCCAGGGCTCAGTCCTTTGGATTCTAATCCGACTGGGCCAGTGCACCTAAATAATAAATATCCTCCTCAACCCCATCAGTCTCTCTAATTCCTTATCAATCCCACTACACTGCAATAACAGATACAACGGCATGGCTGGGAGGATGGGAAGAAGGCCAGACCAGTAGGCAGAATAAAGTTTTTAAGACAGCTGGAAAATCCAACAGGATTGATCTCAGGGTAGTCCAAATGCAGAGTAACCTGTGCTTTAAGATGCTTGTGGAATAAATACAGGTGAATTCTGGAGGCAATGGAAAACAGATTCGAGTAGGTATGTCAACCACTGGAGCCAACAGTGGAGAACAATTCAGGTCTCCAATCCTAAAAAAGATTGCCAGCCTGGAAAGGTGACTAAGATAAGAATCAGGAATGTGGAACAAGAGAGAAGAATGCTAGTCATTACAACTTAGGTAAAATATTAGAGGTACAAAATAGTAGATGTAATGATATCAAATACAATATTCTTGGCTTAGAATCCCTTGAATATCTTCTTCCTAAATTAGAATTGACCCTAGTGATGCAGTGTCTCATGATTTAGGGTAGAAGGTTGGTAGCAGGAAGGAGGGATACCAGGCATAATCTGACATAATACGTGGAAAACCCAATTATCCTATTGTAAGCCTCCCTTTGTAAATGGTGCTATACAGTGGTATGTTATCTCTATTAAAAATAATTAAATGTTCAATTCATACATTGAAATACATTGATAATAGAACTAATAAATTTATCTATTATACCAAAATATAAATAGTAATATAGTTCCTACTTTGCTGAGTGAAGACTAGAATATTTTTATGTATATATAGAAAAATATGATGAAAATCTGAGCCTAACAGACTGTAAGCCCTCTATAAATATTTTTGAATTAATGAAGGAATAAATGAATAAGAATCATGGTATAATTTATAAAAACAAAAAAAGGAGGGGAGAGAAAAAATTAACATTCATTAGAAAGAGAATAAAAATTCTAACACAGGCTGGGCGCAATGGCTCACACCTGTAATCTCAGCACTTTGGGAGGCTGAGGCAGGAGGATCACAAGATCAGGAGTTCGAGACCAACCTGGCCAACATAGTGAAACCCCATCTCTACTAAAAATGCAAAAAAAAATTAGCTGGGTGTGGTGGCGGGCGCCTGTAATCCCAGCTACTCAGGAGGCTGAGGCAGGAGAATCTGTTGAACCTGGGAGGCGGAGGTTGCAGTGAGCTCAGATCATGCCATTGCACTCCAGCCCAGGCAACAGTGCAAGACTCTGTCTCAAAATAAATAAATAAATAAATAAATAAATAAATAAATAACACATTCATACTATGTAATGCTATATAATCATGAAAAAAATTGATAGATATTTTTGTATTCACACACACTGAAGGATGTTTATAATATTTTTAAATCCATAAATAAAGAGAATAATGGGCCTCCATGTATCCATTATCCAGCTTCAACAATTATCAACTTTCTGGAATTGTCATTTTATCTGCCTCTTTTTTTCATGATAGATTTGAGGTGTAAAACACATACACATAAACATAGTGCCATCCAATTTTTGTTTAAAAAGTTACAAACCCTGTGTGTGTGTGTGTGTGTGTGTGGTGTGTGTGTGTGTGTGTGTGCCCTTAGTAGGAAATCTAGAAGAAAATACATCATTCTTTTAACAGTAATTTTCCGTAGTGCATGAGAGTGAGGTAGTTAAGGGTAGGGAATGTAGGTAAGATTTAATTTTTTTAACAAAGCTGCACATGCACCCCTGAACTTAAAAGTTTATAAAAAAGATTTAATTTTTTACTTTATATTCCTGGATTTTTGGATTTTTTAAATTATAGGCTTTTGTTTTGTAGTTACCCTGAAACTTACATACAACACTTTATAACTAGTATGTTAAGCTGATAACAATTTAACTTGGATAACATACACAAACACTACACTTTTATCTCCCTTTGCCCCACATTTTATGTTTTTGTTTCTTTGTGTTTTGAGATGGAGTCTTGTTTAGTCACTCAGGCTGGAATGCAGTAGCATGATTGTAGCTCACTGCAGTATTGAACTCCTGGGCTCAAGCAAGCCTCCTGCCTCAGCCTCCTGAGAAGCTGGGACTACAGGTGCACACCAGCACACCCAGCTAATATTTAAGTTTTTTATAGAGACAAGGTCTTCCTATGTTGACCAGGTTGATCTAGAACTCCTGGCCTCAAGTGACTTTCCTGCTTCAGCTTCGCAAAGTGTGGGGATTACAGACATGAGCCACTGTTCCTGACTCTCTCTCTCTCTCTCTCTCTTTGAGTCAGGGTCTTGCTCTGTTGCCCAGGCTGGAGTGCAGTGGTGCAGTCATGGCTTGCTGTAGCCTCAACCTCCTGGGCTCAAGCAATCCTCCCTCCTCAGCCTCCTGAGAATCTGGGACTACAGGCATGCACCACCATACCTGGCTAATTTTTTGATTTTTTTTTGTAGAGACAGTCTCACTGTGTTGCCCAGGATGGTCTTGAATTCCTGGGCTCAAGCAGTCCTCCTGTCTTGGCCTCCCAAATTGCTGAGATTACAGGCATGAGCCACTGTACCCAGCCTGGCCCATATTTTGTGTTTTTGATGTTACAATTTGCAGTAGTAATAGTTTATATCCTTAACAAAGTTTTGCAGTTTTAGTTTTTTTTTTTTTAACAGTTTTGCCTTTTATCCTTTATATTAGAGATGTAGTTGATTTACCCAGTGCCATTACAGTATTAGAGTGTTATGCATTTGACAATGTACTTACTTTTACTTTCAAATGTTTTCATGTTGCCAGTTAGCATCCTTTCTTTCGTTTGAAAACTCCCTTTAGCATTTCTTGTAAGCCAGCCCTAGTGGTGATAAACTCTCAGTTTTTGGTTGTCTGAGAAAGTCTTTATCACGTCTTCAGTTTTGAAATACAGGGTTGCCAGGTATAGTATTATTGGTTGACTTTTTCTCTTCTTTCAGGATTTTCAATATATCACCCCATACTCCCTCTGGCCTATAAGGCTTCTGCTGATAAATCCACTGATAATCTTATGGCGGTTCCCTTGTATGTAACAATTTGCTATTCCCTTGCTGCTTTCAAAACTCCCTTTGTGTTTAATTTGATAATTTGATTATGATGTGTCTCAGTGTGGGTCTTTTTGGAATTATCTTATTTTGTGTCCTTTGTTCTTCCTGGATCTGGATTTCTATTTCCTCCCCAAGTGTGGGAAGTTTTCTATCATTGTTTCTTCGGATATGTTTTCTGTCTCATTCTCTCTCTCTTTTCTTTCTGGTACATTGATAATGCATATGTTGTTATGCTTGATGGTGCCCCATAAGTCTCTTAAACTGTCCTCACTTCCCCACTTTTTAAAATTCTTTTTTCTTTTTGGTCCTCTGATTATACAATTTCCAGTGACCTGTCTTCAAGTTTATCAATTCTTGCTTTGCTTGCTCTTGTCTGCTGTTGAATGCCTCTACTGAATTTTTTAGTTCAGTTATAGTATTCTTTGGCTGTATGATTTCTGTTTGGTACTTTTTTATATTTTCTATTTCTTTGTTAAAATTCTCAGTTTGGGCTGGGCACAGTGTCTCAAATCTGTAATCTTAGCACTTTGGGAGGCTGACGCAGGAGGATTGCTTGAGCCCAGAAGTTCGAGACCAGGCTGGGCAACATGAAAAAACCCCATCTCTACCAAAAATACAAAAATTAGCTAGGCGTGGTGGCATGCTCCTGTAGTACCAGCTACTGGGGAGGGTGAGATGGGAAGATAGTTGGAGGCTGGGAGGTGGAGGTTGCATTGAGCCCATATTGTACCATTTCACTCCAGCCTGGGTGACAGAGCCGGACTCTATCTCGAATAAAAAACAAAACAAAAACAAAGGAAATTCTCACAAGTTTGTTCTTGTGTTGCTTTTCTGACATTGGTGAGCATCTTTACAACCACTATTTTTAATTCCTTGTCAGATAAATCACATATCTCCACTTCACTCTGGTCAGTTTCTGGAGATTTATCTTCTTCATTTATTTGAAATATATTGCCCTATTTCTTCATTTTCCTTTACTCTCTGTGTTGGTTACTGCATATTAGATAAGACAATTACCTCTCCCAGTCTTGTCAGATTGGCCTCATGCAGGGGATTTTAAGGTGCCAGACATATTTATTTATTTATTTATTTATTGAGACAGGGTCTCACTCTGTTGCCCAGGTTGGAATGTAGTGGCACAATCCTACCTCATGGCAGCAGCCCTGACCTCCTGGGCTCAAGGGATCCTCCCACCTCAGCCTTTCAAATAACCGGGATTACAATCATACACCACCACCCCCGGCTAATTTTTTATTCTTTTATAGAGATTGGGTCTCAGTGCCTGTCAAATCTTTGTGTTTGGCCAGACTGCTATCTCTGTTTTTGGTGGCCCCTCCTGGAACTTAGGATATGTTACTTTCTGTCAGTACCTCAAGACTGGTGAGGTAAGAAGGTAAGAGCTAGACTCTCTAGAGGTAGCTGGGAAAATTGGGATGTTGAATGTGTGTTCCATTCCCTTTTGTCTTCATCGTGAAACTGAGTGTAGGCATTTTCTCTTACTCTCTCTGCACTACGATGGGGAGAGAATTTGTGTCAAATGCCCATATTCATGTTCAGGTTGTACCCTCTGATCCTGGGAACATAGCTGCTGGAAGCAGGTCCATTGTATATTAACCTTTATGTTCTGTGGTCTAGGATCACTCAGAAATGCAAAGCCCATTGACTCCCAGATCTAGGTCATTAAAGAGAAGCTATAGGTTGAGCACGGTGGCTCATGCATATAATCCTAGCACTTTGGGAGGCTGAGGCAGATGGATCACCTGAGGTCAGGAGTTCAGCAACATGGTGAAACCCTGTCGCTACTAAAAATACAAAAATTAGCCAGGTATGGTGTTGTGCACCTGTAGTCTCAGTTCCTTAGGAGGCTGAGGCAAGAGAATCACTTGAACCCAGGAGGTGGAGGTTGGAGTGAGCTGAGATTGCACCACTGCACTCCAGCCTGGGCAACACAGTGAGACTCCACTTCAAAAAATAAAATTAATTAATTAATTAATTAATTAAAATTAGGAGAAGCTATAGAAGTTGTGGCATTCGGTGTGTAGCCAAACTCCTTCCAGGAAGAATTGATAGGCCTGAATTTATCACTAGGGTGGGCCAGAAGGAAGGCTTAGGAAGTGCCAAGATCTGGCTCTGGCTGATAAGGGCTATTGTTTGTCCTATTAGTTTCCTGATGCAAGTTCATTAGAAGCCTGGCCATCAAGTAGCCACTGGAGGTGTATAGCGTAAGCCCCTTCCAAAGAGAAAATGAGAGCTGCATATTTCCACCTCTCTTCTGCACTACTCCAACAGGGTGCAGCCCCTGGAAGTGTTTGCACACCTGTTTAAAACCCCCTCTTTGTTCCATGATCTAGGGAGACTCATATATGCCTAATCCCTTCTGCTCCCAGAGCTAAGAGGCTCAGGATGGAGTCCTCTGGGAGGTAGCTGTAATAGTTTGGATACTTGATGCACGGCATAAACCCCTGCCTGGGAGAAACAAAGAGCGGCTTTTGTTTTGTTTTGTTTTTTTGAGATGGAGTCCCGCTCTGTCATCCAGGCTGGAGTGCAACAGCGCCATCTTGGCTCACTTCAACCTCCAATTCCCAGGTTCAAACAATTCTCTTGCCTCAGGCTCCAGAGTAGCTGGGATTACAGGGGACTGCCACCACGCCTGGCTAATTTTTTTTTTTTTTTGTATTTTTAGTAGAGACCTGGTTTTACCATGTTGGCCAGGCTTGTCCCGAACTCCTGACCTCAGGTGATAAGCCTGTCTCAGCCTCCCAAAGTGCTGGGATTATAGGTGTGAGCCACCGTGCTTGGCCAGAAGCTGCATTTTAAAGCCCCTTTTCTGCACTGCTCCTGGGGGATAAAGCCCCTGGAAGTTCTTACACGCCTGTATAAAACTGTCACTTTTTTTTGTGATCTAAAGAGACATGTGTATGCCAGTCCCCTCTGCCCCCAGAACTGGAAAGTTTAGGATGACGTTTTTTGGGTGGAAGCTATAAAAGTTGGGATGCTCGATGTGTGGACCAACTCCTTCCAAGAGGGATTAATAGACATGTAGTTATTTCTGGGTAAGCTGGGTGAGAAAGCTCAGAAAGTACCAACCTGCTTCTCAGCTAGGCAGGGATGCTTTAATACTTGTGTATCCCTTTAACTCCCTGATGCAAGTTAGTTGGAAGCCAGACTGCCAAGTAGCCACTGAGAGAGTGTGTTATGAACCCCATCCAGGGAGAGACAAAGGTTGTATTTTAAAGTCCCTTTTCTGCATTTCTCCCAGGGTAGGAAGTCCTTGGAAGTTCTTGAGAAACCATGTAAAACTGCTGCTTTTTCCCTGCAGTCTAGAGAAACTCGCACACATCTAATCCCCTTTGCTCCCAGAATTGATGAATTAAGAATCAAACCATGGGGAACCTCAGAGTTAGGGTGCTGTATGTGAGGTGCAAACCCTCTTCTCCACAGGGAAAAGCTGGGTATTCCCTTCCCAATTTGATGGCACAGTGCCTGTGGTGGGGCCCATCCACAAGTGTGCCTCAGCTCTTCCTACCTGTACGATGCAGATACTTTCTCAGTTGCCCGGTGGGTAGGAGTCTCTCAACTGGTCTCCGACTTTCTCCCAGAAGGAGTTAACCCATGAATACATGTTTATTTGGTGTGTCTGTGGATGGAATCAGGAGCTTCCTATTCTGCCATGTTGCTGATGTCACCCAGAATGTTTTTTTTAACATCATGTATTATCTTTCCAACTGCAGGGAAGCAAAACTTTACTTCTGCCCTCTTGGAGTCTCAGGTTAGGCCTGAAAATTCAGTTGTCATAAGACACATTAACAAAAGAAAAGCATACAGATTTTATTTTACATGTACATGGAAGTTCCCATAAGAAAATGAGGACCCAAAGAAGAGGCACATCCCAAATGCTTATATCGTAGGTTGGACAAAGAGTGGCAATTGTGAGTAAGTACCTAAAATATATGGGAAGGCAAAATAAGATAAGAGTTATTTTAACAAGATCTGTTTATGCAGATTTTTGTCAGCCTTGACTCCCTGCCTCTGGTGATAAGAATTTTTTTTTTCTATCCTGTACAGAAAAAAAAGAGTGACCTCAGAGTGACCCTTTTATATCTGCTACTTTACATGGGCCTTCAGCTCAAAATAATTCTTATGCCAAAGTGACTTTTTTTTTTTTTTTAAAGACAGAGTCTCACTTTGTTGCCCAGGCTGGAGTACAGTGGTACGATCTTGGCTCACTGTAACCTCTGCCTCCCGGGTTCAAGTGAATCTCCTGCCCCAGCCTCCCGAGTACCTGGGTCTACAGGCTCCCATCCCCATGAATGGCTAATTTTTGTATTTTTAGTAGAGATGGGGTTTCACCCTGTTGGCCAGGCTGGCCTTGAACTCCTAACCTCAGGCCATCCACCTACCTCGGCCTCCCAAAGTGCTGGGATTACAGTCGTGAGCCACCGCGCCTGGCCCAAAGTGGCATATTTTGGAGTGGCATATTCTGCCACCCTTCACAACTAAACTTTTTAATAAAAAAGAAGAATATTCTATATAAAGAGCTTGATAAAATTAACTAACATAATTATTGCTATAAACTTTAGTGTCCAAAGGAGAAATTTAATCCAACATTTACAAGTGGCCTTCATAATATTATTATTTTTCTTTTGTATCAGATATCAACAATCCATTGGTCTGGTTTTAACATATATGCTGTCAATGTAGCCCTACGTAGGAAAATTGCAGTATGCCAAAAAAGAAAATAAAACCAATTTATCCAGTGACAGCAAGGCCTGAACAAAATTATGAGTAAGGTTGGGAGTTTGTTAATAATTGATTTGGTCAAATGCAGAGTGAGTTGTCACAAGAAGATGAAGAGTGGCCAAGGCAGGCCTCTATATTGCATTTTAAATGGAATATAGGAGGTGAATTCAGGTACTGCATGCTCCCTGGAGGCTGCTAAGCCCAGTACTCTTACAATGCATGCTGTATCACAGTGGCACAGCTGTTGCCCTGGCAAACACTAATTCTTTTTTGCCTCTCTCCTATAAGCACAGAAGACAACTTTCAAGAAAAGAAGTGAAGCTAGTGCATAACGTTGACAAAAGCAGAAACAGTGCCTGCTATGGACTGAATCGCCCCCGCTAATTCATACGTTGAAACTCTAACCCCAAATGCCACTGTATTTGGAGATAAGGCCTTCAAGGAGACAAAGAAGGTTAAATAAGATCATAAGAGTGGGACCCTAATCTGATAGGACTGGTGTCCTTATAAGAAGGGGAAAATACCAGGCACAGTGGCTCACACCTGTAATCCCAGCACTTTGGGAGGCTGAGGCTGGAGGATTGCTTGAGTCCAGGAGTTCAAGACCAGCATAAGTAACACAGTGATATCTTATCTCTACAAAAAACAAAACAATTAGCTGGGTGTGGTGGCATGCTCCTGTAGTCCCCACCACTCAGGAGGCTGAGGCAGCAGGATCGCTTGAGCCCAGGAATTTGAGGCTGCAGTGAGCCACGATCATGCCACTGCACCCTACACACCAGAGCTCTCTCCTCGCAAACACAGAGAAAAGGGCACGTGAGGACACAGGAAGAAGGTGGTCATCTGGGAGCCAGAAAGAGGCCTCAGTGGAAACCAACCCTGCAGGCACCTTGATCCTGGGCTTCCAGACTCCAGAATTGTGAGAAATTAAATTTCTGTTGTCGAAGCTACCCAGTCTGTGATATTTTGTTACGGCAGCCCTAGCAGGCTAATCGGTGCTCTTGCACTTTTCTTAAGACCCTTCTTTCATTCAGCCAAGATCTCCTGCTATCTTCTTTCAAGGAATTCTGCTCAACTTTCCAGTCTCATCTCTATCTTTCAAACTCAGTCCTGCTCTCTCTCAATCATTTCTGGTCATTCTGTATCTCTAGCTTTAATTAAAATAGAATCTTACGCTCTTTAGGTAAGAAAATGAGGAAAATGTAGTACAATGTGATTTTGTTCTTTGAAAAAGACTGATTAAGAAAAATACAGCTCAGGCCTGGCGCAGTGTCTCATGCCTGTAATCCCAACACTTTGGGAGGCCGAGGCAGGTGGATCACCTGAGGTCAGGAGTTCGAGACCAGCCTGGCTAACATGGTGAAACCCTGTTTCTACTAAAATTACAAAAAATTAGCCAGGTGTGGTGATGTGCGGCTGTAATCCCAGCTACTCGGGAGTCTGAGGCAGGAGAAATTGCTTGAACCCAGGAGGCAGGGGTTGCAGTGAGCCAAGATTGTGCCAGTACACTCCAGCCTAGGTGACAGAGCAAGGCTCCATCTCAAAAAACAAAACAAAACAAAACAAAACAAACAAACCAACAAAAAAACCCCAGCTTATAACACTGGTTTAAAACCAAATTGCCAAAATGCCTTAGTTTCTGTATACATTTGCATTGTTTTCCTTGTATAAGTTGATAGAAAAAAGATACAAATGAATGTCACTAGTAATGATACCCAAAATGCTACTGTGTGTCATGTAATTAGTTTTAAATCAAAACTTGCTGTAAGACTTTTGGCAGGGCACTTAGCCTCTGGGTTTGTTTCCTTGTCTATAAAAAGAAGATATTGCTACTGAGCAAAAGCGCTTGCTGCCAGATGTGCTAGAAGCCAGTACTATGATGCCAGTTTTTTGAGAAAACAAAAGCTTTTTATTGCAGGGTGAGCAACAAAGAAACAGGAGTCTAGCTTGGATCTATCTCCCTGTGATAACTTTAAGGTAGTAATTTTATTAGAAAAGGTTTAGGCCAGACGCAGTGGCTCATACCTGTAATCCCAGCACTTTGGGAGGCCGAGGTGGGTGGATCACGAAGTCAGGAGATTGAGACCACCCTGGCCAACATGGTGAAACCCCGTCTCTACTAGAAATACAAAAATTAGCTGGGTGTGGTGGTGCGTGGCTGTAATCCCAGCTACTCAGGAGGCTGGGGCAGGATAATCACTTGAACCTAGGAGGCAGAGGTTGCAGTGAGCCAAGATCGTGCCACTGCATTCCAGCCTGGTGACAGAGTGAGACTCCATCTCAAAAAAAGAAAAGAAAAGAAAAGAAAAGAAAAGGTTTAGGGGTGCATTTGGAGATTCATAGGTGATTGGTGGAAGGAAAGGGTAGAGGTCAAGAAAGTCCTCAGGCATGCACAGTTATCTCTTCATGCTACCTCATGGATCATATATGCAAATTTGGGAGGAGTCAGCATGAAATATGTGATGGAAATTTGGGCTGTGACATCAGCAAGCTCATTCTGTGCAGACTCTAGTTGGCCATATTGGTTCTAACCAATTTCAGCCAGTTACTTAAATCTCACAAACAGGGGGAATTTTGGCGTTTTAGTAAATGGTTTTGTTTTTGCCATCCTCTAAACTCAAGAATTTCCACCATCCTGTAAACTCAAGAATTTCTGTTTGTCAATAGTTTCTTTAACTCACTGGTTTCAGTATGCCCCACTATTGTTTGTATTTTTCCTTGACGTATGTGGTTCAGAGAATAAGTTGAAAACCACTGGATAAGATGATCTTGAAGATTCCTTCAAGTTCTAACCTCCTCTCACTCCTGGGTCATAACTCACAGTCGGAGCTGCATGGCACGCTGGAACATTTCAACTAGTGGGATCCATGAACCAGGGGCTAAGAGCGCAGTGCCGTGGAGGACCCAGCAGGTGCATTAACTCCCCCTGGGGAAAAGGTGTGCAGACACAGCAGCAAGTCCATGGGGATGTGGCAACTCCAGGTGAATCTACGCTCGCAGTACACCCTAAGGGGAAAATTTGATTCTGAGAGCAATGGGCGTGGCATCATGGCAGGATGTCTGGGCAGCAGTGACTCCTCTTAGCTCAGGTAGGCTTCCAGGATTGTAAGTCAAGGAGGACTGTCAAATAGAGCCACTGCACTGTCAAATAGAGCCATTGCAAAGAATACAAAGAGTCCTAAAGGGAAGAGGGTGGAATAGACTTGGTGAAGGGAATTTGGATTGTAGTCTACCAAGCTGGAAACAGGACCAAGCTTCGTTTCCAGTGGGGAAGATGCATGGAGACAGAGAACCTCGGTAGACCAATCAGATAGACTGGCTATCCAGGGAGCAGTCAGTGTGTGAGTGTGTCTGCTGTCTGTTTGCTGGGGGCAAGGGACATGGGCAGGCTGCTGCTCAGTGCTCACATAGACATCCAGGGCTCTCTTCACCTCTGGTTTATCCTTTCCAAAGTCCACTCATGAGTGGGAAGAGCATCCCATTTCTTGCCAGGCTGCGTTTTCATGGGTTTCAGAAATGGGCAAGGCTGAGCCAGCAGAGGACCTGAGTAAGCAATGACTGCCACTTGGCAAGTGGAAGAGGGAATGGACTTCTCTGCAACCATTTCAGAGACTGGAATGAGGACTAAATGGCAGTCATAGGAGGCCGATTTGGCTCTCTATGGAGAATAGGGTTCTGCTAATCAGAGGTTTCCCAAAATGAATACTTCATTACTTCAGTATTGAATTAGTTGTTTGAAGATCTATGAGGGATGCTATTGAAGGAATTACTATGTTGAGTGGGAAACTGAACTAGAAAAAAAGTCAGAGAAAGTCAGGTCAACTGTGTTTTTCTTTTTATCCTATTCTGGCTCCTTTTAATGAATCAAACTAACCCACATAGGATGTTCCAGGAGTGGGTAAAAACCAACTTCAGAAAATTGGCTTCTACTACAAATGTAAGTCACTCAGATTACTTCCTGTTTTTTGTTGTTGTCATTGTTGAGACAGAGTGCAGTGACGAGAACACAGCTCACTGTAGCCTCAAGCTCCCAGGCTTAGGTGATCATCTCACCTCAGCCTCCTGAGTAGCTGAGATTATAGATGCATGCCGCTAAGCCCAGCTAATTTTTCTATTTTTTGTAGAGGGAGGGATTTGCCATGTTGCCCAGGCTGGTCTTGAACTCAAGTGATCCTCCAGCCTTGGCCTCCCGAAATGCTGGGATTATAGGCATGAGTCATCATGCCTGGCTCAGATTACTTCCTTTTGCTTGGCCAATTTTGATGGGGTGTTCCTTAAGCTCCCCTTCATTGGTGTCTGCCTTCTCCTTTGCTCAGTTACTTGAATTCTGATTTTTGCCACAAGTATCATTGATGTGACATCCCACTTTAGATGTAAAACGCAGCCCAAACTGAAAATTTCCCTGGACACAATTCTGATGTCTACTTCCTATACCTCATATTATTATGAAATGGAACTCTGCCTTTGCCCCTTGGGACAGACTAGATTGGCTTGTTCTCTTTTTCTTTTCTTTTTTTTAGAGATGGGGGTCTCACTATGTTGCCCAGGCTGGTCTGCAACTCCTAGTCTTAAGCAATCCTCCCACCTCAGCCTCCCAAGCAGCTGGGACTACAGGTACACATCACTGTGCCTGGTTTAGATGGGCCTGTTTTCAATTCAGCCTTAGAATTATTTGCCAAGAGAGGGGACTTGGACAGAGTTCTCCACTGTCATGTCCTTCTTTTGTACAGATTTTAAATGAGGCAGCAAGTGACCTTAGCTAACTGTACTTCCAAAGCTACACTTTTCAAGAAGAGAGCATTTGAGGACAAAAAATTAAATTAAAGGAATGGAGAGAGGAAAATGAGATGAGGCTATTTTTGAGCAGTGGCTGAAGATATACTTGAGAAGGAGGTGACTGTTATAGGTTTGAGCTCCTAGCAGCACATCCTGTGTCAGGGATTCATGTGTAAGTGATTTATTAAAGAAATGCTTCCAGGAGAAACTGGCAAGGGAGTGGTGGATAAAGGACAGGGAAAGGAAAGCTGAGAAAAGGCAAGAATTCAGGTACTATGTTAATTTCTTATTGCTGTGTACCACAAACTTAGTGGTTGACATAATGGTGTATTATGTCACAGTTTCTGAAGGTCAGAAGTCCAGGCACAGTTAACTGAGTTCTCCACATGGGGTCTCACAAGGCTGTAATGAAGGTGTCATCTGGGGCTGTGGTCCCATATGAGGCTTGAGGTCCTCTTCTAACCTCACATGACTGTTGGCAGAATTCATTTCCTTGCAGCTGTAGGACTCACAGTGACTTGTTTCTTCAAGGCAGGCAAAAGAGTATCTCTTTACTCTCAGGAAAGGCCTGAGCCTTCTTTGAAAGACTCATTTGAGTAGGTCAGGCCTGCTCCAGATGGTTTCCTTTTTTATGAACTCAAAGTCAACTGATTAGGGACCTTAATTACATCTGCAAAATCTTTTCCCTCTTTCCATGTACTGCAACATAATCACAGGAGTGATATTTCATCCTATTCACAGGTCCTGCACACACTCAAGGGAAGGGGATCATACAAGGGTGTGGGTCATTCATTGGCTGCCATCTTAGAATTCTGCCTACCACAGATATATTACTAGCCTCAGCATGATCCCATATGGAGCTCTAAGAATTTGTGGAAACTTGAGGCAAGGTTGACTTTCACGTTCTTTCACCAGTCTGTCACTGGTTAAGGGCTTCTCCTGGGATGTAAACTCTCAGGCACATTGGGCTTTCCAATGGGCAGTGGCTCCCGTAGCTCTCAGGCAGTCGTACTAAGAAAGTTGCAGGCACAAGCCATTAAGAACAAAATAATACAGAAAATGAGAGAGGAGCACACAGAATTAAGGAATCATAGGGGGCCAGGCGAGGTGGCTCATACCTGTAATCCCAGCACTTTGGGAGGCTGAGGCAGGCAGATTGCTTCAGCCCAGGAGTTCAAGATCAGCCAGGCAGCATGGCAAAACCCCATCTCTATGAAAAAAATACAAAAGTTAGCCAGGTGTAAACATGTGGACCTGTAGTCCCAGCTACTTGAGAGGCTGAGGCAGGAGAGTTGCTTGAGCCCAGGACGTTGAGGCTGCAGTGAGCCCTGATTGTACCACTGCACTCCAGCTTGGGTGACAGAGCAAGATCCTGTCTCAAAAAAAAAAAAAGAAAAAAGAGAAAGAAGGAAAAAAAAGGGAATCGTAAGGGATTTGGGTAAATCACCAACGATAATCACTACCAGTCGCTCATTCTAATGGACCTACTTGAGTTTCACTTAAGTTCATTCCATCCTGTTAGAAGTGCTTCATGGTGGTGGTTGGTCATCACATTTCTGCGAGGGGTGGGAAACTTACCACAGGGATGTTGGGATCATCTGAAGCTCTCAATGCTGAAGTTGGTTTTAGGTCATAACTGTTATTCATCATCTCTCTTCTTCCACTCATTCTAGATTCTTTCATACGATGAGTATTTCTGCTGGTCTTGGTGGCTTATCTGATAAGGTGAACCAGAGGGTCTGAGCACATGATTACCAGAACTTTACCAGGCCATTTTTGCTGCAATTGCCCACTTAGAGTTAAGACTTGGCATAGGAGCACCAGGAATTGCCCCTAATGGGTCCTTTGAGTCCCAGAGATATTCCTCTTGCCTCTCTCTGTAGCAGCAGCTCTATCTTCTTATGATGAATAGGGTCGATTGCTAGATTATTAACTGCTAGGATAGTAATTACAAAAGGAACTCAGTCTCACTATGTTTTGCGTTGCTATAACAGAATACCTGAGACTGGGTAATTTATAATAAACAGAAATTTATTTTCTCACAGTTCTGGATGCTGGGAAGTCTAAGATCAAGGTACCAGCATCTGACAAAAGCTTTCTTGTTGTGTCATCACATGACAGAAGGTCAAAGGGCAAAGAGGCAAAAAGGGGGCTGAACTTGTCCTTTTATAACAGATTAATCCCACCATGAGCATGGAACTCTCATGACCCAATCACCTCCCAAAGGTTCCACCTCCAACACCATCACAAGGGCAACCAAATTCAACAGAAGTTTTAGAGAGGACAAACACTTAAACCATAGCAAACTTTATATGACCATGTGGCAGCCACAGCTTTAAGTTTATTAGGACTCTTATGGTGTCCTCTGGTGGAAACATTCCCACTCTCAGCAACTAGGATATCTAGACTCACAGATTCTAAACTTGTAGAGACAAGAAAGATTCCCCAGGGGGTTCACTTAAAACTGATAGCAGTACTACTTCTATTTTCACTCTTTGGTTTCTGGGCCCCTCTGCTCTACCTATGGGGCATAATATCATACACTGGCCACTAGTTTAAGGTATATATCACCTCCTGAAAAACAGAGCCCTGACCTTGCCAATCATCTCTTAGCTAGTGTCGTAGTTGCATCTTTTGTTTTTGTTTGTTTGTTTGTTTTTGAGACAGGGTCTTGCTCTGTCCCATGCTGGAGTGAGGTAGTGCAATCACAGTTGACTGCAGCCTCAATCTCTCAGGCTCAAGTGATCTCCCACCTCAGCCTCCCTGGTAGCTGGGACTACAGGCCCGTGCATCACCATGCCTGGCTGTTTTTTTTCATTCTTTTGTAGAGATGGGGTCTTGCTATCTTGCCCAGGCTGGTCTTAAAATCCTGGGCTCAAGCAATCCTCCTGCCTTGGCCTCCCAAAATGCTGGAATTACAGGTGTGAGCCACTGCACCCAGCCCCATAGTTGCATCTTTAAGAGCATTCCAGTGCTCCATCAAGCCAGCCATACTTGGATGATGTAGTCTGTGGTATGATCAATGGATCTTGTGGTCATGGGCCCATGCTGTGACTCTTTCACTGTTAGGTGGGTTCCTTGGTCTGTAGCTCTGTTATGTGGGATCCTGTGGTATTATGGGCAAGGAAGTCAGATCCAGAGAATTGTCAATCTTAGTCAAGAACAATCGCTGCCCTTTTCAGGGTAGAAGGAATCTGGGGTGATCTACTTGCCACAATGGGGCTGGCTAGTCTCCTTAAGGGAAAGTACCATATTATATTAAGAGATGTGTCAGTCTCTGCCACTGAAAGACAAGACATTTAGCAGCAACAATAGCTAAATCAGCACTGAAGAGGGGAGTCTATCTTTGTTCAGGCACAGGTGGTCAGGAATACAGGCTGTCTAGGGAAGTCCTGAGTTGTTTAATGCCTCTTCTGCAACTGATCCACTCTGGTGGGCATACAAAGGTCCTCACACTTTGAGCCTACTCCAATAGACCTCGAAGCTTTCATGTTCCCAGTCTTGCTTCTTCCAACCCTCTCACCAACCAAGTGAATTATTCACCAGAGTTTCTGAGCAGTGGCGAGCCAGGGGGATGGTGATGGAAGTGGTTCACTCTTGTGCAGGGAAGAAAGGTGTGTATTGTCTGCAGAGAATTTACAAATAATAAAAATGCCTACAAGTCAGCCAGTGTGGTATTATTACTGTGCAGTGGCAATTCTAAACAATGTCAATATGAAACTATTCCTCCATGCTGGAGTAGACTCTTCCTACTGCCCTTTTCTGCAACTTGGTTTCTCTCTGCCCAAGAGTCTTTGATATCCTTTTTCCAGAACACTTAATCTCCCTCCACACAAAGTGCATAATAGGATGAACTGCATGAAGCTCAGCCCACTGGGAGGATTTTCCTTCATCACTGTCTTTCAGAACCACTCCTGCATGAAACTATAGTGCAACCCAGTCCATTTGTGGTTCACACCAATGAGCTGGCCCATCCACGAATGATTCCAGTCTTGCCAACCAATATGGTAACTAAGTTCATCCTGTCTCTGGTGGTTAAGAGCTACCAGTTGGCATCTATTTTTCCAAAATCTTATCATCCCTATTAGGGAGAAGAGTTTCATAATGCACCTGAAACTGTCAGCTCTAGGCAATGGAGGGACCCACAACTGAGTGTCTTAAGAGTGCGGTGCCCCTCTCATTAGCACATTCCTTATTATGTAAGTGACAGGAAGGTGCTCGGGGCCCTTGCAAGGAACAAAGAGAGATGGTGGGTCCACGAGTCTTAAATAAACTCATTCTGACAGGTTCTCTTCTCTGGGTCTTTTTATGTATTTATGTACTTTTTAGAGACAGGTTCTTGCTCTGTTACCCAGGCTGGAGTGCAGTGGTACACGCATCGTTCACTGCAGCCTCAACCTCCGGGGCTCAAGTGATCCTCCCACCTCAGCCTCCCAATAGCTGGGACTACAAGTTTTGCCACCATGCCAGACTAATTTCAAAAAGTTTTTTTTTTTTTTTTTTTTTTTTGTAGAGATGGGTTCTCACTTTGTTTCTTAGGCTGGTCTTGAACTGCTGGCTTCAAGTGATCCTCCTACCTTGGCCTCCCAAAGCACTGGGATTACAGGCATGAGCCACTGTGCCTAGTCTCCAAGCTTTTTAAATTCCACTCTTATCACTTTGCTAAGAGATTGGACATGAATCCCAAGTCACAGGATAATGCCCTCATATTAAAAATCTCCTTTATCCAGCTTAGCAGACTGCCCCCAACTTGTTCGAGCACCCTCAAGACCCACTCCTGGACATATCTGCCAAGCCTTGAGACTCTTTTGGGGCCCACTCCCTTTCTTTTCCTGGCAGGGCCAGCACTTCCCCAAACAGGCCAGAGTGAGACTTATGCTGCATTATTGGTCTAGTGGCCAGGAGGGGAGGGGGCTGCTGAACTTGAGGAGGGTAAGTATTGTCTTGAGGAGCACAAGTCATCTGCCACATTTGAGGCCTCTACATAGTCTCCAGACAAGCGGTGGGAAGGGTGGGCGTGGGTGGGCCTCTCTATCCTCTAGCAAGGGGAAGTGGTCCCTTCTGCAGACCCAGACGGTTCAAGGATCTCAAGTGCATTCACCTGGATGTTGTCATCCCAAATCTCAAGTTCACACTCCTTCCCTGACAAGGCCTTGCCTCTGGCTTAGGAGACTTGATGAGGCTGCAAATTCAGCCTTCTCTGAAGTTCTGTTGCTCCTACAGTTCAGGGTCTGGTCTTCAGCACACTGTGTCTTCTGGTTTCTGGAAATGAATGTGTCTTTATGTGGTGTTTCAGAGCCCTTCTGACTTTCACACCTGAGCCTATCATTTTCTCTTCAATGCCTCAGCAATGCTGTATTTGTCCATTCTCACATTGCTAAAAAAGACATACCTGAGACTGGGTAATTTATAAAGGAAAGAGATTTAATTGACTCACAGTTCAATGTGGCTAGGTAGGTCTCAGGAAACCTACAACCATGGTGGAAGGGGAAGCAAACACGTCCTTCTTCACATGGTGGCAGAAGAGAGAAGTGTCAGCAGGGGGAAATGCCAGAAGCTTATAAAACCATCAGATCTTGTGAGACTCGCTCATTATCATGAGAACAGCATGGGTTGGGGGGACCTGCCCCCATGATATAATCACCTCCCACAGGTCCCTTCCCCAACATGTAGGAATTACAATTCGGATTACAATTCAAGATGAGATTTGGGTGGGGACACAAAACCAGATCATATCAGATGCCCAGAAACAGTCAACTAATTTCATAGTTCTTTCAGTTACCATTTCCCTCCTACTTCTCAAACAGAGACATTATAGACACCAGTGCCTCTTGTCCTTCTGTGTCACATCCCATTTTGCCACAGTGAAAGTGTTTGCAGTTCTACAATGTGGCAGGGGTTATCAACCCTCCACTTAGCCCACCAGGGAGGAAGTCCCAGTTGCCATATGGCAGGCAAGTGGCCCAGCTCCAGAAGCCCATGCCAGAATCGGCTTCCTAGGGCCCCTGTTAGAATCAACTGCCTTAGGCTCAGTTCCCCAAAAGCAGACACTGAGACAAGGATTTGTGAGTAAATGATTTAATTATGAGGTGCTCCCGGAGAAACCCATAAGAAAATGGGGAAGCAGGACATGCAAGTGGAAGAAATGAAGCAAGTGTGCAATCAGGGGCAAAGTCTCAGCATCAGCATGTCCCTGTTGGAACCACTGGAGTGAAAATTACCTTTGAAGTTCAGCCATCTCAAGACTAGGAACATGGGCTTACACACACACACACACACACACACCCATACCACACTAGTCATTGGCTATAGGCCCCTCCAGGGAGTGTTAACCTCCCAGGCACAACTGCCTCTCTGTAAATGTGGACAAATCAGCTCTTGCAGTCCTTGGGCAGTGCTCTAAAGAGAGTCACTGGAGTGTGCTGTCAAAAGCAAAAGGGCACAGAAGCTGGGGGGAGTGTCCTTAGAAATGGTAAAAAGAATCCAAAGAGATCTGAGAGGAGAACCCCAAAATTTCCACTACCATGACCAAAGAGGGTGGTTATCATAGCGGTGAATCTTTCAGCTCTTCCAAGAGACTTCCCTAATTAATTGAGCAGTTGGTCCTCTGGATGAGGGAGGAGAATAAATGAGAGACACATGGACAACAGCAGGGTCAAGACAGTATGTCTTTGCATCACACCTTTGGAATTGGAGGTGATAAGGAGTCTTTCGTGTGTGTGTGTGTGTGTGTGTGTGTGTGTGTGTGCACTTTGTGATTCCTCAGTGCTGGAAGCCTTCTTCTGGGCCCATGCTTGTATTCCCTGGTATTTATTGCCATCATGATTAATGTGTCCACCTTTTAATATCAGTGGTATAAAGGAAGGGGTAGCAATTCTGTCCTTTGCTTCACAGTGGATGAATTGCCACATCATGCTTATTTAAAGAAACACAAAGCAAATATTAATAGAACAGTGGATACAGATCTGAGAATTTATGAGCACCCATCTAGTTTAAGGCCTGATTTATAGACGCCCCAGATGACCACACGTATAACAAAAGTTTTGTAAAATCCAACAAAACCAAAGGTCAACTCTTAGAAATTATCCAGAATAAGAATTAACTTTTGCAATAAGACACAGTTGGATAAGTGACCTTCACTTACTCGGCAAATGTATGCTGCACACCTATGATCTGCCAGGCATTTCATTAGGGAGAGACATATCATAGTGAATAGTACATGGTCCTTTTCCTGGAGCTTATGAATTAATAACACCTACACTATATTTTTGTATGCATGCAAAAATAGAGGTATATACAGGTTCAGAAAAGGTACAGAGTAAGCTGCTTAGAGGATGCCTTGCTGCAGCCTCGGGAATACTTCATAAAACAGTAGTTAAAAAATACAGACAAAAATTAGCTGGGCATGGTGGCATGCACCTGTAGTTCCAGCTACTCCAGAGGCTGAGGTGGGAAGATCGCTTGAGCCTTGGAGGCAGAGGTTGCACTGAGCCAAGGTTGTGCCACTGCACGCCAGCTTGGGTAAGAGAGCGAGAATTTGCCAAAAAAAAAAAAAAAAAGTCCGGGCACGGTGGCTCATGCCTATAATTCCAGCACTTTGGGAGTCCAAGGCAGGTGGATCACGAGGTCAGGAGTTCGAGACCAGCCTGGCCAATATGGTGAAACCCTGTCTCTACTAAAAAAAATACAAAAATAAGCCAGGCATGGTGATGTGCGCCTGTAGTCCCAGCTATTTGGGAGGATGAGGCAGGAGAACTGCTTGAACCCAGAAGGCAGAGGTTGCAATGAGCCGAGATCACACCACTGCACTCCAGCCTGGGTGACGGAGTGAGACTCCATGTCAAAAAAAAAGAAGGAAGGAAGGAAGAGAAGGAAAGAAAGAAGGAAGAAAGAAAGAAGGAAAGAAAGAAAGGAAGGAAGGAAGGAAGGAAAGAAAGAAAGAAAGAAAGAAAGAAAGAAAGAAAGAAAGAAAGAAAAGAATGAATGAAAGAAAGAAAGAAAGAAAGAAAGAAAGAGAAAAAGAGAAAGAAAGAAAATAAGTTACAGACACAAGACCCGGCGTGGTGGCTCACGCCTGTAATCTCAGCACTTTGGGATGCCAAGGTAGGTGGACTGCTTGAGCCCAGGAGTTTGAGACCAGCCTGGGCAACATGGCGAAATCTCATCTGTACCAAAATTACAAAATACAAAAATTCACTGGGGCGTTGTGGCGCATGCTTGTAGTCCCAGATACTCAGGAGGCTGAGATGGGAAGGATCACCTGAGCCTGGGAGGTTGAGGCTGCAGTGAGCCGTGATCATGCCACTGTACTCCAGCCTGGGTGACAGAGTGAGACCCTGTCTAAAGAAAAAAAAAATTACACAGAAGACCCTAGAGTCACTGATCTTTCCCCAAGTAGAGATGAGATGGGAGAATTATGTTGCCTCTGCTCTGACTGCCTCCCAAGGCTTATGACAAAGAAGACAACTTAACCATAGTAGCTGATAAATTATTGCTAACCCTTGAAGGAGCTATTACCATCACCACCAACAAATATTTGCTCCCCCATGATAGATGCTATGGTGGAATAGGATCTTAAAGTCTACCTCCTTTACAAAGGCTTTCCCGGTCTCTCCAGCTAAATTTTCTTTCTTGCACATTCTAACTCTTCCATGGCATTTATTACATTATATATTATAGTACAATTTGTGCTATCTCTTTAACTCAAGTGGCAGAGTTTGGGATATAGAGACATGTATCATGTATCCTTGTCTCTCTAACAGTAGCTGGTAGTATAGTTTACATAGGCGGTTTTTACTAAATGTTTATGGATGAGCGAATGAATGAATGAAATGCCAAGACCTTACAGTAGAGTTGGAGAGACAAATTATGTACTCGTAAAAAGTAATTATAGTATTACAGGTCCAGGTCATCAACTATGTCCAGGAAGATAGTTAGAATAATTAGGAAATGCTTTGTAGTTATACCATCAAGGATGGGGAGAATTAAAGAAAATGAAGAAAGACATTTCAAAATAATGAATGAATGAATGAATGAATGAATGAATGGAGGAATTACTATATGCAAGGCCCTGTGTGAGTGCCTGAAGATATACAAGTGAATGACTATATTTCTGCCCTCACGAAAGGTATATACAAAAGAAATACACAAGTAATTATGCAATGAAAACTCTTGTAATACTACCCTGACATTGTGAAATATATATTTGGTCTTTGTCCTTGTTTTCTGATATACAGTTCCTAAAACCCTTGTAGATAGGGGTGCTAGGAGAATCTTTTGTTCTAATATTTGGTCTTTGACCCCCAGTTCCCGACACAGAGCTCCTAACATCTTTGTCATTCCCTGAGTGATAGGAGGTGATAGGAGTGTCTGACACAGAGCTCCTATATTTCTTGGAATTTCCTAGATGATGGGAGCATCTTTTGGTCTAAAATGTGGCCCTTGGCGGACTCCTGCATGCTCTCAGGATGGCGGCTGGTGCCAGGGGAAACAATCATGTGATTAGAAGGTTGGAACTTGCAGTCCCACCCCCGACCTCCAGAGAGGGGAGAGATGCTTAATAGTCGACGATGTAATTAGTCCTGCTAACATAATGATGCCTCCTAAAAAGCCCCAAAGGCCTGAGTTTAGTGACCTTCTGGATAGCTAAAGACATGGGGGGTTTTGGAGCATGGTGCACGCAGAGAGGGCATGGAAGCTCAGCCCTTCACACACACCTTGTCCTGTGCATCTCTTCCATCTGGCTGTTTCTCTATATCCTTTGAAATACCCTTTATAATAAACTGATAAATGGGTGGGGTGCAGTAGCTCACACCTGTTATCCCAGCACTTTGGGAGGCTAGGGTATATGGATCACCTGAGGTCAGGAGTTTGAGACCAGCCTGGCCAACATGGTGAAACACCATCTCTACTAAAAATACAAAAAAAAAAAAAAAAAAAAAATTAGCTGGGCATGGTCGTGGGTGCCTGTAGTCCCAGCTACTTGGGAGGCTGAGGCAGGAGAATCGCTAGAACCCAGGAGGCAGAGGTTGCAGTGAGCCGAGATTGCACCACTGCACTCCAGCCTGGGCAACACCGTGGGACTCCATCTGAAAAAATAAAATAAAATAAACTGATAAATGGAAGTAAAGCATTTTCCTTAGTTCTATGATCTGCTCTAGCAAACTAATTGAGCCTGAGGAGGGAGTCATTGGAACCCGATTCACAGCCAATCAGTCAGAAGCCCAGGCCACAACCTGAGGTTTGCCATTGGCATCCCAAGTGAGAATAGTAATGTTGGGACTGACATTTAGGAGTTTCAGAAACAGAACAAAAAAAAAAAAAAAAGGAAAAGTTTCAAAGGAACAATACAAAAATATTCTGAACTACTGAGTTTCAAGATTGAAACCATCCCCTAAGTTTCTAGGATAATGAATGAGGAAATACCTACTCAAAGTGTAGCACCAGGATGTTTGAGTCCTTGTGGTACTTCTCTGTGTCTTTCTAGTTATGTTGGCTGTTTGAAGCTTGTTCTTCAGTAGATTCTACAGGAAGGGCCCATGAGAATAACATACAAGAAACTCCAAATCTTTGAGTGTTAATAATAGTTTGCCTATACTCCTTTATACTTAAAAATCAGTTTTATTGCATATAAAATCTTTGACTCACATTTTCTTTCCTTGAGTATTTTAAATATGTTATTCCATTTTCTTTTGGTATAAACCATTGCTGACAAAAGTTTGATGGTCATCTAATTTTCTTGCCTTTCCATCCCTTGTTGTTTTTTGCCTTGATGTCCAAATAATTTTTTCTTAAAGTCTGGTAATTTTTAAAGAATGTGTCTTGGTGTTGGTGAGTCTCGGGTTGATAGAGTTGGGTACATGGTGTGCTCTTTCAACCTGTAGTTTTAAATTGTTTTAAAATTTAGCTTAATGAAAATTATTTTTGGAGATGGGTCTGGCTCTGTTGCTCAGGCTTGAGTGCAGTGGCATGATTACAGCTCACTGTCACCTTGACCTCCTGGGCTCAAGCAATCCTCCTGCCTCAGCCTCCCAACTAGCTAGTACCACAGGTGTGTGCCATCTCACCCGGCTAATTTTTTTATTTTTGTAGAGATAGGATCTCACTACGTTGCTCAGGCTGGTTATAAACTCCTAGGCTCAGGTGATCCTCCTGCCTTGGCCTCCCAAAATGGTGGGATTATAGGCGTGAACAACTGCACCTGACTGTGTTTTTAAATTTTAGACAAGGTTTCCTGAATGACAGATTTTATTTTATTTATTTATTTCTTTAAGACAGAGTCTCGCTCTGTCACCCAGGCTGGAGTGCAGCAGTGTGATCTCGGCTCACTGCAACATCTACCTCCTGGGTTCAAGTGATTCTCCTGCCTCAGCCTCCTGAGTAGCTAGGATTACAGGTGCCCACCACCATATCCAACTAATTTTTGTATTTTTAATAGAGACAGAGTTTCACCACATTGGCCAGGCTGGTCTCAAACTCCTGACCTCAGGTGATCCGCCTGCCTCGGCCTCCTAAAGCACTGGGATTACGGGCGTGAGCCACTGTTCCCGGCTCTAAATGAAAGATTTTAATATTTGTTCTGTCCAGCTTGCTTTACAGGGGCAGACCCTGTAAACCTTTTCCCAGTTTCTGAAGCTGTTGTAAATTGGGTCCCCTGTGCTTTCCAGGGAGTATCTGTTGTTGGCTGCTGAGGTTCTCCTGCTTCGAGGCCTATTAGACACCTGCTGCTTCCCTCTGAGCTCCAGCATAAACGCAGACACCATGCAGGCCTATGGCTGCTGGGAGTTTGTCCTCACCTGGTGCACTCAGATTTATGGAGATATCTTGTTACCTAGTTTTGCTTTTGACTTTGCTATATAATTATTCTGACTGTTTATATGCGGGGATCTGGGGAGATTCAGAAGCCATGTTTCTGCTGCTATCTTCCCAGAACCCCTCACACTGGAACAAAGATAAAACCCTAAAATTTTTAGAAAGGATCAAGAAGCAGAAATGTGTCAGACTTAGAAGCGTAACACTGGAAGCAAGAAAGCAGAGGAGAAATGTCTTGAAATCTTCAGGGAAAAATACTTTTAACCTAAAATTCTTTACATAGGTAAACTACCAGAAAAGTGGAATAGGGCTGTAGAGTGGATTGGAAACTGCTGTTTTAAGTTTTGGAAAACTGCAGTGCTACTTGACTTTAAAAAAAAGTTATACAGTCTTATTTTTATTAGATTAAAATAAAAATTAAATATTAAAATGCCAAAGTGGCTGGAGAAGAGTGACTAAGGATGAGGGACACCTGAGATAAAGCTGGGATATTAGGGGGCAGTAGGGAAGAACATGTGTGGCATTGAAGAAATGAAACACACCTACACACAAGGTATATTCAGGCCACAATATTCCTTCCTTCCTTCCTTCCTTCCTTCCTTCCTTCCTTCCTTCCTTCCTTCCTTCCGTCCTCTCTCTCTTTCTTTCTTTCTCTCTCTCTCTTCCTTTCTCCTTCCTTCCTCCCTCCCTCCTTCCTTCCTCTTTCTTTTTCTTTCTCTCTTTCTCCTTCCTTCCTTCCTCCCTCCCACCTTCCTTCCTTCCTCCTTCCATCCTTCCTTCCCCCTTCCTTCCTTCCTTCCTTCCTTCCTTCCTTCCTTCCTTCCTTCCTTCCCTCCCTCCCTCCCTCCTTCCTCCCTTCCCTCCCTCCCTCCTTCGTTCCTTCCTTCTTTCCTTCTTTCTTCGGGGGTAGAAGGGAGAAAGGATCTCGTTCTGTTGCCCAGGCTGGAGTGCAGTCATGCCATCACAGCTCACTTAAGCTTCAGCCCACCTCAGCCTCCTGAGTAGCTGGGACTATAGGTGTGCACCACCATGCCCAGCTAATTTTTGTATTTTTTTGTGGATACAGAATTTCGCCATGTTGCCCAGGCTGGTCTCAAACTCCTGCATTTAAATGGTTCACTTGCTTAGGCTTCCCAAAATGCTGTGATTACAGGCATGAGCCGCCATGCCTGGCCTGCTACCTTTCTTTTCTTTCTTTTTGAGACAGGGTCTCACTCTGTCACCCAGACTGGAGTACAGTAGCACAGTCTTGGCTCACTGCAACCTCCGCCACCCCGGCTCAAGTGATTCTCCTGCCTCAGCCTCCTGAGTAGCTGGCATTACAGGTGCGGACCACCACCACCTGGCTAATTTTTGTATTTTTAGTAGAGATGGGGTTTCACCATGTTGGCCAGGCTGGTCTCAAACTGCTGACCACAGGTGATCTGCCCGCCTCGGCCTCCCAAAGTGCTGGGATTACAGGCGTGAGCCACCGTACCTGGCCGGCCTGCTACCTTTCATTTGTATAATATGTCATCAAACATAGTCACATAACAGAATTCAGAAAGTAGAGAACAAGAAGAATTCAATAGCTAGAGAACTTGATAAAATAAGTAGGTCAATCATAATTAGCTTAACTTTATAGATTTATTTATTATATAATTGCCAAGTTATTATGACGGCCAAAACAGACATGATCCCTGACTTATGCTGTTTACACTATAGAAGGCAAGGGAGACATTAAATAGAAAATCCTAAAAGCATATAACCACAACTATGATAAATAGCATACATGCACAGTATATAGCAGGGAGGCCATGATCTGGTCTGTGTGACACAGAAGCCCTTCTTTCAGAGGAAACAGAAGCAGGTCAGGATGCCCAGTATATTCGTTTGTTGCCTGTTGCTTACAACAGAATACCTACAACTGGGTAATTTACTTTAAAAAAGGAATTTATGTCTTACAATTGTAAAGGCTGAGACATCCAAGGTCAAGGGGCTGCATCTGGTGAGGGCCTTCTTGCTGGTGGGGACTCTCTGCAGAGTCCCAAGGTAGCACAGGGCATCACATGGTGGGCAGCTGAGTGTGCTAATGGGCTAGCTCAGGTCTCTCTTCCTCTTATAAAGCCAACAGTTCTTCTCCCATGATAACCCATTAATCTACAAATTGATTAATCCATTCATGAAGGCAGAGTCCTCATGATCCAATCACCTCTTAAAGTGTACATCATTTAATACTACCACATTAAGGATGAGGTTTCCAACATAAATTTTAGGGGATACATTTCCAAGCGGAGAGGGAAGGGGAAAGTTGAACAAGATGAGATTGGAGAGTTAAGGAAAGGCCAGAGCATGCAGGGCCATGAAGGATGTAATTAGGATCCATCCTTTTTCTAACAGAAATGAGAAATACTGAAGAGTTTTATACAAGGGAGTGATGAGATCAGATTTCTGTTTTTTCTTGGGTTTTCTATTTAGAGACGGGATCTTGCTCTGTTGCCCAGGTGGGAGTGCAGTGGTGTGATCATAGCTCACTGCAGTCTGAAACTTCTGGACTCAAGTGATCCTTCTGCCTCAGCCTCCCAAGTAGCTGGGACTACAGGCACGTGCCACCACACCCTGCTAATTTTAAAATTTTTTCTAAGGATGGGGTCTTGCCATGTTGCCCAGGCTGGTCTTAAACTCCTGAGCTCAAGTGACCCTCCCATTTTAACCTCCCAAAGTGCCGGATTACAGGCATAAGCCACTGCACTGGCCCAGTTTTCCATTTTTAAAAGATCATGTGATGGGCTGGGCGCCGTGACTCACGCCTGTTATCTCAGCCCTTTGGGAGGCTGAGGCAGGCGGAGATCATGCCATTGCACTTCAACATGGGCAACAAGAGCGAAACTCCATCTCAAACAAAAAAAAAATCATGTGATGATGTCATTTATGTTATTTTTAACAATATGTACATATATGCTCTCAGGAAACTAGGAATAGAGGAGAACTTCCTCAACTTGGTGAAGAACATTTACAAAGAAACTAATATCATACTTAATGATGAGCGTTATAGATTGAATTGAGTCCCCTCTAAATTCACATGCTAAGTCCTAATCCCTAGCACTTCTGAATGTGACTGTATTTGGGGATAGAGTTGTTAAAGAAATAATTATGTTAAATTGAGGTCATTAGGATGGGCCCCAATCTAATACAACTAGTGTCATAAAAAGAGGAAACAAGGACATACAGAAGTACCGAGAGAAGGCCATGAGAAGACATAGGCAGAAGGCAGCCACCTACAAGCCAAGGAGAGAGGCCTCAGAAGAAACAAACCCTTCTGACACCTTGATTTCAAATTTCTAGGCTTCAGTATTGGGAGAAAATAAATTTCTGTTGTTTAAGCCACCCAGTCTGTGGTACTTTTTATAGCAGCCCTAGAAAATGAATACAGTGAGAAACCAGAGGCTTTTTCACTAAGATCAGGATCAAGGCAAGGATGTCCCCTCTCACTTCTCCCATTCAACATCTCACTGAATGTCCTAGCTAATGCAATAAGACAAGAAAAGGAAATAAAGTGTATACACATTTGGAAGGATGACATAACATTGTCTTTGTTTGCAGGTGAGAAGATTTTCTATGTAGAAGATGCAAATAATTAACAACAAAAAAACGAATAAGTGGTTATAGCAGGGTTTCTGGATACAAGGATAATATATAAAAGTGAACTGATTTCTTATATGCCAGCAGAGAACAACTGGAATTTGAAGTGTAAAATACAATGTATTTACATCAGCACCAAAAAAATGAAGCACTTAGGTATAAAGCTAACAAAATACGTATAAAATCTACATGAGAAAAACTGTAAAAATCTGATGAAAGAAATCAAAGATGTAAATAAATGGGAAAATATCCCAAATACATAGATAGGAAGATTTTCTCAATATTATCAAGATGTTAGTTCTTTCCCAACTGATTCAATTTCCAACTGATCAATTTCCCAATGATCTATAGATTCAATGCAATCTCAATCAAAATCCCAAGTCATTTTATGGACATATATATATATATGCATTTGCATATGTGTAGACTGTAGCTAGAGAGATTAATTAGAAACTTCTCACAATATGTTGCTTCTGGGGAAAGGAATAGGGGGTGTGGGGGGGATGCTTGCTTTTACACATTTTGTATTTTGTATCTTTTGAATTTTGTACCAGGTGCATTCATGTAGACAAAAACAACTTAGCTTAGAAAAGAATTTATACTCGCTCACACTGCTAGTAAGGGATTAAAAAAGGGGACTAAATCCAGGTCTTCTGAAGAGTAAGCTCAGTGCTTTTTTTCACTAGCCCACTATGTGAAGATGAATACGAGAAGGGGGTTTATTTTTGTATGGGATGGTAGTGAGAGACAGGGATGGAAAGAGCCTCATGGTTGGATTGGGAGTGGGTTAGGCACAGTGTTGGGCAAAGTGGTGTGAATGTCAGCCTGCAGATAATAAGAGTGGCCCAAGTTTTATCCAGGGGGAATTTGATTACAGTAATAGTAGGGGCTTGTCTCCTTTCCTCTTTTGACCACTGCCCAGAAATCTACCCACTCAGGATTCCAAGGGGTGAATTAGGAAGAAGACGGGCTCTTGGTTCCTTTGTGCTGCTGTAACAGAATACCACAGACTGGGTAATTAGTAAGCAACAGAAATGTATTTCTCACAGTTCTGGAGCCTGGGAAGTCTAAGATCAAGGCAGCAGCAGACTGGCCAGCAGATTCCATGTCTGGTGAGTGTGTTCTGCTTAAAAGCTGACCTCTTGTTGCTGCTTGGTGGAAGGGGGCGAGGGAGCTGCTTAAGGGCACTAACCCCATCATTAGTATGGAGCCTGGTGATTTGATCACTTCCCAGAGGCCCCACCTCTTAATATTGTTACATTGGGTATTAGGTTCCAATATATTTCCAACATCTAGCCTTCAGAATTGGGAGACAATAAATTTCTGTTGTTTAAGCCACCCAGTCTGTGATACTTTGTTTTGGCAGCCCTACAAACTAATATAGGGAGAAACTAATGCATTTTGGGGGGACATCAACTTTTAGGCTACAGAAGGATTCTTTAAGAATTGAAAAAGTAGAATATATATAGTCTTTTATTATTTTTTAATTATTAAATTTTTTTTTAGAGACAGGGTCTCAGTCTGTCACCCAGGCTGGAATGCAGTGGCATGATCATAGCTCACCATAACCTTGAACTCTTGGGCTCAAGTGATTCTCCTGCCCCAGCCTCTCCAGTATCTAGGACTACAGGGGCACACCACCACACCTGGCTAATTTTTAATTTTTTGTAGGAACGGGGTCTTGCTATGTCACTCAGGCTGGTCTTGAACTCCTGACCTCAACTGATCCTCCCACCATGGCCTCCCAAAGTGCTGGGATTACAGGCTCAAGCCACTGTGCCTGGCCTTAGAATATTTTTGCTTTAATAGAAGCTCATTTGCATAAGCCTCAAAGGGTTTTAGGAATGACAAGAGCATCCAGTAGCAAAAAGGTAATGGAAGGACGACTTGATCAGTGGCCGAAGAAAGAACATGCATAACTAACCAGCACTTAAGAGACAGGGAGAATGTGGGGGAAGGCATCAGGAGCAATTCTAATATTCCTGGCTACCCTTCACACGGATTGCTTTTCCTCTAAACGAAGCTGTGTTCACATTAGAATTACTGCTCAGCGTTATGAAAGAATCTAGGTTCTAAAAGTCACTGCATTTTTACATGTAAGCCCAGCTGTAATGCAATAATTTGCATTTATATAGCAACATTCATCTAAGGCAGAAACATGCTTCTCCAGCATTAACTCATTAATCCTTACAATGTCCTTGTGAAGGAGCTGGTGAGTGTGATTATCTCCCTTTCACAAATAAGAAAAATGGAGCCACAGAGACGATAAGTGATTTGGGTGAGAATAGGTTGAGTCTATATGATGAATTCATAACTAGTATTAATACAAATCTCTTGGAAATGAGTTATAAATGATTGGTTCAACACAGTTTGGTGTTCAGATGTCTCAAAAAATTTTAATAAATGAATATCTTACTTTGGCTTTATAATCAACAGAATCTGATTATTATTCAGGTTTTATTCACCCTGACTGATGAATGACAAAATCTGTCTCATGAGAATTAAATCCACTTTCCTCTCCGACTAATAACTTTAGAGCCCAGGACTCTATGAAAGGAATTACAAGATTGGGGTAATAATAAGAGAAAGTCACTTGATTTAAACTGGTTATGAGCAATTTTTTTTTTTTTTAAGACAGGATCTTACTCTGTTGCCTAGGTTGGAGTGCAGTGGTGCAATTGCGGCTCACTGCAACTTTGAACAACTGGGCTCAAGCGATCCTCCCACCTCAGCCTCCCCGGTAGCTGGGATTACAGGTGTATGAACTACCATGCCTGGCTAATTTTTTCATTCTTTTGTAGAGATGAGGTCTCGCTATTCTGCACAGGCTGGTCTTAAAGTCCTGGCCTGAAGCGATCCTCCCACTTCGGCCTCCCAAAGTGCTGGGATTACAGGCGTGAGCCACCACTCCCAGCCTCCAACTTCTGAGATAAAGATTTGGGTGCAAGTAATTTATTCAGAGTTTATCCCAGGAAGCATGTTGAGGGCATGGAGAAATAAGAGAGGAAAGTTCATAACCAGTTTCTTACATGGGTAACAGCTGTGAGCCTCAGCAGACAGAGCCCATCACCCGCAGCTGTTATCCATGTGAGGAACTGGACCTCAGAACTGGCAAGGGAGTTTTTTGTTTTGTTTTGTTTTTTGTTTCTTTAGAGACAGGGTCTGCCTCTGTCACCCAGGCTGGAGTGCAGTGGTACAATCATAGCTCACTGCAGCCTCCACCTCCTGAACTCAAAGGATCCTCCCACTTCAGCCTCAGCCTCCCCAGTAGCTGGGACTGCAGGTGTGCACCACAACACCTGGCTATTTTTTTAAAATTATTTTTTGTTGGCCGGGCATGGTGGCTCACGCCTGTTATCCCAGCACTTTGGGAGGCCAAAGCAGGCAGATCACTTGAGGTCAGGAGTTCAAGACCAGCCTGGCCAACATGGTGAAACCCCATCTCTATTTAAAATACAAAAATTAGCCAGGCATGGTGGTGGGCACGTGTGGTCCCAGCTATTAGGGAGGCTGAGGCAGGAGAATCACTTGAACCTGGGAGGTGGAGGTTGCAGTGAACTGAGATCATGCCACTGCACTCCAGTCTGGGCGATATACTATACACACACACACACACACACACACACACACACACACACACATACACACACACATATATATATACGCACACACACACCTATATATACACACACATACACACACACACACACACACACACACACATATATATATGGTTTGGACAGGCTATGTTGCCCATAGCCCGTTACCATATTAGCTTCCATTTTCTCCATTTCTTCTAAACTGATTTACAAATATATGTGCTTCTTTCTTGTTAACTACTTTACCTGCTTTTTCTCTTTTCAACCTGATTCTCCTTTGTAAATATCTTTCCAATGATTGCTAGCTCATTTGGGGCTTTCCTTCCCTCGTCTTGGGCTCATCTCAAACTTCTGGCCTCAAGCCATCCTCTTGCCTCGGCCTCCCAAAGTGCTTGGATTACAGGCGTGAGCCACTGCACCCGGCCCAGAGTTGAGCTTTTCATCCACCATCTTTTGTCCCTCTTCAGTGAGCATTGTTCCTGTGGCACTTCTGTTCTGCTCTGTGCTCAGGCTAAACACCCCCTGCAGCCAGAGAAATTCCTCTGACAGAGAAATGCTGGGCAGCCTGGTCCAGCTCAGACCACGACATCTCATCTGGCACTGCTGGTGATCTCAGGATGGTCAAAGAGGATAAGATCAAGATACTGACTGCATGTGCTGCAACGTTTAACAAATATTTATTAAATACCTACAATGTGCCTGCCACTTTGCTAGGTCTAAGGATAAAAAATAACTCAGACATGGTGATTTCTCTGAAACATAAAAACTGATCATGACATTCTCCATTCCCACCTTCTAGTAGTTCAGATCTACTTTGAACTGCTGCAATATTATAAGAGATGCAGAGAACTTTGCAAGCTTGAGATGGAAAAAACATCAAGTAGCCCTAATGTGTTCTCTTCAATTTCAATTTGGTTTGACTTAGGGAGGATTCCCCGGACTGCTTTTCCCATCGCCTGCCAGTCTCTAAGTTACAGACAGGATTTTGGATTCATGGCAGAGCAGGGCAGAATCCTCTCACTTTATGAACTTCCTTTAGCCACGTCTTGGTTGCTTTTTCCCTAATAGGCTATTTGGGAAGACTGTCTATTTGGCTACTGTATTAGCCCATTTTCACGCTGCTGATAGACATAACTGAGAGGCCAGGCACGGTGGCTCACGCCTGTAATCCCAGCACTTTGGGAGGCTGAGGCGGGCGGATTACCTGAGGTTGGGAGTTGGAGACCAGCCTGACCAACATGGAGAAACCCCGTCTTTTCTAAAAATACAAAATTAGCCAGGCGTGGTGGCGCATGCCTGTAATCCCAGCTACTCGGGAGGCTGAGGCAGGAAAAGTGCTTGAATTTGGGAGGCGGAGATTGGAGGTTGCAGTGAGCCGAGATCGGCCATTTCACTCCAGCCTGGGCAACAAGAGCGAAACTCCATCTCAAAACAACAACAACAACAAAAACAACCAAAAAACCATACCTGAGACTGGGTGATTTATAAAGAGAAAGAGGTTTAATGGGTTCACAGTTCCAGTGGTTAGGGAGGCCTCACAATCATGGCAGAAGGTGAAAGGCACGTCTTACATGGCGGCAGGGAGTAGCGAACTTGGGCAGGAAAACTCCCCTTTATAAAACCATCAGATCTCATGAGACTTATTCACTACCGCAAGAAGAGCATGAGAAAGACCCGCCCCCATGATTCAGTTACCTCCCACCAGGTCCCTCCCATGACATGTGGGAATTGTGGGAGCTACAATTCAAGATGAGATTTGGGTGGGGACACAGCCAAACCATATTAGCTTCCATTTTCTCCATCTCTTCTAAACTGATTTACAAATATATGTGCTTCTTTCTTGTTAACTACTTTGCCTGCTTTTTCTCTTTTCAACCTGATTCTTCTTTGTAAAAATCTTTCCAATGATTGTGAACTCATTTGGGGCTTTCCTTCCCTATTCTCTGATGATTTATGGTCTCGATTAATATTTACTGATATTATTATATAATCCCAAAATTCTATGCTTTTTTCTGATTTCCAAGGTGATGCTAGGTAAATTTTTCCATGGGTTAGCAGGTTGTTGATGAGAAAAGACAAGGCCCTGTCTGTTCTGCCTGACAAATACATCCCAGGTAGCATTTATATACCTTCGACACAACTCTCCAGAGTCAGCCTTTAATTCCTGATCACTGCTTGGCCTAACAGAATAATGATGTCAAGATCCTCAGTTTAACATGGAGGCAAGAGTGATAGGCTATCTATGCATGGGGCTATTTTCTGCCCCGTACTTAAATCACTTGGATTACATTTCCTGATAGTTTTGTGAAGAAGGGAAAGAAAGCAATTTGGGATGCTGAGGAGGATTCAAGTCCTATCTCTATTACTAGTCAGGTAGTGTCTGCTGACTGTTGTACAACTCTCCTCTCGGGCACCTGTGTGCTTTCTGGTCACAGTCAGACATTGAGAACTATTAAGGGTTGGGTGCAGTGAATCACACCTGTAATTTCAACACTTTGAGAGGCTGAGTCAAAAGGATGACTTGAGGCCAGGAGTTCACTATGGGAAACATAGTGAGACCCCCCCTCTCTACTATATATATATGTATATATATAGTAGAGACTCTCTCTGTCTCTCTCTCTCTCTCTCTATATATATATATATATATATATATAGAGAGAGAGAGAGAGAGAGAGTCTCTACTATATATATATAGTCTCTACTATATATATATAGTCTCTACTATATATATATAGTCTCTACTATATATATATAGAGTCTCTACTATATATATATAGTCTACTACATATATAGAGTCTCTACTATATATAGAGTCTGCCATATATATACATTCTCTACTATATATATATAGTCTCTACCATATATATATATATATACATAGTCTCTACTATATATATATATATAATTAGCTAGGTATGGTGGCATGTGCCTCTAGTCCCAGCTACTTGGGAGGTAGAGGAAGGATGGTCACTTGAGCTCAGGAGTTTGAGGCTGCAGTGTGATTGAACCACTGCACTCCAGCCTGGGCAATACAGCAAGATTCTATCTCATGAAGAAGAAGCAGAAGGAGAAGGAGGAGGAGGAGGAGAAAGAGGAGGAGGAGGAGGAGGAGAAGGAGAAGGAGAAGGAAAAGAAAAGAAGAAGAAGAAGAAAAAGAAGAAGAAGAAGAAGAAGAAGAAGAAGAAGAAGAAGAAGTTGAGAAGAAGAAGGAGAAGGAGAGGAAGAAGAAGAATGTGTGTGTGTGTGTGTGGTGATAACACAAAGACAAAGTCAATGAGTCTGGAGTGCATTAGCCATCTTGCATTATTGACGCTACATTTAGGAATTCCAAAAGCTGAGAGTTAATGCCACATCTGCTTGGTTGGTAGCTTTTTTCTAAGGTGACCGGAAGGTAGAAGGTATGAAGAAAAGACACAGAAGGTATAATTATATAATTGTAACCAATGAAAGTCAATTTTCTCCTTCACTCATAGAAACAATCTGAGGAGGTTATGAAGTATGGGGCCAAAGACATAAATTCAGCCTGTAACTCCCATGCTAAATGGTGGTCCATTTATTATTAGGGGTAGGGGAAAGGAGAAAGGGAATGGAAGTGTACTCTTGTATCACTTTAGAAAACAATTCTAAATGGAAATCACAAGGGCACATTAGTTTCTCAAAAATCTTGGCCAAAAAGGAAAGGAGAGAGGTAGAATGATAGCCATAAAGGAATGTAGCATCAGGCCCGGTGTGGTGGCTCACGCCTGTAACCCCAGCACTTTGGGAGGCCGAGGCAGGTGGATCACTTGAGGTCAGGAGTTCAAGACCAGCCTGACCAACATGGTGAAACCCCATCTCTACTAAAAATACAAAAAATTAGCCAGGGGTGGTGGTGGGTGCCTGTAATCCCAGCTACTTGGGAGACTGAGACAGGAGGATTGCTTGAACCCAGGAGGCAGAGGGTGTGAGATCGTGCCACTGCACTCCAGCCCGGATAACAGAATGAGACTCTGTCACCAAAAAAAAAAAAAAAAAAGGAATGCAGCATTAAAAAACTAGCAAGCAAGCAAGCACTCCATCTTACTGGGATATTATCAAATAAAGTTAGGATATTTTGTTCTGTCTTTACTCTTTAAATGTTTCCCTTGGTTTTCATTTTTTTGGCAAAAATGTCCCAGTCTCTACTGTACTCTATGCTCTCACTCTATGTGGGTTAGGTGGGGTTTACTCTGCCTGGGTAATCAGAACAGTCTATCCTCCTGGTCATCAGAATTGGCTGATGAATTGGCTGTAATTCAAGTCAGGCCAGTGAAATTTTGGAGCAACTTGTAGAGAGTCACTCTCTTTCTGAAGTGGTTGCTAAGGGGATAGAAGGTAAGCTTGGAGCTGCAGGTAGTCATTTTTACTATCATCTGGGGGTGAACCCACATAACAATGAAATTAACATAGAGGAAAGCATGACTAATAGAAACAGAAGAAGTTATGATTACATTGAATATTTGAATCCAGCCACGACTGAAATATAACATTTATTACTTGACTTTTCAGTTACATGATCCCATACATTTTCTTTCTTTTATCTTTTCTATAAACAAATTTGAGTTGCCTTTCTTGTGCTTGAGAACCAGAGTTCTAATATAATCTTTTATTAATCAATGTCTTCTCCTTTCCATTGCTCTATTTGGCTTGTATCAATATTTTTAATATAAACTCAGCCTTTTTTATTGTAATAAAATATACATAACAAAATTTACCATTTTAACTATTTTAAGTGTACAATCTCATGGCATTGAGTGCATTCACAATGTTGTACAACCATCATAATTATCCATTTAGCTCAGCCTTTTTAAAGAAGGAATATTTCAGTTAAATTTTCTTCTTTATAATCTACTTCCACAGAGGCTTAGTCAATTACAGTAATGCTGGATCAAAACCATTATGTGAAATTAATTTACAAAAACAATGCTTGTGGGGGCAAAGAAATTACCCATCCACAGGTCACAGAGGAGCTATTTCTCCCAGATACATATTGAGTGGACACAATCTTGTTGCACCCTGAATACCTCTTAGTCTAATGTTAGTATTGTAGAAGGGCCCAGTACAAAGAAACCTTATTAAGTTATGAAACTACATTAAGAGTCAAAGTCAGAGACACAAATGGATGTATAAACACCATTGACTTTGCATTGGCAAGTCAAACCACTCTAAGTCCTTGATTCTTTGATCTTACCCTTTGTAATCTTTAAACAGGGACTTTGAAAGCACATAAAAACTTGGAGCAATGGAGAATACAAGACACTGAAGTGAATTGTTGCTGGGAAATACATATTAGAATGTAGTAAGATGGCCTCGTGTGTGTGTGTGTGTGTGTGTGTGTGTGTGTGCGCTTGAGTGTGTGCTGGGCAGGTACGGGAGCAGTATTTGGAGAAAGCTAATAAGGGAACCAGCTCAGATTTCATCTGGGTAGACAAACCAATGTGGCCTTCATTTAGAATCTTCAGGGAATTACTGGAGGTGATTTTTCACTTCTCAACCTTCAAATACATCTCTTTCTTTTTCTCTTTCTGTTGTCTCTCTTCTCCTATCTTCTGACCAATTTTTGCTTCCACATGTGTCCTTTTTTCTTTCTTCCTTTCCTTTGCCTCAATTCCACACTCACTACCAGAAGCAGTGATAGGCACCAAGTACGAATGCTCTGAAAGCTCCTTAGAATCCAAAGTTGGTCCATTTAGGCCAGGAATCACCTTAATTTCTCAAAGAAACTCAAGATTTACTCTATCTCTTGACTAACTGCATGGGAGGTCAGAAATCATGTTCTCATATTATATGTACATGAAATTGTCTCGTAGATATTGGATTATTGTGATTTTAGGAGTTCTGGTATTTCAAGCCCTCAGGCATCCCTCAATGGAAGATGCAGGAGAAATGATAATGGTTCCACCTAAGAGTTCTTATTAATAGTGAGTATAATGTAAGCATAATTTTTTTCCAAGTCTTCATGGATAATAGAAGGAACTGGGATCAAAGGCACTTAAGAGTAACTCACAATGATTTAAAAAATCTGTCCTGCTTGCTACTCTACAATTTTTTTTTTTTTTTTTTTTTCTGAGACAGGGTCTTGCTGTTGCCCAGGCAGCAGTGCAGTGGTGCAATCTCGGGTCACTGCAACCTCCGTGGGCTCAAGTGATCCTCCTGAGTAGCTGGGACCAGAGGTACAAGCCACCACACCAGGCTCATTCTTTTTTTTTTTTTTTTTGTAGACATGGGGTTTCACCATGTTGCCCAGGCTGGTCTCAAAGTCCTGAGTTCAGGTGATCCTCCCACCTGAGCCTCCCAAAGTGCTGGGATTACAGGTGTGCACCACTGCACCTGGCCTACTCTACAGTTCTTCTGTGATATTGGGGTCAGTGTGCTGAATTCTGATTTGGTTGATATGTTGCAGATGTTGGGGAATAGTAGCCCACACTCCTGTGAAGAGTGAGGGTTTTCTCTGAAGAGTGTGTCATTTGGGTTTGCTTTTTTTTTAGATAGATTTTAAAAAGAATTTTCAGGAAGGCAAGTGCTTGGGTGTGGACTGCTGTGTAAGAAATGCAAAGATAGTATCTACAGGAAATTTGGCATTTATCACTTTCCTATTTAAGGTGGTTTTTTTTGAGACACTGTTCCAACACAGCTGTAGCACAAGTTGTGGGTAACTAACTTGTGGATGGGCCAGTTCGATTTTTGCTTTAGAGAAGTTGAAATTGTAACAATGAGAGTGTGAGTCAACTAGATGATTATGTGTACTTGAACTAAAAGGTCATATACACTCAGGGATGGAATTGATTTCAGGGTGGGGCAAATCCCTGTTGCAGCCAAAATTGTAGAGAGCCTTAAAGGTGGTCTTCAAAGAGAAGCAGGAGAATGGCATAGCAATGCAGGCAAAAAGAGACCAGAGATTAAACAGCATCCCAATTACTTAGGGGAGGCAATGCTAGCCGCTATAATAGATAAAACCCAGGTTGGGTGCAGTGACTCACACCTGTAATCCCAGCACTTTGGGAGGCCGAGGTGGGTGGATCACTTGAGGCCAGGAGTTTGAGGCCAGCCTAGCCGACATGGTGAAAACCCAAATTCACTAAAAATACAAAAATTAGCCAGGTGTGGTGGCAGGCACCTGTAATCCCAGCTATTGGGAGGCTGAGGCACAAGAATCACTTGAACCCAGGAGGCAGAGGTTGCAGTGAGCCAAGATCACACCCCTGCACTCCAGCCTGGGTGACGGAGTGAGACTCCATCTCAAAAAACAAACAAACAAAAAACTTAGTGGTTTAACAGATGCGTTTCCATAGTTTAATATAGTAGAAGTTTGTTTCTAGCTATACAAGGTCCAACTGGGTGCTCTGGGTTGGTGGGTGGCCTTCCACTTAATCATTCAGGGACCTAAGGTCCTTTTGTCTTGAAGCTCTGTTCTCCTCTAGTGGCTCATAATTATGTTTTTGATACCAGTTCATATGCTGGGTAGAGTGAATAATGCTCTGTAACAGATAAATTCTCACCACAGTGGCTTGACAAAATAGTTATTTACTTCTCACTCATATAAACTCCAATTTGGGATTTCTGGGTGGAGAACAGCCATCTCTGTGGTCATTCTGAGACACAGAATCCTTCTATCTTATAGATCCACCTCCTTCTAAGGCCTTAGAGTGTAGCTACCTGACAGGTTCTTCTTGCTAGCTGCACAGAAAAGCTGATACACTGAGACGGCGGTGTTGCAGTAGAGAAAGTTTAATAATCACAAAGCTAGACAAGCAGAAAGATGAGAGAGAATCCTCAAATCCACCTCCCTGAGAGCCAAGAGGCTAACGTGTTTAAGGATAATTTGGTGGGCAGAGGGCTAGGGAATGGGTGCTGCTAATTGGTCGGGGATGAAATCTTAGGCATGTCCAAACTGTCTTTGTGTGCCACGTCAGTTTCTGGGTGGGAGTTTCTGGGTGAGATCAGTTCCTTGGTATGAGTTACAGATCTGGGTGGAGTCAGTCAGTCACCAGAATGGAAAAGGCTGAAAAATATCTCAAAGATCAAACTTAGGTTTTGTTTTGTTTTGTTTTGAGATGGAGTCTCGCTCTGTCACCCAGGCTGGAGTGCAGTGGCATGATCTTGGCTCACTGCAAGCTCCGCCTCCCAGGTTCACGCCATTCTCCTGCCTCAGCCTCCCAAGTCGCTGGGACTACAGGCACCCACCACCATGCCCAGCTAATTTTTTGTATTTTTAGTAGAGATGGGGTTCACCATGTTAGCCAGGATGGTCTTGATCTCCTGACCTCGTGATCTGCCCGCCTCAGCCTCCCAATGTGCTGGGATTACAGGCGTGAGCCACTGCGCCCGGCCCCAGGTCTGTTTTTTAATATTTGTTTGTTTGTTTATGATAGAGACAGAGTTTCACCATGTTGCCCAGGCTGGTCTTGAATTCCTGGCCTCAAGCAATCCTCCTAAAGTGCTGGGATTACAGGCATGAACCACTACTCCCAGCCCTTAGGTTTTGACAATAGGAAAGCTCTATAGGAACAACTGGGGAAGTTACAAATCTTGTGACCTCTGGCTACCTGACTCTTGAGCAGTAAGTGATTATAGAAAGGCAACCTAGGGAGCAATGGCTGGTTATCATTTAACTATTCGTATGTTCTAGCAGAATTCTGGCCCCTCCTATAATCCTAATCTTGTGGCTTTTCATTAGTTTTACAAAAGTGATTTCCATCCCCAAGCAGGGAGGGAGGTAGTAACAGGAAGGGACTGTTATTATTTTTGTTTTAAAGTTAACAAAGACAGTTAGCTTGTGAGGTTAGAAGCAACATGGAGTCAGCAGTGTCAGATTTCTTTCACTGTCCTAATTTTTGCAAAGACAGTTTCAGGAGTTTTTTTCACTAAGTGATCACATGGGGTAAGAGAAGCTGATTGTGTATAGGTGGTTTTTGTGGGTTAGGCCTTCAAAAGGGGGATGACATATTTACTATTCCTTGAGCAGAATTAGTCACTTGGCTACAGCTAACTACAAAGGGAGGTTGGGGAGGTTAATCTAGCTATGTGGCCAGAAGTAAAGGAAGGTGAGTTTGGGGAGCATTTTTTTTCTTATTACAAACACTCTGATATTTCCTACTTCTAATTCTTTTTCTTCCATGACATTTAAGACCATGTCATATGATACGTATTTTATTTATTTATTTTGACTATTGTCTGATTCCACCATATAGTGTAAACTCTCTGATAAAGGTTTGCTCATGGACATTTTTTACTGCTGTATCTGCCTCATTTAGAACAGTTGCCAGGAGCTTGGGATAGATGCTCAGTAAGTCTTTATTGAATGAATGAGTATAATTCAGATCTTTCTTTTCCCAGTTCCTGTGTAGTTCAATCAGCTCGGCTTTGCTTCCTGCCTGTGAGTGCATTCTTGAGCACCTGTGTGTTCTTTCCAAAAAAAGTCTTTTGACTAGAGCTAATTTGACTGTGATTCTTTTTTCCTCTGACAATCGTAAAAAGCCTGGATTGAGATAATACCTACCTCATGAAATAGACTATGGGGTGGAAAAAGATGGGGCCTGAGGGCTTCAGCAAGCAAACTGTATCTTGCAGGATATGTTATTTTGTGGTACATTGTGCATTTATTTTTTCTCTTTTATTGTTCCCCTAAGTTAGTCTTACTAATATTCCAGCCAGCCACATGTTAGGTGTGTTTAGGAAAATTAAGAATTATGTGTGTGTGTGTGTGTGTGTGTGTGTGTGTGTGCATGTATAGTTGGTGCAAAAGTAATTGCGGTTTTTCTTTTTTTTTTTTTTGAGACAGGGTCTCACTCTGTCTCCCAGGCTGGAGTGCAGTGGTGTGATCTCAGCTCACTGCAAACTCTGCCTCCTGGGTTCAAGCAATTCTCCTGCCTCAGCCTCCCAAGTATCTGGGATTACAGGGGTCCACCACCACACCTGGCCAATTTTTTTTTGTTTTTTGGTAGAGATAGGTTTTCACCATGTTGGCCAGGCTGGTCTTGAACTCCTGATCTCAAGTGATCTGCCTGCCTTGGCCTCCAAAAGTGCTGGAATTACAGGCGTGAGCCACTGCACCCGGCCTCCTTGTAATGGCAAAAACCACAATTACTTTTGTGCCAACCTAATACATATAGGGTAATATGGCGGAGACTACTAAGTGTCCAACAAAATCCATTATTTTCTTCTTCCATAACAACAACAACAAAAAAGATGTGCTATTCCATAGCTACACAGCTAGTGGCCACATTTCCCAGCTTCCCTTGCAGCTAGGTATGACCGTGTGACTCAAGTGTTCCCAGTGGAATGAGCAAAAGCGGTCTGTGCAACTTCTTCCTCACTTGTTTATGATGGAATCCCCAGCCTTGGTGAACCACTCTTTCCTCCTGCCAGTTACCTGACATGGTGAAGACCAGAGTGCCCTTGGAAGTCACACATTGAGACTGCAGGGCAGCTATTAGCCTGGCTCCCTAAAGGATCATGTGGATAGATTTGCCCATCAACCTAGACCATCATTCTGGACTGTTGTGAGGGATAGAAATAAACTTTAAAAAAAGTCATGTTATTTTTTGGTGTCTTGTAACAACAGACTAGTGAGAGATCCTAAAGAGAAATGAGCCTTGGGGGTCAATATCAGGGCTGTGATGTCTAATTGGCCCATTCTCCGATACAATGTGATGATTAAAATCATAGGCTTTGTGGTGAAACAACCTGGGTTTGAACAATAGCTTTTCTACTTACTAGTTTCAATCTACTAATAAACTGAGTAGTTTACTTAATCTCCCTGGGCCTTGGCTCTCTCTCTTTTTTTTTAAATTGAAGAACAATATTACCTTAGAGGGTTATTAAGGGGATTAAATGAGATTAAAGTATATCAAGCACATGGTAAACATTTAAGAACAGTAGTGATCACAATTTTAAGTCTAGGAATTCCTCCTCTGGCTAGGTGCAATGGCTGACACCTGTAATCCCAGCACTTTGGGAGGCCAAGGCAGGAGGATCCCTTGATCCCAGAAGTTCAAGACCAGCCTGGGCAATGTGGCGAGACCCCAGTCTCTATTAAAAAAAAAAAAGAATTCCTTCTCCATTGCCAACTTTGAGGGACAAAAGCTTGGATTTATTAGAGAGACGGTTGGTTTCCTTATAAGGCACAAAAAGAGCTTTGGGTTATCTACGTTGACTGTGGTGAGACACCAAATGCCATAATCTCTGACTCTTCCAAACAAGAGGTGTTCTCACTTTCAAAATTGAGGTACAATTCGCATACCATAAAATGCATAAATCTTAATCATATAGATCAGTAAGCTTTGAAAAACATATACACTGCACTGGAGTTAAGTATCACACCAGCCAATCTATAGAATATTTCCATCATCCCAGAAAAGGTCCTTGTCCCCTCTCCAGTCAATTCCATTCCCAGTGGCAACCACTATCCTGATTTCCATCATCAAAACTTAGTTTTTCTTGTTCTAGAATTTTATATCAATGGAATTATACAGGATATGGTTTATTTTGCTCAACTTAATGTTTCTGGGATTCATCCATGTTGTTGGTATCATGTCAAAGACAAAACTAAGTCTGAGACAAAATTAGCAAAGGCTCATTATTCATAAACTTGTGGCGAGGGAACCCATCTGCCATCACTTTTGTGTCAGCAAGGGTTCAAAGGTGTTAGAAAGAAAAGTAAGTTTTCATAGAGCAAAAAGAGGAAATCTTGGGACAGTCTCTGATTGGCAAATATTCTGTTAGGGTGGGATTTTTGGAAGCAGGGGAGACTTTCTAATTGGTTTTCAGGTACATTTGGCAGTTCTCAGTTGGTTGAAAGGGAGCCAGTGGGAGCAGTTTAGGAACAGTTCAAAAGAGGAAGCTGGGCATGGTGACTCACGCCTGTAGTCCCAGCACTTTGGAAAACTGAGGATGGAACACTGTTTGAAGCTGGGAGCAGCCTGGACAACACAGTGAGATCCTGTCTCCACATAAAATTTTAAAATTAGCCAGGCATGGTGATGCACCTGTAGTCCTAGGTACTTGGGAGGCTGAGGCAAGAGGATTGTTTGAGCTCAGGAATTTCAGGCTGCAGTGAGCTCTGATCACACCTCTGCACTCCAGACTGGGTGACAGAGTGAGACCCTGTGTCAGAAAAAAGAGAAAAGAGTGTTCAGTATTGGGAGCGGAGGGCTTTCTGTGGCTAGCCATCGCCTGGAACAATGTTTTTTTTGTGGTCAAACTGTCATAACAGTCCTTTGAGGGGGATGTTGCCAGAGCAAGTAATTTCTCAATCAGTAATTTGGTCTTTTTCACTCCTGAGTAAGTATTCCATTCAGCATATTATACCATTGCATAGCAAACTACAATTTGTCTATCCATTGATAAATTCTCTTGGGAAAAAACTCAATATACAGCCAATAAATTTGTTAAACTAGGCCAGGTGCAGTGGCTCACACCTGTAATCCCAGCACTTTGGGAGGCTGGGGGAGGGGTGTGGATCACTTGAGGCCAGGAGTTCGAGACCAGCCTGGCCAACATGGTGAAACCCTGTGTCTACTAAAAACACAAAAAAATTAGCCAGGCGTGGTGGTAGGCACCTGTAGTCCCAGCTACTCGGGAGGCCGAGGCAGGAGAATCGCTTGAACCCAGGAGGCAGAGATTGCAGCAAGCCCAGATTGCACCACTGCACTCCAGCCTGGGCAACAGAGCAGGATTCCATCTCAAACAAAACAAAACAAAACAAAACAAAACAAAACAAAACAAAACAAAACAAAACAAAACTGTTTTTGTCTTTTTGATGGAACGTAGAGAGAGCTACATCTAACTGAACAAGTGAAAAAAGTAAAGATTCCCTTAGGCAGAAAGCTAAAATAATGTGATAATATCTAAACGTTGGTTAATTTTTTTTTCGGTTAGAGAATAAATAGGTACAATTTTTTTTTTACTAGTCTCCGAGTCTTTCAGCATTTTAAAAATTTTTCTATAATTTATTTTAAAGAATCCAAATTAGGCCCAGTCCAAAAAAAGGGAGTCATCTCCTATTTTAGCAAGCGCTTAGCATAGCTACTAATTGAACCTCTTACATTTGTCTTTAATAAATCATCACTTCACCGAAGCAAGTAGAAGAATGGTAATTTGCAAGATTGTGTTGTCTTACTTACAAGTACTCAAGTAATTTCTCTCTCAGAATTCTCCTTGATCAAATGCCTACATTTTACATATCTTTCTTTAAAACATAATAAATCGTTCAGCATTATTATTTTCATGTAACAAATACTTATGTGGTAGGTGTCAGGGGCACAGTAGTGAAAAATCAACAAGCTGATCCTAAAAACAAGTTGCAAATATTGTAAATGAACAGTTTCCAAGTGAGAAATTCATCAAGCTGAGATTTTGCTTTTGGTGAAAAGATGCAGAGAAGTGAGGAATAAAGACATAAGGTGAGATTTCCCAAGGAAGGGCATTCACTCTTACTTCCACAAGCTTGAAAATGCAGGAAGTTCTGTGGTCAAGAAGCTCATGTCTGGGATTAAAAGCATCATTCTTCAGAATGGCTGCTATTCCCTCACCCTAACGTGGAACATTGTTTATAACATACAACACACAAAGAATGGCATTCTTTAAATTTAAAAACAAGATGGGGCCGGGCGTGGTGGCTTATGCCTGTAATCTCAACACTTTGGGAGGCCAAGGTGGGCGGCTCACCTGAGGCCAGGAGCTCAAGACCACTCTGGCCAACATAGCGAAACCCTATCTCTACTAAAAGTATAAAAATTGGCCAGGCATGGTGGTGCACACCTGTAATCCCAGCTACTCAGGAGGCTGAGGCAGGAGAATCGCTTTAACCAGGGAGGTGGAGGTTGCAGTGAGCCGAGATTGTGCCACTGCACTCCAGCCTGGCCGACAGAGTGAGACTCTACAACAACAACAACAACAACAACAACAACAACAACAACAACATGGAAGATGTAGCCTGGATTTTGTGCAAGTAGGACATACAGGTCATACAGGTCAAATATGACATACAAGTCAAAGACCACAACAAATTTGCTTCATCTTCACAGAAAAAGCAAAGTTTGTTTGAAATTATCCTATCAAGGTACAAATGGGCAGAAATTAAAGACAGAAGCAATTTTTAATGAATAAATTTCCTTCACTCCAACAACTTTCTGCCATATAGTGATGAGAATGAGAAAGGAAACCTCAAATGCAAATGCTAAACTTTTACGCTGACCTGTTTTTACCGCTATCTAATCAGTGGGCCAATAATGTCCAGAACAGGCAGGCATTGCCTGAGACACAAGAACCATCCCTTGCTGTTTAAGTGACTATTCATGCTGGCAGCAATTTTCACAAAGAGAGAAAACACTGGGGGGAAGGAAAGAAAAGTTCATTTTCATTGCTATTCCTCTGTAATGCCAAAAATAGTCTGCCGAACAGTAGCAGGGGAAAAAAAAACTAACAGACAACTGGTGTTTGCCCGTTTCTAAAAAATATTTGTTAATGAATTGACTACAATGAATAATTGTTTTTGCATCGGCTGGAACAACTTAAGATTTGCCAATGAACAGACTGCTAGCCCAGTGATGGACAGTGGTGCTGCTGGTGGTAACAGAAGCTATTATTCTTTAAATGTTTGCTATGTGCCAGCCATTATTCCACATCTAATCCCACAATAAGCTAATGAAGTGAGCATTATATTGTGTTCAATGTATTAGGTTGATGTAAAAGTAATTGTGGTTTTGCCATTAAAAGTAATGCAGGCTGGGCATGGTTGCTCATGCCTGTAAATCCCAGTACTTTGGGATGCCAAGGCGGGTGAATCACCTGAGGTCAGGAGTTCAAGACCAGCCTGGCCAACGTGGTGAGAAACCCCGTCTCTACTAAAATTACAAAAAGTAGCCAGGTGTAGTGGCGGGCACCTGTAATCCCAGCTACTTGAGAGGCTGAGCTACTCAGGAGAATTGCTTGAACCTGGGAGGTGGAGGGTACAGTGAACCGAGATGGTGCCATTGCACTCCAGCCTGGGCGACAAGAATGAAACTCCATCTCAAAAAAAAAAAAAAAAAAAAGAGTAATGCAAAACCATGATTACTTCTGCACCAATCCAATACAATGAGGAAATGAGACTAGGGTAAATTATTTGTCCAAGATCGCACAGCTAATATGCAGGAAGAGCTGGAATTTGAACCCAGGTTGGTGAACGTCAAAGCCATGTATAAGACATGCTGTGGAAGAGCTCATGCTTGCTAAAACTTGAGTTCCCAAAATGCCTAGGAAAACATGTGACTTGATATTAAAAACCTAATAATAATAGACCCCACATGCCTTAGATTTAAATAACTCCTTTTTTTTCCCCTGAATACTGTATTTCGTTAGAGCAGTTGAATTCACTCAGTTATGTACTGTACAGTCCAGCAAAGCCAACAATTATTTGGTTGTCACTGTAGGTTTCTGAAGAAAAAGTTGCTTAGGTGTTCTGTGCCTGGTTACTTGTATTATCTTTCTCTAGGTAAGATGTGTCTGATGCTAAGACAGTAGTTCACGGATAGAGAGAGGGAAGGCAACTGAAAGTCAAAGGAGGGTAAAAACCAGGAAACTTGAAGGGACCTATGAAAAACTGAGAAGAGTTAGGAGCAAACTGTTGAAAGATACCACTGCGTGGTGCCCCAAGAGCAGCTGACAATTGGCATGTTATTTTTCATGTTCCTTTTACACAATGGAAAACCCATGACTCTGCTTTATGTATGAGGCAACTGAATAGTTTTACTCTAAAATGAGTTTCCAGACCTCTGGTATTTGATTAAAGAAAAGCAATCTCTTCATTTTTAAAGCACCCAATTTTTCAGTCCTTCCGATTTTTTTCTTTGGGAATACATTAAAACTATTAACTGTCCATGTGTTAAGTAGAAATTATAGGAGGTTATTGCTTTAGACTAAGCTCCTGCGCTAAGCCCCAACAGATCAAATTAAAAATCAAAATGGTGTCACTCATGCCCAAGGTTCCATATCACCAAACCAAATTAAATTGTTATCTGACCTTTTGAGAAATCAGGAGAGAGATGTAACAGCATAATTTTCCAGACAGGTCAGTTTTAATCAGGATGACGATAAAGTTCCCTCTGCTTTAATTCTCACAACAAAAGGTAAACTGAGGTAACTGGATGTTAACCAGTTATTTCTCTAATGTTCTGTTTTCTTGTTCCTGCCTTACAAGGAAAGTAACTTTGAAATGACCAATATGCTTTTTGTTCTTTCTTTCTGTTTTCTTCAGCCCCGTCTATAAAACCAAACTTGTCTGCTTGGATCATTAGAACATTTATTCTATTTAATTGAATGAAGTGTTGTTGGATTCTAGAATTGCAAATAAGCCAATTAAGATTTTTTTTTTTTTTTTACAGAATCTTGCTCTGTTTCCCAGGCTGGAGTGCAGTAGCACAATCACGGCTCACTGCAGCCTTCACCTCCTGGGCTCAAGTGATCCTCCCACCTCAGCCTCCTGAGTAGCTGGGACTACAGGCACACACTACCACACCTGGCTAATTTTTGTATTTTTTGTAGAGATAGGGTTTTGCCATGTTGCCCAGACTAGTTTTGAACTCCTAGGCTCAAGCAGTCTGCCTGCCTCAGCCTCCCAAAGTGCTGGGATTTCAGAAGCAGCTGCCAATTAAGATATTCAAGTGAGGCCGGGTGCAGTGGCTCACGCCTGTAATTCCAGCACTTTGGGAAGCTGAAGCGGGCGGATCACGAGGTCAGGAGATCGAGACCATGCTGGCAAACACGGTGAAACCCTATCTGTACTAAAAATACAAAAAAATTAGCTGGGCATGGTGGTGGGCACCTGTAGTCCCAGCTACTTGGGAGGCTGAGGCAGGAGAATGACATGAACCTGGGAGGTGGAGCTTGCAGTGAGCCAAGATGGTGCCACTGCACTCCAGCTTGGGCAACAGAGCAAGACTCCATCTCAAAAAAAAAAAAAAGATATTCAAGTGAAATTTTTGTAGTTTTGTCTTTTGACACATGATATCTATGAATTTGCCAAAATGGAGAAATATATCACCAAATTTAAAGTATAAAATATGTCCTACTTATATACATAAAGTGTAAAATATGTTCTACTTAATTTAGCCTTTCTCTTTAATTATCATTTTCTGAACGTAAATTATATGGCTGTCTATCAAAATGTGCAAATAAAAAATTCCTACTTTGACACTATCAAAATAAGATATTTAAGTACATAACTAAATTACAGTTTATCTTCAATATACCTTATTCATCACCTCACACAGAATTTATCTGATGTTTGGATATTTAAAAAGCCTTCTTTACAAACTATTGATTCATGCTACATGGATGAGCTTTAATCCCATTTATATGAAATGTCCAGAACAGGCAAATCTATAGCGACAGAAAGTAGATTAGTGGTTGCTTAAGGCTGATAAGTGGGGACCCAGGGACTGACAACTAATGGGGATGGGGTTTCTTTTATGAGGGATGAAAGTGTTCTAAATTTAGATTGTAGGGATATTTGTGAACTATCCTCTTTTATTTCCATTTAAACCCCAACAAATTTGCATGTGGGAATACATGCCACTTTAAGTATTGACATAGCAAAATCACATAGTTGCATTCAGAGTTATTCAGCGGTGAGACATGCTACTGTTTATATCTCATCTTTCACAGAGTTGGAGGGTGGCCAGTGATTTCAAATCCATACACACAGTGCGATGTTTTCTGGTGTAATTAACAAGTGAGAATGTAAATGACTGATGCTGTGTGTCTAGTTTTAGCTCAACCACAAAACCATCTTTTAAAACCAGGAGCTACAACATAAAGAAAGAAATTCTATTTAAATAACAATGCTCCATCTGTAGAAAATCAAAGCCAATTACTCTAACCCTTCATTTTCTCTATGCCCTCGTTGTTGAGGACCCAGGCAAGTCAGGAAGATAATTCGTCTGTTGGAATCTTTTTTCTCCTGCTACCAGTTGAGCAATGAATGAATAAATGCACACAAAAAGATACATGAAAGGAGATCACATATGTGAAAGAAAATAACATAGTGTCTAGCATATGGTGGGTATGTGATAAATAAATGATACAGTAGCTTCTTAATAAATAGGAGGGGGTTGTTTCCTGCTAAATAGAGAGCAAGCTTCAGCTTGAAGCTCTTCACTAATGCATAATTACTACTTCACTATGTGAGAGATTCAGAATATAATTAGTTATTTTCAGTATTTAGACTTTTGCTTATTGGGGCAGGGGCAAGAGGATAGAATGCAGAAAGGAGATGATCTATTTTTTTTGTTAGTGCTTACACTTTGCGAGTATGGGGAAAAGAACATTCAATCTGGTGGTTCTTGGTGTTTTTAACCTTTTACTCTCTGGCCTCCTTGGAGAACTGTCAGGAAAATTTTTAATTTTCACTCTCTTGCTTTGAGATCCATGAATCAAGAAGAGATTGTCCTGAGAGACAAAGACACTTTTCAACTTAGTAGCCTCAGCCTTCAAGCTGATTTGAGAGAGGTGTTGAGTGCCCAGACATCATGCCAAATTGTTTTGACCCGCAACAGTAATGAGAGACAGAGAGATTAGAGAATTCAGAGAAAACAGGAAGCACAGCAAGCCATCTCTATAATTTCATTAAATATCCCCATAGTGGGCAGGCAACTAACAACACGTTCCTCCAGCCGGGAGTGGGGAATCTCCAAATCACTTTTTTTTTTTTTGAGACGGAGTCTCGCTCTGTCGCCCAGGCTGGAGTGCAGTGGCGGGATCTCGGCTCACTGCAAGCTCCGCCTCCCGGGTTCACGCCATTCTCCTGCCTCAGCCTCCCAAGTAGCTGGGACTACAGGCGCCTGCCACTACGCCCGGCTAATTTTTTGTATTTTTAGTAGAGACGGGGTTTCACCGTTTTAGCCGGGATGGTCTCGATCTCCTGACCTCGTGATCCGCCCGCCTCGGCCTCCCAAAGTGCTGGGATTACAGGCGTGAGCCACCGCGCCCGGCCTCCAAATCACTTTTAAGGGAGTTCTGAGGACAGACACAAGGTTTACAGCCTTCCAAAATCTGAGAGTAGCAGCATTTGTTTTAAGGTTGCATAGAAAAAAAATGAGCTGACCTCTTCTGGGCAGGGTGTATCATTCATTCATTTATTCATTCACTAATTTCATTCAGCTCAATAAATAATGAGCATCTATTATGTGCCAGACTCTGTCTTAGGTCATGGAGATACTCTATTAAATGAAGATATTTAAAATTGATAGTGATGCTGAGAGGGGGATGTAAAAAGAAGGAAAGAAAATGAGGAAGAAGCCTAGATTGTTATTGGCCCGGGTTAATAGGGATAATGGTCAAATTAGAAACAAACAAAGAAATATACAAACAAACTAGAGAACATGTTAAGGTTAGTAGGATTGCATCGGAAAAAAAAAAGAAATCTGTACTGGAAGATGAAAAAGAATAGCTATGTAAAAGGGAAGTAGTAAGGGAGAGAGAAGAGCTTGCAAAAGCTGTGTTTGCCTGAAACTATTTGTGAAGATCTTGAAGATGGACAGCTGAGAGCTTTCATGCCAACTTCTGTGAGTGTAGAATTAGAAAAAGAAGGCATAAGAAGGGAAAAAAGAATAAACATATTTTGTTTGAATAAGTGACTCACTCTTTTGGAATTTTCTTTTTGGTCAAATTTATTTTGAATTGATAATACTTGGTTTCAGAAAAAAGTAAGTGTGTATACAGTAAAAAATGTCTCTTTCCTAGTCTAACACACAGTTACTCTTTCCTAAGGCACCAGTTGTGTTTGTTTCTTGTATGTCCTCCCATGGATATTGTATTAGTCCATTTTGCACTGCTGTAAAAAATACCCAAGAGGCACTTTATAAAGAAAAGAGGTTTAATTGGCTCATGGTCCTGCAGGTTGTACAGGAAGCATGACAGCATCTGCTTCCGGGGAGTCCTCAGGAAACTTACAATCATGGCAGAAGGTGAACGGGCAGCAGGCACGGCCGACGTGGCCAGAGCGGAGGAAGAGAGAGAGTGGGGGGCGGTGCTACACACTTTTAAACAATCAGATCTCATGAGAACTCCATCATGAGAACAGCACCAAAGGGATGGTGCTAAACCATTCATGAAAGACCCACCCCCACGATCCAATCATCTCCCACCAGGACCTACCTCCAACACTGGGGATTACGATTCAACATGAGATTTGGGTGAGAACACAGATCCAAATCATATCAGATATTATGCAAATACAAGTACATGCAGTAATATTTTTTAAAATGCAAGTTCTAAAGCAAATACAAGTACAGGCAGTAATATTTTTTCTCTTTTTATGTAAATGGTACCATACTAAATATGGAGGGGAAAGTATTGAAGTTCTTCTGTGATCAGAATTGCAATTTGGAAGAAAATGCACTGTTTGGTACTAAATATAATCAGATAAAGGACTAAAGTGTGTGTATTTGTCATAGATAAGCTCCTTGAGGAAAAGGTTCTGGGTCTCTGAGGCATGTGTGTGAATTGTTCTAGCCACTTGGTCTTGTAGTGCCTCTTCCTTGGTTGATGTTCTCTGGTGGATAACATGTCTTGACTACTCCAGTCTTTCTGTCTACAAACCTCTTCCTCAGATTTTCTTTTTCCCAGTGTTCCAGTCCTTCTCCTTTCAAGGTCTTGACCAAACAACCAAACCATTAGCCACTGTCCATGAGTCTGCATAGTCTTAGCTTGGGCCATTTTTCTTTTGCACAAAGTGGATGACCCCAGGTTCACCAACAGAAGCTGTCTCCATTGGGAGGATCTCCCTTCTCTATTTTTCACTTGTACCCATATATTGAGCCGAATCATCCATGAACCAAGCCCTGTCTTTTTCCTTCTCTATGAACTGTGCACAAGGGCCCTGTTATGTAGTCACAGGTGTGAGCTGAGGGAAAGGTGCTGGTGCAATAGTGGTGAATGACATGGGGGCTGGGGCACCTGCTCGTATAGCTTATTTTTTCTTTTTGCCCTTTGCATGTGCTCCATCCTGAATGTGTAACTTCCATCTTAGAATGGAATGCTGCTGAATGCACCTGACCTTATAACTTTGTGGGTGTGACAGATCCAGTTTGTGATGGGTAGTTCTGGACACATGGTCAATTCCTGTCCCACAGCCAAGCATTTCCTCTCTACCAGAACCTAATAGCATACCAGCAGCTGCTTTTCAGATGGTTTATAATTACCTGCTACAAACGGCATGATTTGGCCCAGAACCCTAGGGATCTGCATTGTGATTCTTATGTTGGAATAAAATCCATATGGCATCTGCCTATAGCAGATTTCTCTAACAGCATGGGATTAGCTGGGTCAAATGGCAAAGTGATAGATCTGTACTGCAGGCTGGATCTGCTGCAGAACCCTTTACTACTCTGGGCCTTACTCAAAGCAGGAAGCTTCCTTGTTATTTGGTAAAAAATAGGCCAGAGCTGTATTTCTGAGTGTAGAATATGATACCTCCAGAATTTGAAGATCCCTTCTAGGTGTTTTGGTTCCCTGCTACTGGTGGAAAGTGTGACATACATTAATGTGTCCTTCAATTTTGTGGGGATATCCCATCATGCCTTAGACCATTGACCCTGAATAGCTTTGCTGATGTAGTAGGCCCTTGAAACTTTGCTGCGTTTTTTTTCTCTATTGTCTGGAATGTGTGTCTTACTGAAGCTTCCAACACACTTGCCACTTTTTGTTTATCTGGACCAACCAACATAGTGTCATCAATCCAATGGGCCAAGGTGATATTCTGCAGAATGGCCAGAGAATTCAGTTCCCTTTGGGCCATATTTTGACATAGCCCTGTGCCAAGACAGTAAACATATAGTCAGTCCCAAGTGAATATAAATTTTCGAATCTGTCTTTCTGAGACAGAAAAGAAGGTATTTGATAGTTCAGTGGCCACATACCATGTACCAGAAGCAGTGTTAATCTGCTCCAACAAAGATACCACATCTGACATAGCAGGTACAATTTGGGCCACTATACTAGAGTTTGAGGCAGTCCACTGTCATGTTCCAAGATCCAATTTTTTTGTAGGAGCTAGATTGAAGAAGTAAGTGGATGTTTGATGTGAACCACTAATCCCTGCATCCTTTAGGTCTCTAAGAATAGAATTAATCTCTGACATTCCTCCCTGGATATGATACTGTTTTTTAACTTACTATCATTCCAAGGTGGTAGGGGGACACTTCTAGTTCCCATTTTGTTAAATTTTACCCCAAACCAAGTAACAAATGTAGAGTATTCTGCCAACTATTAAGTATGTCTAGTCCAATAATTCATGCATACATACACACATATGTGTTTGCAAGACACAAAAATAAATCAATTGTATACAAAATGTACAAATATCAATTATATTTTATAGGATAGAAATGAACAATAAGAAAAATTATAAAAACAACACGAATGAGAGTAAAATAAAAATTGTGAATTTTAGGAACATACCTGGAAAAAGATGTGCAAGATGTATACATTTAAAACTACAGCTCATGAGATAAAAAGAAGAGCTAAATAAATGGAGAGGTATATAACACTCACGACTCAATATTGTTAAAATCTCAATTCTCCCCAAATTGATATATAGATTGAATGCAATCCCTTCAAAAATTCCATCAGGCTTTATTTTAGACACTGGGAAACTGACTCTCAAATTCATTTGGAAATGCAAAAGACCTAGAATAGCCAAAATGATGTTATAAAGAATAAGAAAGTTGAGAGACTAATGCTTCCGATTTCAAGACATATTTATCAGGACAATGGAGTGTTGGCACCTAGATATATAAATATATCAATGGAATAGAATAGAAAGTCCAGAAATAGAGCCATGCATATATGGACAACAGATTTTCAACAAAGATGCAAGGGTAAATCAATGGAAATGAGCATTCTTTGCAACAAATTGTGTTAGAATTACTTGATATTCTTTTGCAACAAAATGAACTTTGACCTATATCCTAAACTATGTGCTAAAACTGTGTACACAATGTGTCATAGACCTAAACATGATATATACAATTATAAAATTTATGGAAGGAAACATTGGAGAAAATCTTTGTGACCTTGGGTTAGGCATAGAGATTTTAGCTATGGAATCAAAAGCACAGTTCACAAAAGAAACAATTGATAAGGTGAGCTTTGTCAAAATGAAATCAAATTCAAATGTTCTTTGAAAGCCATTGCTAAAAAAAAATGAAAAGGCAAGCCATAGAGTGGGAGAAAATGTTTGCAAATCCTATATAAGAACTTGTTTAAAGAACTCTTAAAATGCAAACAAGGCGATCAAAAAATGGGCAAACCAAAAATGGACAAAGATTTGACACTCGGCCAAAGAAGATATACGGATAGTAAATAAGCATATGAAAAGATTCACAACATCCCTAGTCATTAGGGAAACGTCAGTTAAAACCACAAGAGATGCCTCAACATCTTATCTGAATGGTGAAAATTTAAAAAGCCGACCATACCAAGTATTGGTGGGGATGTTGAAGGATTGCTGGTGGGAATGTAAAGTGGAACAAGCACTTTGGAAAATAGTTTGAGAGTTTCTTAAAAAGTTAAACATATACTTACCATGTGATCCAGTCATTCTATTCCTAGGTGTTTACCAAAGAGAAGTGAAAGCAAATGTACATAACAGTACTTGAATACAACTTTTTATAGGAGCTTTATTTTTAATAGCCAGAGACTGAATTAAGCCAAATGTTCATCAATAAATGAATAAATGAACACATTCAGCATCCATATAAATTCAGCATATCCATATCCATGGGATAATATAAATAAATGAACTATTGATACATACAACAATATGGCTGAATCTCAAAATAAATATGCTGAGTAAAAGAAACCAGATTAAAAAATAGTACATATTATATGAGTCAATTTAAAACTCTAGAAAATGCAAAGTTACCTATGTTGATATAAAGTAGGTCAGTGGTTGCCTGGTGATAGGCTCAGAATGGGTGTCAGAGAGGGAAGGAAAGTTTTTTTTTTTTTTTTTTTGAGACGGAGTCTCGCTCTTTTGCTGGGGTTGGAGTGCAGTGGCGTGATCTCGGCTTACTGCAACTTCCGCCTCCCAGGTTCAAGCGATTCTCCTGCCTCAGCCTCCCCAGTAGCTGGGATGGGGCTTCACCATGTTGGTTGGCCAGGATGGTCTCGATCTCTTGACCTCATGACCTGCCCGCCTCGGCCTCCCAAAGTGCTGGGATTACAGGCTTGAGCCACTGCGCCTGGCCAGGGAAGGAAACTTTTTTGGGTCATCAATATATTTTTTATTATTATTATTTTTCAAATTCTCCTAGATCCTGAGGATGTGCTTATTCTTTTGATTGTGGTGAGGGTTTCATGGTTGTATACATAATCAACACTTACCCAATTGTACATTTGAAATATGCACAATGGTTTGTATGTCATTTATGCTGCAATAAAATAATTAAAACATGCATCTTTTATGACCAAGACACTTCACTTAAGATATGTGTAAAATGTGTTTAATATAGCCTTGGTTGACACTGTAAGAATCTGTGAACAATGCAATGCCCATTATTAGGGGATTATTTAAATAAATGTTGATGCCTTCATACGATGGAATTATAAAATACTAAAAAGAATTTTACTCATGTCTACACACAGAAAGATACCAAGTTATTTTAAATATAAGAAATAGACCGGGTGTGGTGGCTTATGCCTATAATCCCAGCACTTTGGGAGGTCAAAGTGGGCGGACTGCTTAAGCCCAGGAGTTCAAGATCAGGATGGGCAATATGGTGAAACCCCGTTTCTACAAGAGAAAAAAAATATTAGCTGGGCATGGTGGCATGTGCCTGTAGTTCCAGCTACTCAGGAGGCTGAGGTGGGAGGATTGTTTGAGCCCCAGAGGTCAAGGTTGCAGTGATCTGTGATCATGCCACTGCACTTCAGCCAATGTGAAAGAGTGAGACCCTGTCTCAAAATAAATAAATAAATAAATAAATAAATAAATAAATAAATAAATAAATAATTTGCTTGCTGCTGGAGATATACAATGGTACAGCCACTGTAGACAACAGTTTGACAGTTATTCCAAAAATTAAACATAGAGTTACCATATGACCCAGAAATTCCACTCCTCGGTATCATATATACCCAAGAGAATTGAAAATACATGTTCATGTAAAAACTTGTACATGAATGCTCATAGCAGCATTATTCATAATAGTCAAAAAGTGGAAACAACCCAAATGTCCATCTGATAAATGGATAAACAAAAAGTGCTATAGCCATATGATGGAATATTATTCATAAAAAGGAATAAAAAGGAATAAAAAGGAATGAAGTACTGGTATATCCTACAGCGTGGGTTAACCTGAAAGAAGCCAGACATAGAAAGCCACATATTGTATGATTCCGTTGATATGTAATGTCCAGAATGGGGAACCCCTAGAGACAGTGGATTAGTGGCTGACAGAGGCTGAGTGAGAGGAAGAATTGGGACTGATTGCTAATAGATACGGCATTTCTTTTTGCAAGGATGAAAATATTCTAGGTGATATGGTGATGGTTACACAACACAGTGAATATAATAAAACAACCAAATGCATACTTTCAAATAGCGAATTTTATGTTATATGAAGTACATATCAATTTCTTTTTATTACTAATCATCATTTCAGTAGAGTTTTAAAATACCCCAAAGGGTGATAAATATTAATCCATCCACAGAATTTCTCTTGCTTTTTAAAATATATTCTGATTCACACATGTAAAATAATGCACACTTATGAAAGAAAGTCTGAACTCCTATGGTGACCTTCACAAGTCCAAGTCAATTCCTAAAACAGGCAATGGTAAAAATACTGAATGATGTTGTACCACATATAGACTGACAAAAATGCAAAAGACTGTGTGAGGAATATCCACATGTTTCTGAGGGTCATTTCCCTGGAAACAGCTTCCTTATGGCCCTTGGAAGGTGGAAAAGCTCCTGTTTCATAAAAATGTGATAAGAGGTCCTCTTTTTCAGTAAACCATAGATAGATCCCATTGGTAAGGTCACCAGTCTCCAGAGATACATCTTTAACTGGAAAGATCCTGTAATGTACATGTGTGACTGTTGGTTTCCTGAACCCAAGGATCCAGGTTTGAATATTGATAGGTTCAGCTTTAGGATAAGCTATCGTTGTATCTATTACCCACTGGAGGCCTTTTGATTTGCTAATTCTTTAGCATCTCCTCTTGCTGGACTTCCATTTCCCTGTTGTGCTACAAGTGCATTCAGAATAATTTTAGTTGCCACAGATCTTTACAGAGTAACATGTGTAAGAAATGGCAAGTTATTTTTCTCTGCAAATGCCTGACTTGTTTCTCACCTCTTCCTGAGGAAGCCCCTTTCTGGAAACGAAATAATTCATTTTCAATCTCTGCTCCTGTAATTACTTTCTAAGTGCTTCTTGAGAAGCAGCAGCTGTTGGTCACGATAACATCTTCCCTGTCTTATAAAAAAGTCTCCGTGAACTAAAGAAACAATTCCAAAGTTTGTGTTCTTAAAAATATGATCCATCAACCACATCATCTGAGCAGCACCCAGTCCTTCGTCCTGGAGGCACATCATCAGTGCGCACACATCTGCTGTAGCCGGATGATTCCCCAACATCACTGCTTCATCTTTTGAGATTGCTTTAATATCTCTTCCCCATTCTTTTTTTTTTTTTTTTTTTTTTTTGAGACAGAGTCTAGCTCTGTCACCCAGGCTGGAGTGTAGTGGTGCGATCTCTGCTCACTGCAACTTCCACCTCCCGGGTTCAAGTGATTCTCCTGCCTCAGCCTCCCAAGTAGCTGGGATTACAGGTGCACGCCACCACGCCCAGCTAGTTTTTGTATATATATGTATTTTTTTGAGATGGAGTTTCGCTATTTTTGCCCAGGCTGGAGTGCAATGGCATGATCTCAGCTCACTGCAACCTCTGTCCCCTCGGTTCAAGCGATTCTCCTGCCTCAGCCTCCTGAGTAGCCAGGATTACAGGCACCTGCCACCACACCTGGCTAATCAATCTTTTTAAGTATTATTTTTAAAAAGCTGTGAAGAGCAAAAGTTGTAATGTTAAGAAAAGTAATATGGATATAGCATAATTAGGTATAGTAAAACATAATTTTACTTAAAAATTAAGGCCCTGTGTGGTGGCTCATGCCTGTAATCCCAGCACTTTGGGAGGCCAAGGTGGGTGGATCACTTGAGGCCATGAGTTTGAGACAAGCCTGGCCAACATGGCAAAAACCCATCTCTATTAAAAAAAAAAAATAGAAAAATTAGCTGGGTGTGGTGACACATGCCTACAATCCCAGCTACTCGGGAGGCTGAGGCAGAAGAATCACTTGAACCTGGGAGGTGGAGGTTACAGTGAGCCAAAATTGTGCCACTGCACTCCAGCCTGGGTGACAGAGCAAGACTCTGTCTCAAAATGTATATATATTCCAAATTAATTGATATACATACACATATATGCTTGGACATACAAAAAGATTTTTTTAATTATATTCATATGTTAATATATGTATATAATTAATTTGGAGGACTATTCATTGAACTGTGGAAAACGAATAGTAGAGTTTTGCTATTAAATATGTCATATCAAAATCATTTTAAAATCATCTTTTAAGTGAAAATCATTTTATACTTTCTATTTGTACGAACTTAGCTTTTTGTATATTGAAAGAAATGGTTTTCATTCAATAGATAAGATATATATGTGAGATATTTGTAATTTAAAATAGTTTGGGTTTTTTTTAATTATTATTATTATACTTTAAGTTTTAGGGTACATGTGCACAATGTGCAGGTTAATTACATATGTATACATGTGCCATGCTGGTGCGCTGCACCCACTAACTCGTCATCTAGCATTAGGTATATCTCCCAGTGCTATCCCTCCCCCCTCCCCCCACCCCACAACAGTCCCCAGAGTGTAATGTTCCCCTTCCTGTGTCCATGTGTTCTCATTGTTCAATTCCCATCTATGAGTGAGAATATGCGGTGTTTGGTTTTTTGTTCTTGCGATAGTTTACTGAGATGATGATTTCCAATTTCATCCATGTCCCTACAAAGGACGTGAACTCATCATTTTTTATGGCTGCATAGTATTCCATGGTGTGTATGTGCCACATTTTCTTAATCCAGTCTATCATTGTTGGACATTTGGGTTGGTTCCAAGTCTTTGCTATTGCGAATAATGCCGCAATAAACATACGTGTGCATGTGTCTTTATAGCAGCATGATTTATAGTCCTTTGGGTATATACCCAGTAATGGGATGGCTGGGTCAAATGGTATTTCTAGTTCTAGATCCCTGAGGAATCGCCACACTGACTTCCACAATGGTTGAACTAGTTTACAGTCCCACCAACAGTGTAAAAGTGTTCCTATTTCTCCACATCCTCTCCAGCACCTGTTGTTTCCTGACTTTTTTATGATTGCCATTCTAACTGGTGTGAGATGGTATCTCATTGTGGTTTTGATTTGCATTTCTCTGATGGCCAGTGATGATGAGCATTTTTTCATGTGTCTGTTGGCTGCATAAATGTCTTCTTTTGAGAAGTGTCCGTTCATGTCCTTTGCCCACTTTTTGATGGGGTTGTTTGTTTTTTTCTTGTAAATTTGTTGGAGTTCATTGTAGATTCTGGATATTAGCCCTTTGTCAGATGAGTAGGTTGTGAAAATTTTCTCCCATTTCGTAGGTTGCCTGTTCACTCTGATGGTAGTTTCTTTTGCTGTGCAGAAGCTCTTTAGTTTAATTAGATCCCATTTGTCTATTTTGTCTTTTGTTGCCATTGCTTTTGGTGTTTTAGACATGAAGTCCTTGCCCGTGTCTATGTCCTGAATGCTAATGCCTAGGTTTTCTTCTAGGGTTTTTATGGTTTTAGGTCTAACGTTTAAGTCTTTAATCCATCTTGAATTGATTTTTGTATAAGGTTTAAGGAAGGGATCCAGTTTCAGCTTTCTACATATGGCTAGCCAGTTTTCCCAGCACCATTTATTAAATAGGGAATCCTTTCCCCATTGCTTGTTTTTCTCAGGTTTGTCGAAGATCAGATAGTTGTAGATATGCGGCATTATTTCTGAGGGCTCTGTTCTGTTCCATTGATCTATATCTCTGTTTTGGTACCAGTACCATGCTGTTTTGGTTACTGTAGCCTTGTAGTATGGTTTGAAGCCAGGTAGTGTGATGCCTCCAGCTTTGTTCTTTTGGCTCAGGATTGACTTGGCGACGCGGGCTTTTTTTTGGTTCCATATGAACTTTAAAGTAGTTTTTTCCAATTCTGTGAAGAAAGTCATTGGTAGCTTGATGGGGATGGCATTGAATCTGTAAATTACCTTGGGCAGTATGGCCATTTTCACGATATTGATTCTTCCTACCCATGAGCATGGAATGTTCTTCCATTTGTTTGTATCCTCTTTTATTTCCTTGAGCAGTGGTTTGTAGTTCTCCTTGAAGAGGTCCTTCACATCCCTTGTAAGTTGGATTCCTAGGTATTTTATTCTCTTTGAAGCAATTGTGAATGGGAGTTCACTCATGATTTGGCTCTCTGTTTGTCTGTTGTTGGTGTATAAGAATGCTTGTGATTTTTGTACATTGATTTTGTATCCTGAGACTTTGCTGAAGTTGCTTATCAGCTTAAGGAGATTTTGGGCTGAGACAATGGGGTTTTCTAGATATACATTCATGTCATCTGCAAACAGGGACAATTTGACTTCCTCTTTTCCTAATTGAATACCCTTTATTAATAGTTTGGGTTTTTTTGGTTCTTTTTGAAACAGAGTCTCGCTCTGTTGCCCAGGTTGGAGTGCAGTGGTGCGATCATGGCTCACGGCAGCCTTGACCACTGGGGGCTCAAGTGGCTCTAACCTCAGCCTCCTGAGTAGCTGGGACCACAGGCATGTGCCACCACACCCAGCTAATTTATTTATTCATTTTTTTGTAGAGACAGAGTTTTGCTATGTTGCCCAGGCTGGTCTTGAACAGCTGGGCTCAAGGTATCCTCCCATCTCAGCCTCCCAAAATAGTCTCTGAAGTTTTAAAGTATTTGATTTTTTTTGCAATAGAAAATTGACAATTGAGCTTAAGAGTATTCACTAATACTTTAATATTACTTTTAAGTTTATTACTTATGGTCAGTTCCAATTCTAATTAGGGTGATTGTTTTCCTCCAGTTTTGAGTATAGGAATACAAATTATCTCCCTCTCAAACCGAGCAAAATAAGCCTGACCATTTCATTAATGCCCGAGATTTGCTTTGTGATCTCAAATGCCTCCATGCAATGGCATGGCAGCCCTGGGAGTGTGCCTCTCTGATCTCCTACTTCAGGGAGGGTAAGTAACTAAAGGCACAAACTGCTGTGTTCTGACTTCCATTCCTGTGTTCAGGCCAGGGCTCCACTTCCCCTTCACTGTTCCCATTGACTGCTCATGGCAGGATACTAAGGCAGGCCCATTTCTGAAGACATAGGACTCCTCTAAAAAGTACCTTTGGCTTAAGCATTCCCTGTTAGCCTTGCTGAATCTTCCTTATTGCAATGCTGCAAACTAAGCTCTTTGTTCTCTCCTTTATAGGGGTGGGATCATAATGGAGTCTGATGTCTCACCCAGCCTCCTCCAGCTCCCCATTTTCCCTCACCAGCATTTGACCCAGTACATCTCTTATGTGTCTAATCCTATCTTGGCTTTGGCTTCTCAGATGTCCTGTGCTACCAAAAGTAGTATCAAGAATGATCCAAGAAAACAGGTGGTAAGATTGTGATTTGGAATTGACCTACTAACCCTCCAGTGGGCAAAGAGGATATTAACTTGGTTGATAGGTGGGGTGTGGATAGTCAGTAGCATAAGGTGGTGAGTCAAAGGTGAAAGGTTTCATCGATGGTGACCTGGGAAGATGTCCTGGTGGGGAGGAAAGATGTTGCAGATGTGATGATTGAAGCATTTGAAACTTATGGAGAGAAAAATGTCCTCAAAGACAGCAGAATTGTTGGCTGTTTACTGCTAAGTTGTATTGCTGCTAGCTAAGGGATAATGAGAGCAGTTAAGCAAGCAGTAAATGGCTAAGTGTGGGAGGCAAGAGGCTTTTTGGCATCTTACAAGAAGGCCCTTAACTTCTGCAGTGTGGGAGAGCAGACACAGTGGAACAGGTGAAAATCAAATAGTTAGAACTGCAGAGATCCCTAGATGTTTGAATATTCAGTGAAGAATAGGTTGCCAGCGGTGGGGGCTGGGGGGTTTCGGGGAACACCTGGGACTCTGGGAAAACTTGGGACCCTGAAAACTGGGATGAGGGTATGTAGATGGAGGCCCTTGAATATATTGTCTAGGCAGACTGCCACCTTCTTTCCCAATCCTTTGGGCTTGCACAAGTGCCCCATCCTTTCTGGTAAGAGCTAGTGCTTCTATTGTGTAAGAAGATGCTGCAGAGGCCCCTCCTTCACAAGGCAACACATGTTTCCCAGTAGGTGCCCTCATCTCTCACCTGATACTTAAGGTTCAGTCCCAGCATAACATGGGTGGGTACATGCTGGGGACGATTAAGTAAAAAGGAGACTATGCACCAGATGAGCCACAAGAATAAGGCAGTGGGAGCCAGAGGAGGGCACCTTGGCCTGTACTTTGAGAGTGCTTGATCAAAGGGCTTGGAATGGAAATTTCTCAGAAACTGAGATCTAACACGTTGGCCAGGACCCCAGGGAACAGGGCAAACTCACCGTGAGGGTGGTTCTTAGAAGTCTGGGAAGAGTGATGACCAATGCATAGTGAAGGGGAAAATTCTGAGTTGCCTTTAGCAGGAAAGACGTCTGCAACAGGTCCAGGCTGCAGTGCAAGCAACACTGCTCATTGGTCCATAGGATCAGAGGAAGGGATAAAGAGGCTGAGGGAAGTGGGGGCTTGAGAATGAACCCTAGGAACATTCAGCCTCCTGCCACTTCAGTGACATTATTTAGGAGGTCTATTAGGGCATGCCAGGACATCTTCACCAAAGTAAAAAAAAAAAAAAAAAAAAAAGAAGCGGGCATCTCTTATATCCCTACTCCATACAGTAAGCTGAGGATCCTGGCAAACCTCTTTGGGTTCAGGAGACAACACATTCCACAGATAAGAATACTGCTGTGCCACATATACTGCCAGCTTTGAGTAGGTCTCAGAGCAGGAAAGGGCACTGCAACAGGTGAAATGGCCTTAGTTCTTAGTCTGCATGACTGGGCATATCCAAGCCTTTGGAATGTCAGTGTAGGGAAAAGAAGCAGTAGGAAAAGACAGAGTTTGTATCAAACCCCAGGGAGAGAATCACCTTGCAGCCCCTGGGATCCTAGAAGAAGATCATGCCAACCACTGCAGAGAGCTACACACCTTTTGAGAAGCTGTTATTACATGCCTGTAATACCCGCACGTTGGAAGGTCAAGGTGGGAAGATCGCTTGAGGCAGGAGTTTGAGACCAGCCTGCGTGATACAGAGAGACCCTGTCTCCATTAAAAAAAAATTTGCTAGGCATGGTGGTGCGTGCCTGCAGTCCCAGCTACTCGGGAGGCTGAGGTGGGAGGATTCCTTGAGCCCAGGAGGTTGAGGCTGCTGTGAGCTATGATCGCATAGGCAGTCCAAACCGCCTTATTCCTTTCACCTTCAATAGATTCATCAGCACCCTCTCCCCTCTCACATATAAGGCCATGTGGAAGTTCTCATAGGACCAGCTACAGGAGGAGGGAAAAGACTGAACTTGGTTTATAGATGAGGTGGGTCTGTATGTAGATGCAAACTGAAAATTGGTGAGGTGGCTTTGAAAGACAGTGGAGAGGGAGAATCTTCCCAATGGGAAGCAGTGTACCTGGTCATCTACTTTGCAAGGAAGAAGTGGCCTGGGTAAGCATATTTACAGTTCCTGGGCAGTGATCGATGGTCTGGCTATCTGGCCAGAAGCCTGGGAGGAAAAGGACTGGAAGACAGGGTCGAAGAGGCCTGGGGTAGAAGCTTGTGGGTGCACATATGGGAGCAGGCACAGACTGTGAAAACTTTTTTTTTTTTTTGAGATGGAGTCTTACTCTGTAACCCAGGCTGGAGTGCAGTGGTGCAATCTTGATTCACCGCAACCTCTGCCTCTTGGATTCAAGCGATTCTCTTGCCTCAGCCTCCCAAGTAGCTGGGATTACAGACATGCGCCACCACGCCTGGCTAATTTTTGTTGTTGTATTTTTAGTAGAGATGGGGTTTTACCATGTTGCCCAGGCTGGTCTCCAACTCCCAGCCTCAAGTGATCCACCTGCCTTGGCCTCCCAAAGTGCTATGATTACAGATGTGAGCCACCACACCCAGCCCAGACTGTGAAGAGTTTTGTATCACATGTTAATGTCCACCAGAAGCCATCCATCATGGGAGAGGCACTGAACAACCAAGTTGACAAAGTGACTCGGACAGTTGACCTGAATCAGACTGCCATTGGCCACCTCAGAATTGGCAGGATGGGCACAGCAATAGAGTGGCCATGGCAGCAGAGACAGAGGCATCCAACTAAGGGACCACTTCACAGCAAAGGAGGTGGATGGTGTAAGTAGAACATGAAAACCACACCATCCAAAGACTAGCATCACAGAATACAGAAATAGCTTGTGAGTCAGTTATGCTCCCGGTAGAAGGAAATTTGAGAGATGCATTTTCATAGCCACCACAGACTCCTATGGGCACTGAACAGCTCTAAGTCTCCACCCAACTGGCCCACAGATCCAGCTGTGGTGCTCTGAAATCTATCGTCACGTTTGCCCTGCAGGTGGGCTTCTCCTAGGCTGCTCCCAGCCAATAACTGGGTGTGACAGGGATATTAAGCAGGCTGAACCCTCAAGATGCTGGCCTCTTCTGAAGAGTGACTTTGGCTCAAGGACTCCCCCTAGGCCTGGCTGAAACTTGCTTATAATTGTGCTGCAGTCTAAGAAGTAACTTCCTTTCTACCTCCCTCCTCTTTCCTCCTCTCTTCCTCACAGGGGCAGACTTGCATCTGAGTCTGATGTCTCCTCCACCAGCTCCTTCTCCATTTTCCCTCACTGGCATTTCCTTTAATAAATCTCTTGCACATCTAATTCCACCTTGGAATCTGCTTCTTGGAGGACCCAGACTAACACAGATGGCATGTATATGTGCTGGTGGGTGTCTAAGGTAGAAAGGCAACTATGTCAATCTTGCATGCTAAGTGTAGTCAACTGGGAGCAGCTGCCAGGAGAGTGCTGAGTTGAGAAAGACTCTAGAGCTGTATCTGGCCATTTGAAATAAATACTATGGCCTATTTTTTTTTTTTTAAGACAGGGTCTTGCTCTGTCGCCCAGGCTGGAGTGCAGTAGCATGATCACAGCCCACTGAAGCCTCGACCTCCTGGGCTCAAGTGATCCTCCAGCCTCAGCGTCCTGAGTAGCTGGGACTACAGGTGCATGCCACCAAGCCCAGCTAATTTTTGTATTTTTTCTAGAGATGGGGTTTCACCATGTTGCCTAGGCTGGTCTCTAACTCCTGGGCTCAAGCAATCCGCCTGCTTCGGCCTCCTAAAATGCTGGGATTACAGGTGTGAGCTGCTCCCAGTTGCTATCGTTTATTGGCAAGGTCTACCATGAGGGTTAAAGGAGGAACATCTTGATCTTTCATTAGTCACTTCTGCTGAATTTGGATGTTCCCTAAATCTCTATTAAGAAGGGTCATGGTCAGAGAGCTATTGTATGTAAAACTTTTGTTAATGATGAATGATATTTATAATAAGAGTGAATGATTAATGATACTTAATGATTAATGATGATTATAAAAAATAACAGGCCAGGCACAGTGGCTTATGCCTGTAATCCTAGCACTTTGGGAGGCCAAGGCAGGAGGATTGCCTGAGGCCAGGAGTTTGAGGCTGCGGTGAGCCATGATGATGCCACTGCACTCCAGCCTGGGAGATAGACTGAGACTCTATTTCTCAAAAACAAACAAACAAGCAAAATAATAACAATGATTATACATTAATGTAATGATATGATTATGTAATATGATTAATGTTAATGCTTAATGATGAATGATATTTATAAAACAGTATTCTATCATTGAAAATCCTAAAGTGATACTAAATGCAAGATAATATGTGGCTTAATCATATAAGCAATAATTTTCACACTGAAAGATGGTGGGTCACATGGAATCTAGAAAAAAAGATTTAAAGCATAAGGATTTGTTAGTGGTTTCCATCCCTGACTTGGGGTGACTGTGCTCTGAGCCAATATGCTGATGTGGTTATTCCTGTTTCTTGGCAGGTCTGTATCATGAAGCCCATCATAACATGATGCCATTCATGAATATTAGTCATTCCCCTTTACCTGATTTTATGCTTGCCAATCAATGTTCTGACATTAAGCAGGTTTTAGAAGTAGATTTTCCAGCTGGGTGCAGTGGTTCAATGCCTGTAATCCCAGTACTTTGGAAGGATTGCTCAAGCCCAAGACTTTAAGACCAGGCTGGGCAATATAGGGAAATGCTGTCTCTACAAAAAATAAAAAATTAGCCAGTCATAGTGGCACGTGCCTGTGGTCTCAGCTACTTGGGAGGTTGAGGTGGGAGGATTGCTTGAGCCTGGGAGGTTGAGGCTGCAGTGAGCTGTGATCCTGCCATTGCACTGCAGCCTGAGCGACAAAGTCAGACGCTGTCTCAAAAAAAGAAAGAAAAGGCAGATTTTCCTACTGGAAAGAGAATGTGCTGACCAGTTGATATAGGTATTCTAGTCAGTCTAGCATTTGATTTCTTTCCTTTAAAAAAAAAAGTACTTTATAAATTATAAAATAATACAAGCTTATCATGAAATAATATTCAAAAAGTATAAAAGCAAACTTCAAAGTTCACTTGTCATGCACAGCTTCTTTCCAATCCACTCCCTGGGTGTACCAATTTATTTTTTGTTGTAAGTTAATTGGTTTCTCCATTGAATATCTGATATTCAAGATGTTTTCTTTATGACCTTGTTTAAAAGGAATCTCTTGTGAATTCACTCAGAATGAACTAACAAAACCGAGTTTCTTTTTTTCTTTTTCTTTTTTACTTCTTCCTTCATCAAAGTCTTCTTAGCTAAAAAAAAACCTGACCTTCCAAATGCACAAAACTGAGGGCCAGCCTTTTCATTCAGTCCTTTTGATCTTCATGTTCCAGTGTTTTGTTAAGTCTTTTATGATGGGAAATTTGCTTCGCGAAAAGTGTAAGAGGAGAACAATTTGGCATAATATGTGTAGTGCTGAATTCACTGAATTTCATGATTTATTCAGTCCTATGAACTACCACTCCCTTATTTTGTGTGTGTTGTACTACTTTTTAGTTATTTTCCAAAAGTCTTTTCACCTCTCTTGAATCCCTGCCAAGGATAAAGGATAAAGTAGGAGGTAAGAAAAATAACTTTAGTCCTAGTGCAAGTCAGTATGCACCTACTTCAACAGTTTTTTAAAAAGATCGCATGAAGACAAATCTGAAATTATGTAGACTGCAGATTGGCTTTTTATTATTATTGGCCATTTTCAAACTCAAAGCAATTTCTGATGAGAAAAATTACTTCCCTAATACAAGTACTGTTATGCTTTTAGTGTACATGGAATTTATTACGAAAGATTTTCCTTACTGGAAAGAGAACATTTGGGTCTGTTTTTGAAAATGCTTTCCCATAAGGATTTAGGGAAAACACCTTGAGCATAAGGTCTCTAAGGGAAAATTACTGTTTTAGGAACAGAAAAGACAACTTACCTAAATAATGCTAATAATGCAATGAAAATGGATATAATTACGTAATTTAAAAAATGGTTTCACTTAGAGAGGGACTACATTATTTTTATAGAGGAACAAAACTTACAAAATATATTCATGTTATTTAAGGCTGATAAGTTTTTTAAAAAATTTCACCACTACCAACGAAAGCTGATATGCATTTTTCAGGATAATCTTTTTGATGGGACAAACAATGATGAAAATTAATACAGAAATCTGGTTGACTGTGGGTGTAAAATTAGAGATATTTTCATGTAGATTAAACAGATTTTTCTTCCAAAAGAAAATGTGCAATTAATTTGTAGTACATTTATTATTTACCAGTTTTCATAAAATGGAATACAGTTAAGGTAGTTACAAAAATATATTGTAGAAATATCTTTGGTGAGAGGCTGTGATTTAGTAAATATTGCATTTATTTCAGATAGTCACAGAAGCAAGCTTAGGGTTCACACTGGCACTATTCTCTAAACTTCATTTTCTGATGTTAGAAGTTAGACACAATTTAATAGCTATTTGAGGCAAAAATTTACTGGGCCTGAAACTCTTTATATAATAAAGAACCATAGTGGTATGGGAATATCATTTCAGTCATCATACCTGCTAGATTCTTTGACTGATTGATAGGTTTGATCATCTTCTATTTATGGTCAATGATTGTTGCTCAAGGAGATTTAATACATTTGTTTCGATTTTTTCTTTTCAAATTTTAACATTACCCTTGAGTTAGGCAAAGTACCAAGGTCGGAATGCAAATTTACATAGTGCCTTTATATTGAATTTATCCCTGGCTTGGAAGAAACAGCCCTCTGCCCTCATGAAGATATTAGCAGGTTCACTTGGCCTTCTGTTGTGATTTAATATAGATGCAGAAGATAAAAATCCAATAAAACCATTGTCATGAGTTTATCTACTATGACATTCTGGCATATGATGTCAGTTTGTCCTGGAAAATTCAAAATTAATTTTTTTGTCCCTATTTTCATATATGAGAAGTGGAACTTTTAATATCAGCATATAGAAATGGCCTTTTCAATGTCATGTGAGTTGCAATAAAGGTTTTGAAGGCATACTTGCTTTCGTGCAAGTGTTATCTCCCGGCTCAACCAGGTGATAAAACCTTATTAATAAATTACAATAAAGGCACTGTAATAGACTGGATTGGCACATTTTTGATCTTCTCAACTTACTTATTTCCAGTTCTGATAGGTCTAGTTTCTATAGATCCTACCTAAACATGATTTTGGAAGCCAGACAAACTGCATTGAAATTTATAAAGATACCACGAATTTGGGGGCACAAATGACATAATGAAATAAACACAAAATCAACTTTTGGGGCCCAATAGAGCTGAGATGCTTTCCTTAAAATAATTAAGAATCCAAACTAATCACACATATAAACAAGTTTATTAGATTGTCAGTGATACTTTGAGACAAATTCAAGTTATTTCATTTTACTTCATATAAACAGAGGAAGGGAGGAAAGTTTTAAACTTCAAGCTTTGTTCAGCATGTGTGCAGTTAGCATCCACAAAAGCACCATTGGGTATGGGAGAATTAGCACCACAGAATTTTAGGACCTAACTGTTAACATGCATCACTGAAAAACTTGGAACATAAAAACTGAAGTAGTACGTGGTATGGTCTATTATAAACAATACAAGGCAATTTATGATTTGTTCTCATACAGTACAATACAATCACAATAAATGAGAACCTTTTAAGAACAATACGGGACAAAAACCACCTTGCACCCTGTTAACACTAAAGCAGTTACAGATTTAAAAAAATGTTTCTGGTAAGAGGCAGTGGGTTGAAATTATCCCTCCCCCCTCAATTTTTAAATTCAGAGTTATATAGTTACATGATCTCTTAAGAAAGTATTTTCAAATCTATATGTCTCTCTACCTCAAGGCTGACAAATGGTGGTTTGAAAACGAAAGGCTTGATGAATTAAAAAAAACAAAACCCAAAAACTGGATAGAGTCGAAAGGTACTTCAATGTGGTGGAAATTATTCAACATAAGATCAGTTTGGAAATGATGCCAGTGGTGTTGATACTTGTCTTCCCTTCCGTGGAGGAATGTCAAGTACTGAGGCCTTACATTCATGATGAACTTCAGTTCATTTCTTTCACCGAATGCCTTTATTCTGAGGTGTAACATAAGAGATTTATTCCTTATTCCTCAACTGTTTTTGTAGTATCATGGGGCTGTTCCTTATGCTTGATTTGACAACAGTGAAAAAGGTTGATATTCTCTCTGGATTTGGGGTAATTTGTGAGCTAAAGAAAAAATATTAATTTGAATTTAGCAAACATGAAGTTTTCAAGGGAGTTCCACTATTTTCACAGTACAAACCCATAATTAATCTCGTTGAAAACCTTTCTGTTAGAAAGCATGTAACAAACCCTCAATTTTTAGTTGTGTCTAGGCCAATTTTGGCCTATTTGAAGCTACTGCATAAGAAATGTGTAATAAGGATTGATAGATACAGGTATATTCAGATCTCAATGCATTGATGCCAAGGAAAATATAATTTTACTCACCAAGAGAAGAATATACCTTGAAGCATCTATGCAGACACATGAATCAATCATGTATCTGCCCACCTTCTAATTCTGGAATAGTGATAACAGGGTCGTTTAGGAAAAAGTACTCAATTACAGTACGGCAGCAATTTTATGTTGTATATATTTAACAGCAAAACATTTTTGAAAATAGAAATCAGTACTATATGGTAAGTTTACAATTCACCATTTCTATATTTGTAATACATGCGTTTATTTGTTTTCCAAGTTTAAAAAAATCCCACTAGGACCAACATCTTTCAGAACAACAATCTAACATTAAACAAAACTTCCTAAGGAAAATATTTAGCATCACAGAGAGTTGAGAAACGTCTGTTACTCAGCATCACAAAATACTCAATAGGTCTACATTGAAGATTGTTCATGCCATGACATTAACACACCTTTGGGTTAATATATCTTGTTTTTAAAAGAAAACAAAGAACCAAACCAAACAACTGACATGGAATTTGTGTTTGGTCTCCCCTTCACAAGGATAGACCTCTGATAAACTTGACTCCTTTCTGTAATCATGTAATGATCAGACTGTCTATGAAACTGCACGTACATTTAGTAAAACATTTAAAATTAGAGATGGAAAAATGGCCACCACAGAGAATGACTTAAAGATAAGTAAACTTACAGAAAAATGTGTTTTTGTAAAAGTGTACTGCCCCTCAAGCAAAAAAGAAAGTGGAGTTTGTCCACTTTGAAATAATTTTCTGTTGAAAAAATTTCTTGGATAAAAGCCTATCCTTATGAATGTCAGAAAGATGTTAAGGTTTCACTTGAGAGGGTTGAACCCTTTTGAAAAAATTATCCTATGCTTTTTCTGCTGAACTAAATTCCTTGTATAAATCAAGCACTAATTTTCTGAAGAGGAAACAGCTATACACAGCAGCACATCCATGTTGATGATTTAAATTTGATAGTTCACCAGGCATGGCTGACTTGAGCAAAAAAGAAACAAACAGATGTTTTAATGTTTTAGAATTACACTAAAAAATCTCAACTAAAACAAAATTGAATTATAATGGACTGGCTTAATAATTATGATTGCCTTTACATTTGATCAACATTTCAAGACAAGGCAGTACCAATTAAAAGTGAGATTTAAAAATAAAAACTGTCCAAAAATTGTTCAATGAAAAAGCCTTCAAATTTTACAACATTTTAAAATCTCAAATGATTGTAGACTAACTTAGACTAACAGTCTTGTTATCACATATACTTTTGTTATTCTTGAGTTTTATTTCTGTATTGTTCATTGGTTATATTGGTAACAATTTTTCTGTTAAGTTACAATAGTTTTTGAATTAACACATTATACCATAAGAGGCTTCAGAAAAACATGTAACTAGGATAAATTTATAAAAGGATAAAGAATAATTTAAGGGATTTTTGACATATTCTATACAGACGAATAGCTAGTTCAAGGTAATAAAGTGCCTTCTTTTCCAGGTAATTAATTTATCATTAAAATATTTTAAGGCTTTATAAGAAACTCAGTGCTATCAGAAGTTTGATAGCATATGGAGTTATGTTATTAATTAGCATTCTTTTGTAGTTCTTATTTCATGTAATCTTCAATCCCTAAGGTATTAATATATTTTTATAATTAGCAGCTTAAAATTATAAACTTGAATGTCGATTCTGAATTCATTTTGTGGGGAAAGCGAAGGATGTATAATTTCTAAATGCTGTGATACACTCATGTTGCTTCTGAACAATATAGTTTATGGCGTAATATACAGCAGCCAATGCCCCTCAGAAAATTCAACAGAATAGTTAATCCCATGGCAAACAGGGCCATCATTTTATCCATTCATTCATATATCCTGCTATCTTTACATTTAAAATGATCATGCAGGCCTAAACAAAAAAGGCCAGAGAAAACCTAAGGTAAATTTTTCAGGTACAGGCACAATGAGTATCTTTTATTGCAACAGTTTATGCATAATCTATATTGGTGCCAACACCTAAAGTTAAACATTTATATTTATTTTTATTTTGTTTCTACTACCCATGGGTGCATGACAGTAAAATACTGGTAACCTAACAGAATGTATGTGTATGGGTATATATGTATATATAAAATAGCATATATATATGTGATACTCATAATAATACAGAATTCTGATGCTTCCAAGTCTTGTCATTTCTCTTTAGGGGATATGGGTGTGTTTTAAGCACTTCTGTGTACTTAGTTGTCTTGGCAGCTCCAGAGTTTAGATAAATTATGACTATATGGACATCAACTACTCAATTATTTATGACCAATGAAAACTAATTAAAAAGTTTGAATATTCTTTTTCAGGAATTCAGTTATTTTTATCAGAAAATTACTAAAATCAGGCACAAGATTAAGTGGTCATGATACCTAAAATATTCTTCTGGTTACCACTGGATTAATTTTAAATGGTTCTTAAATTAAAGGTTTTGAAATTAGGATAGAGGAGGAAAGCTAAAACTCATTGCAAAGAATAGTTTAAGTTAAACATTTTGTGTAATTAGAAAAACAGGAATTACCAGTAGGAAAAAAGTGCTAGTCTTAAAATTGGGTTTGATTTTGACTCTAAAGCCTAGTAAGAATAATTACTGGGAATTAGAAAAAAATAAAGTGGCATTAACCTTTATAATTGCACATTCCTTTGCCAAAGTGCCACAAGTTGACAAATATTTTTCTAAAATGCACAATGCTACTTTTCAAAATGTAAATATATATACAGTTTTACCTTTTTCATACTGGTATAGCACAGATTCATACACTTAGCACAAATATAATCAAGGAGATGATACTTTCTAGAATCAGTATAGTCTTTGTTTTTTGTTTTAAACAACTAAGAGACTTTGTGATTATGAGGATTCAAATCCAAATACTATATAGTCAAAGCATTACCATAAAACCTGAAAACATCGTGACGGTTTGTTTAGGCGAATTTTAGTAATACTCTGCCATGCAATGTACATAAGTCGTATGTGTTTTCCTTTAAAATAAAAAAAAACCACACTGGTTTAATTACCCTGTTTTTATCTATTTGTCTACATATACATCTTGTCTCCAGTCACTGAAATGACAATATATGTAACAATCAAATTTTGAAAACAGTATTAAACACTGAGGTTTCTAGCCTTAGCTGGTCATTCCTATAAAGTCCAGCAAAAAATATGATGCATGGGTTATTAATTTTCATGCTTCTATTTCTTTACTCTAAATAGAAACACTAAATGGAAATGTTCAGAGATAATATAATGACAAAAGGACAGTAGAGAACAAAGCACCAACATGTGGAACAAATAAAATAATATGCAACTCTGTGGAGGTTCTCCATCAAATTTGGCAAATCAGGGATGACAGTAAAAAATGAAGATCTCTTACTCATGTAATAATCATACTGATATATATTTGCAAATAAATGGAATGCACAGAAAGTTAAATTTTGAATATTTTTGTTGTTTCTGAGTGTGATAAAACTAGAGTTGCCTCATTATAAACTAAGATTCTCCCCCACCTCAAAATTCTATTGTTCAGAGGAGAGAGAGAATGTAAGATTACGATTCTCTGTGACAGATGACCTGGGCTCTGCTACACCACAGGCTAAACTCTGCGGTGTAGTGCCCCATTTAATTAGGGTGAAAGCTGGTAAGAACATAAAAGTACTAAAATTAAAATTAGGATTAGTTCATAGTCAAAGAACATTAAATAACTGTCTAAATGGGTCCCTTCCTTGAGCATCTGAATCTTAGGTATAAGAATGACTATATAGAAGCATGTTAAAGACATGGCCCATTCTATAAATTCATCTTTTGAGGGTGTATAATGGGATATAAATTGGCATCCTCATCTTCTGAGAGAATTAACAAACTTTAAAAACATTAACTAAAATCAGAAAAGACCAGGCATAATAAATCACTGAACCCAACATACTGGCAAGTTAATCACAGGATATTCATCTTATTTAACAAACCTTCCTACAGTTTCTGAGTATTAAAATATAATCCGTTGTTTGTGAATAATAGTCTTGGATAGTTTCAGCATTTAAATATTGGAGAAATACTTCCGATAAACATTGAAATACAGAAATTCTTAATAGAAGCTGCAGATTTATAGAAACTTCATAGTATGTGTGATATTCCAACTATATTTAGCTCACATAATACCCAAAATAATACAACATTCCACAATTTATCTTGTTAATACACACACGTATTTTCTTGACTTTGTAAAAGCTAGGCAATTGTATTTACCTAAAATAGCTTTTCCCTGGTAATAGTCCTATATCGTTGACATAAATACTGAACATACCTATGAGAATCATTTCTACCCTATAATTTAATATTGTTTTCTTTCATTCAGTTGCTTTGTAGCTCTTTTCATTTCCAAAGTGCTTCACAACTAATTATAACAGTTATTTCTCACCATATCCCAATGAGCAAGGCAAAGTTAATGCATTGCTTGTGCAGTGGTTCAGGTGCACAGGTTTATAATGATCTCATGTAGCTTCTCTGCTCTCTGGGCAGTTATCTAGCATTGTCCATGTTGTGAGTACCCGTACTGTATGCTCTTTGGGGCCAAAGACTGGATCTTGTTGTCTGCTATATTATCCAGACCCAGAGAAATGGTTAGCTCATACCACAGGCAAAATAAATATCTATTGATTTAATGAATGAATGAGAAATGAGACTGAGAAAACAGAACAAAGAACTTCACTATAACACTCTCCTACCACTAACCCCCACAAAAAGCTGTGCTGGTCCACTTTTGCTTCACCCATACAATGTGGTAGGTAGTATTACTTGTCTTAAAGAATAGGGTAGTATTACTCACTCTTGAAGTGGTACTCTTGAATCGGGTAGTATTACTCTTGAATAGGGTAGTATTACTCACGCCTGAATCGCTATGGCAAAATCCATATGATGTGTTTTCCAGAGAACCAATGACACAATTGACTATTACTACAACTACTTCTAAAACTCTGAATTACTCATCTTTACCTTTGCCAAACATTTAAATTAAAAGTTGTGCTTCTGGTAGACTATTCTTTTCTTAAGCTAATTCAGGCATAATGAATCAAGGAAATAATCCTCATAGCTGCAATCATTAACATGAATATGGAGACTATCAGAGGGAATGAAAAGGCAGTTATACATATATACAAAGGGGATCTGGGGACTACTAGTTCTTCATTGTTTTGGAAATTAGGGCAGGAAAGCTAAGACCTGTAAAAAGATAATAATTATATTGAACTATTGAATACCGAGAGGTAAGACTTGATGATGTTGAAAGTCTCTTCTAGCCCTAAAATTCTATGTTATGCTAACTGGTTCTTCCTCTGATAAGATGGGAATCTGTACAGTATTCAAAATATATTTTCTTTTAAAAAAGGATAGTTAAATCCCAAAAGTTTGATGTGTTGGAACTCTTGAATAACTGTATTAAACGTTTTCTTTAAACCACCATTACTCCTTCTTTTGCAATGATACCATGTAAAATATTTTACTTTATTTTTATTTTTCTTGAGACAGGGTCTCTCTCTGAAGCCCAGGCTGGGGTGCAATGGCATGATCTCGGCTCACTGCAACCTCTGTCTCCTGGGTTCAAGTGATTCTCCTGGCTCAGCCTCCCAAGTAGCTGGGATTACAGGAACTCACCACCACACCTGGCTAATTTTTGTATTTTTCGTAGAGATGGTGTTTCACCACGTTGGCCGGGCTGGTCTCGAACTGATGACCTCAGGTGATCCACTTGCCTCGGCCTCCCAAAGTGCTAGGATTACAGGCGTGAGCCACCGTGCCCGGCCGAGATCTCTTTTATCTTTCTAACATTAAATGGATAGCAGTGTTCATATTCAAGTGGGAACAAAGACCATATCCTCATTTTTTCATCTGGAACAAACATTATCGGCAGTTTAATTAAAATTAATTACTACAACCAAAACGATAATGAACTGTTTAGAGACTTCAATTCATACTTTTGAGCGATTGCTCAAAAGCACTTATCAATCTTGAGAAGATATATCCTTGAGGCTTAGTATGACAGCACTGTGAGTTGCCCTTCTGGGTTAAATTATACCAACAAGATTCTCTTGGTAATTCAAATGTAACTGCTTTTGTATGAGAAATGACTTAGGCCAAATTCTACACTAAAGTAGGTCATGTGAAAGGGAGGATTCATTTCAGTATTTTTGGAATTATCAGAATGAAATATGAAGATGGTAAAACAACTTAGGAACCTGAACAAAAAAGTAAGTATGATAGGGGAAAAGGAAAGCACGTGTATTTTAGTCGTAGGTGAAAGAAATAAGAAAAGCGAATGAGAAATATTTCAAGAACGGGAATAATCTGAAACTTTATCAGTGTTCTCTCACTAATCAGGCTATATTTCTTATTTCTTTTGGGTACCATTATTTTTTTTTTCCCACTGAAGTGATATAAGCATTATAGTACTATATGGCTACTTTTTTTCTGGCTGAATAATTGTACAAATACAGAAAACTGGCTGGGCACAGTGCCTCACACCTGTCATCCCAGCACTTTGGGAGGCCACAGTGGGCAGATCACTTGACATCAGGAGTTTGAGACCAGCCTGGCCAACATGGCAAAACCCTATCTCTACTAAAAATACAAAAATTAGCTGGGCATGGTGGTGCCCACTTGTAATCCCAGGTACTTGGGAGGCTGAGGCAAAAGAATCGCTTGAACCTGGGAAGTGGAGGTTGCAATGACCCGAGATCGCCCCACTGCAATCCAGCCTGGGTGACAGAGCAAGACTCCATCTCAAAAAAAAACCAAAAAACAAAAAAACAAAAAAAACACCATACTAACTTTTTGTAAAAGTAAGAAAGTGGCTATTGGTATGTGACAATGTTTTGGGATCTCTTTGTGCTCCTGCAGCTCCTTATTTCAGTCTTGAAGGTGGAGATGGTAAGAATAGGGGTGGACTAGCCAAAGGCCAGCTCAACCTTCTCCTTTATTATGTCAAAATTCAGCCACCTTTTTGGTAACTATAGAATTTTCTTGAAAAAGACAATAAGCAGAAAGTAAAAATTCACCCTTTAGATTTGTTGATACACAATTTACTATGGCTCCCCAGAATCACAGTATAATCTTTGCTTAAATTTACTGCCACTCCCCAGAATCTCAATGAATCTTTGCATAACATGGCAAACAATTTAATTAGGACTTTCAAAAGAAGAAAAATGCAATCTGGATGCTGCTCTTACTGTATCTACTCTTGTTTCATTTATATAATATTTGCTTGGAATTACAGATCAAAATGAGTTTCTAATAATAAAACTGAGTTCATCAGGTCTATATTACATAATTTTAAGAGGGCTTAAAAGCTCCTGAGGCATCACCATATTGATAAACAAGTAAAACATCCTTTCCAGCACGTTTTGATAATGGAGATACTACAAGAAAAATATCCTTGGCTGGGCACAGTGGCTCACGCAGGTAATCCCAGAACTTTGGAAGCCCGAGGTGGGTGGATCACTTGAGGTCAGGAGTTCGAGACCAGCCTGGCTAACATGGTGAAACCCAAATTAGCTGGGCATGGTGGCAGGTGCCAGCTACTAGGGAGGCTGAGGCAAGAGAATTGCTTGAACCAGGGAGGCAGAGGTTGCAGTTACAGTGAGCCAAGATTGTGCCACTGCACTCCAGACTGGGCAACAGAGCAAGACTCTGTCTCAAAAAAAAACAAAACAAAAGAATATCCTTAAATGGGATTATTTTTCAAACTAGTTTCTGAAGTCAAAGCAGAACTATAAAGCGATGGAAACAGTCATAGGTTTACGGCTATTACAATTCCTGATGCGAACTCAGGTTCTGTTTTTAGTAATTTAGAGTCTTCCAAAAGAGTAGCTCTTGATGCATATAACGCTAATTAAGGTGGGAGAGTTGTTTGGATGTTAGAAGTACTGTCACTTAATATTAATATAAGAGGGTATTTTCTCCCCCTGCATTCTTACTACAGGTTTGCTGCCATGATTTTAATAGTAGTTATGTGTCAATCAAGATATTCAGTGACGATCTGCTTATTTCTTGCCTGTTTTAAAAAAGTATCATCAGGCAATAAAAGAAACACTCTACTGACAGACTCAAAAACATGGACAATCTCAAAATTATTATGTTGAGTGAAATAAGCCAAACAGAGAAAAATACACGCAGACCAGGCATAGTGGCTTATGCCCATAATCCTAGCACTTTGGGAGGCTGAGATGGGCAGATCACCTGATCTCAGGAGTTTGAGACCAGCCTGGGCAACATGGTGAAACCCCATCTCTACAAAAAATACAAAAGTTAGCTGGGCGTGGTGGCATGTGCCTGTAGTCCCAGCTACTTGGGAGGCTGAGGCATGAGAATTGCTTAAAGCTGGGAGGTGGGGGTTGCAGCGAGCTGAGATTGTGACACTGCACTCCAGCCTGGGTAACAGAGTGAGATCCTGTCACCAAAACAAAAAAAAAAAGAAAAGAAAAGAAAAGAAAAGAAAAATACATGCAATTAACAGGGGATTCCAGAATACACAAAACTAATCTGTGGTGATAGACATCTGATCAGTGGTTGCTTTTGGAAGTCAGGGTCGGGGGAGTGTTGACTGAGGAGGGGTACATGGGAACTTTCTGGGGTGACAGAAATGTGTCTTCATATTCATCAAATCTGACTGAATGACATGCTAAGATCTGAGCATTTTATTAAATTATATCTTAATAAAAATGTTAAAATGCATTGTAATGAAACACGACATTCCTTCTAAAGCATCAGAAATTGCTTAGCATTTTTCTTTTTTCTTTTTTTTTTTTTTCATTTCAAAACTTCTCCCTTCAAATCACCACATAGAGAACAACACGCCCTGGAAAGGGATTCATGACTAATTATCTATGGAGGACACGGGTTTTATATCAGGGGCTACTAGTGGAGCAACAGGACACCACCAGTAGAGAAAGGAGACTGATGCACTTAACACTTACAGGTGGGAAGGAAACAAGATTTTACCTTATGCCTCTTGGTGCACAATCAAGTGTATACATGGTCTATCACACTTCAAAATCACGTTGAATGCCAGTGTCTGGGAGCCTAACTTATGACTACCTTACCACTTCAAATATAAGGGGCCACTCGTTCATCAGCTTTAAAGAGGTTACATTCAGAGTCAAATAGCCAATGAATTCCCAGTTTCCTACAGAAATAACTTTATTACACTACCTGACAATTCTAAAAATAAGTAAGTGAGAAAATTCTATTGGTTTTGAGAAGAAAACAATAATGACCTTGACAGAATTCATCCACGTCATGCCAAATTCATCTACAAAATTAAAACTGTCATCAGAAGGCTGGGTGTGGTAGCTCACGGCTGTAATCCCAGCACTTTGAGAGGGCGAGGAGGGTGGATCACAAGGTCAGGAGATTGAGACGAGCCATGGCCAACATGGTGAAACCCTGTCTCTACTAAAAATATAAAAATTAGCGAGGCGTGGTGGTGGGCGCCTGTGGTCCCGGCTACTCGGGAGACTGAGGCAAGAGAATAGCTCCGTCTCAAAACAAAAACAAAAACAAAAACAAAAACACCCTATCATCAGAAGTCAGACAATTATTTCTCTAATTTACTTCTTTTTGTAATTCCAAGTGAAACACACCAAAGGCTTTTGCTGTCCCAAATCCACCTATAACATACAAAGACATCTAAAACATGTAATTTTACTATTCATTATCATCTCCACCTTAGGTTAGAGGGGAAAAATAAAAATAGTGAGCAATTTCCCTAGTACAATGCTGGGCCTATGGGAGGAACTCAATCCATATTTGTTGACTGAATAAACGAATGTTCTTGTTCCCCTTGAACTGCCATTTCTTACCTCACACAGTGTCTTCTAACTCAACATTACACATTCAATATGGTTAAAAAGGAAAAGCATAGGCACATACTTAGTTTTTTTTAAAAAGCTCTGAAACTCCCAAGCCACACATTATATTGCTACTGCTATTATGCTATTAACATAAAAATTGCATAAATATATCTTGACCCAATTGTAAAAATGATAAATTGATACAAGACAACAGATTCTTAGCTATCAAATCTTCCTTTTAAAAACTCAATTAGTGACACTGAAGGACATTATTTGCCTCTCTAGAATGAACAATAAAAAGTTTTGGGATCAACAAAAAGGACAGTCATGTGCTGTTTCATGTAAACATTTCTGAGGGCAAGAGGAATCATTAGTATCAAAGGAAAATAGAGTTCTAAGAGCTAGATTATAGAAAAAAATATAGTTCAAATATGAAAGAGGAAAATATCAGTATTAAGATGGTGGTCTGGTAAAAGCTGTTTTATGACAGTCACTGGGGCCTAAATTATAATGGTTCTTTACTATCCTGAAATTGAAGATTAAAGTGTGATCAACCTTTAAAAAGCTATTTTTTTCAGAGTCAAATGACCCGCTAACATACTCTTATAATAATGTTTTCAACTTGAAAATAAAGAGGTGAGAAAACTCTTCGAGTTGAAGGATAAAAACAAATATTCTGAATGACGTCTATATAATCTCACTGATTCTGAAGCAAAATCAGTGTAATAAGAAAAACAGACACTGAACAGTGGAAGTACCACTTAATATAGTTCAAGTTCTGAAAGACTAGTTAAATGATGTCAAAGTCATACAAATATTTTTCCTATCTCTTGTAAAATGAGGGTGTCATATTACCCCCAAAGACACCTTCAGGCAAAAAACCATCAAAATCGATGGTAGATCTAGATGAGAAAAACTGTAGGTACTAGGAAGTAGGTGAATGTAATACTTTTAGCGCTGCAGCAATTGGTCCCTCAATCATGCAAACAGCCTAATGATTCTCTTTTTTTAAAAAAAGAAAAAAACAAAGCTGTTCTGATTTCCTCCAGGAATAAATCTATGCTTCAATTATTTTCCAGTCTGTGGATAGTTTATTCATTTTCTTAATGGTGTCTTTGGATGAGTAGGAAATTTTAATTTTGATGGAGTCTAATGTATTGTTTTTTTCTCTTATAGTTAGTGCTTTTTGTTTCCTGTGCAAGAAATTTTTGCCTGCACAATTGTGCACTTTTATATTTGACTGAAAACAGTTTTATGAGATTATAAGCAGCCCAATTCCCTTGCAGCTGCTACACCTAAAGGTTCCTATGGTAAAAGGAGGCTCCCTTTGAACTTTGCATAATGTTGTTATACTTTCCAGGGAACCATCCATTTCGTGGGTTGGGAAGAATTAATAATGATGTTAACTAATATTTGTTAAATGCTTTGATTATGTGACATTTCGTTAACAGCCTTATGTACCTGAAGGCATTTAACTTTCTGTTTTTTGAGATGGAATCTTGCTCTGTTGCCCAGCCTGGAGTGCAGTGGCATGATCTCGGCTCGCTGCCACTGCAACCTCCGCCTCCTGGGTTCAAGCGATTCTCCTGACTCAGCCTCCCGAGTAGCTGGGATTACAGCTGCGTGCCACCACGCCTGGTTAATTTTTGTATTTTTAGTAAAGATGGGGTTTCACCATGTTGGCCAGGCTGGTCTTGAATGCCTGACCTCAAGTGAGGCCCACCAAGGCCTCCCAAAGTGCTGGGATTACAGGCGTGAGCCACTGCACCTGGTTGCATTTAACTTTTTTAAGAGAATTCTGGTTTACTCTAGGTTCTGTGAGGGCAGGGAACTTTATGTTTTGTTATCAATATAATTCCCTGAACTTTAAAGATTGACCAGCACATAGTAGGTGATTGATGAATATACAATAAATGATGAATGAATTCTCACAACTCTATACAGTTACATAAACTGCTCCAAATTTCACAATAAATGACAGAATTTGGACTTGAACCCAGGACTGGCTGACACCAAGGTCTGTTCTGTTTGCACTTTATACTAGGCCACTGAGATTGCCTGATAACTTTAGGGGATCCAATACCTAAAAATAGAGCTGAAATTACTGCCATTGCTTAAGGGGGTAGAGGAAGTGGATTAAAGTCATTGTTGTTTTCTTCTCCCGGCAAAAGGCAAGTGTGGAACTCCTATTAAGCTCCTCTGTGATAATCTTAGCCATATTGATCTGACTTTTATATTTATAACTATATGATAATTTGTGCAGATTTAGCCAATATGAAACTTCTGTGGCCATAAATACAGAAACAGAATAATTCGGACAGGTGCAGTGGCTCACACTTGTAATCCCAGCACTTTGGGAGGTCAAAATGGGTGGATCACTTGAGGTCAGGAGTTCAAGACCAGTCTGGCCAACACAGTGAAACCCCATCTCTTCCAAAGAATACAAAAATTAGCTGGGCGTGGTGACATACACCTGTAGTCCCAGCTACTCGGGGGGCTAGGGTGGGAGAAGTACTTGAACCCGGGAGGTGGAGGTTGCAGTGAGCTGAGATCGTGCCACTGCACTCTAGCCTGGGTGACAGAGTAAGACTCTGTCTCAAAACAAAACAAAACAAAACAAAACAACAAAAACCACCAGAATAATTCAGTCTGCATGTAAGAATTCAGAATTTAGCCTGCCAGTTCCTCAGTGATGCTACAAAACCATGGTTAACTGGGAATGTCAGGGAGCGAAGTCATTTACTTAACAGCAATTCCTAGCTAACAGTATGCTTTTAATCCTATTGAAATGGAAATATTTCTAACATGTATTATTTCGATTTTCTGCTTTAATAAATACAACATAATAAATGTGATTAAATTTTGCATGCACAAATGAGAATACTGCAGTGCTCTAGGGCCTTCACTGTCAACAACTGTAATGATGGTACTGATGCAGATGAAGAACAGTGGGTTCTTGAGTTGATTTCATAAAACCTGGATCATTCCTTTCAAACAGGTTTCTGAAAAAGTCTGCTTCTAACTTATCATGTGGTCATTTATCTCTTGTTCATAAGCATGTAGAGGGAAAACCAGTCTAGGGAACATAGTGAGACCCTGTGTCCACAAAAAATAGGAAAAATAGCTGGGCATGGTGGTGCATGCCTGTAGTACCAGCTACTCAGGAGTCTGAGGCGGGAGGATCACTTAAGCCCCAGAAGTCAAGGCTGCAGTGAGCCGTCACTGCACCACTGCACTCCGGCCTGGGTGACAAAGCAAGACCCTGTCTTGAAAAAATAAAAAATAAAAAAATAATAAAAAATGGAATGCAGGGAAAAGATTTACTCGCTGTTTAATTAACCAAACTTATTATGCAAATGTAGTTTTACATCTTAAATCCTCTAAACGATATCACTTTTAGAGGGCTATTCTGCAAAGCAGGTGCCATGACAAGACTTGGGTTAACAGGTGAGGAAACGTCAAGTTCTGGAAGGTTAGCTAAGGTGGGAAGCTCAGGCAGGGAGTCTTAAGCACAGAGGACAAAGGCTCAGAGTTTGAGGCAGAGGCTGAGGTCGGCAAGCAGCTGGTGCACAGACATGAGCACCAATGAGTTGCTAGGCCTTCTGCCAGGGCCAAAACCAAGAGTTTACTGAGTGCAGAATTGAGCCTAAAGATGTGATGAAAGCAACAAAATACCTAGAATGCATTTCAAAAAAACTCTTTAAATGAGCTATAAACATATATGCTTAATTTTGCCAAATTTTGATTTCAAGTTTACCTCTTTAAATTTCTATGTTATTATTAATATAAAAGGCTTCAATGAGCAGTGGGCTTGTTAAAACCCTGGTATTTTTATTAGGCAGCTAAGTGATTACAGCAAACCATTTCACCTGCTGGGCTTTGGTTTTCTTCATCTGTTAAGTGGGGACAGTGATATTGAACTAATCTAAATCAGGAGTTTCATCAGGGTAAAATGAGGTATAATAGAAAAAAGAACTTGGAAAATGATTTTAACGTATATGTAAATTATTATAATTTAAAATTACACATTCTTTTTATATTTAATTGAATTAGAAAATATTTCATAATTAATGACCAGTTATGGAAAACTTTCAGGACAAATTTTTGGTACTCATGATTAACTGAATTTATCTATTAATTGTCTTCATTGCAATGTCTCTACAGTGAAAATTATTACAACTGTGGATTTACTGACACAGAGGTGTTAGTAAATCTCATTTGGTTGGCTAAGACATTGGTGAGATAGTCATCATAGCTGAGAACACTGATGGATTTTTGTCAATCCAAACATATGAGGAGAAAAAGAATTTGTGAATATACTGAATATGCAATGAGAGTGAAATAAAATTAGTGATGATGAATACAAAAGCCTGGGGCAGGAAGGGCTAACATGTGACATGTATATAGCTACTCCTTGCTTTCCTCATCTAACTGCCCCATCAACATACAGAAATCATCGCAGTCTTTTACCATGGGCCTGAATGGAGCTTCACAATCATCTCCAACCTAGGACTCAGGTAGTCATTACCACTTGAACACAATGGCACATGAAATGAAACAGAATAGTTATTTTCACCCTAGGACATCAAGGCAGATTTGGAATGAGGAAGACAGAATTATTGTTTAAAATAGTATCATTGTATTTCTCTAAATCTGCATCAATGAAATATATTTTGAGCACTATGACAGTATGTAGATAATCATATTTAAAGGATAAATTGATAAGGGAAAAATAATGCATAGCATTTTATACTAGATAGCTTTAAATACACTTCCATATGTACCAACAAACTGTCTAGCACATGGCAGATAATCAAATAAATATCTGTTGAATGAACAAAATGATACTGTAATTAGGCTCCAAAAGCTGCTTTGAATCAAATAACTTTGGACATGGCACACTTAAAGCTAATGGCAGTGAAATATTTGTCTTTCCTAAGTTATTGTATCCCTAGACCCTAGCACAGAACCTGGCAAAAAGTAGCTACTCAATGTCCATTGAATGAGTAGAGGAACAACATCACTTATCCATTAAGCAAGGGAAAGAATATTTCTGAAATAAAATTTAGGGTGTGCAGGCAACAAATCATCCTTTAATTGTGAGTCATCTTTGAAATAAAGATGACATAGCATTTTTGGTTAGGTTTTAAAACTATCGCTTTCATTAACAATTGTCGCCATTTAGATTTGTCTGTTAAGTACCGTGATTCTGAAGCAACAAGATTTCAAAGACAAAACAGGAACAGGAATGCTGGTGATTAAGTGAAAAGAGATGATTTAAGTAATCAGCCCAGTGCAAGGTGGAGAGGGGAATACAAAAGAGGAAGAAACTGTCTCTGCTTTTAAACTTAAATGCAAGTTAAGGAGTTAGGATTTTTCAAATGGGAAACTTAAGTTTAAAATATACTCCAACAAGTTTTAGGTTGTGTGTCTAAAAAAATCTCTTGGAACTGGAAGAATTGCCTCTTTAAAACTTTTGTGTACAGGGCCAAAAGATAAGTCTTATTGATTATATATATAATATATCATGATCAACTAGTTTTTGTGTTAGTTCCAAGATAATTTATATGTAAAATTAAAATGGCAGGGTAAAAATGGGAACTGGGCAAATTAGGCAGAGAAGCAGCATACTGCAACACTGTAAAGTGGCCATAACTAAATATGAACCATGCCAAGAAGGAAAGGATGGTCAATAAATGTCAGATGAGAGACGAAACCAAGGGGAGTGGGAAGAAAATGAGAAAAGGCCAAAGAAGAAAGTAGAAACTAACTTTAAGAGAAGTTTCACTGACTTCAGGGATACAGAAATTGAAGGGGTTCTTAGAGATCATCACTCTGATCCAATTCCCTCAATTTATGGATAAGCAAGCTGGGGTCCACAGAGGCTAAATGACTTGCCCCAGGCCCAGCTAGAAGGCATAGAGCCAAGGCTTCTGAAAGACAGTGCATCATCTCCATATCACACTACTGCACGCTATGAAGTCAGCAGCAAGACTGCAAGGATTTTTTAAAACAAATTTCTGAATGATTGAAATAGTAGTCCAAATAATACACAACTAATTTTTGGAGTTTATTAATTATAGCATAGATATACTGAGTAATGTAGCATTCACGTTCACTTTATAGTTATTTTGTGACAAATTTAATAAGTAATCATTTAGAATTGAGTTATTAAGAATCTAATTTAAGAATCAAGTTGTGTTTACCCAAGATTAATTTTTTATATAAATATAAAACATTTGCATCAAATAAAATGTAGATTTTATTTAATATGCTTCAAGTCAGATGCAAATCACCTTAACAGAGGGCACTGCTTGAATTAGAGCTTGGTATGTCATTAAATATAATATTTGGGCCTTTGAAAAAGTGAGTCAAACAATAAATGGTGATCAACAAACCAAATCACATAGTTACCTAGTGACCCAAAAACTTGCTTAAAGAGGAGTACGGTTTAATAACGCTTGAAGAAAAATAATGCAAACTAACTTTAGTCATTATAAATCTTACAGTCATTCTTCATTCTAAGTTTAATATAATAATTGATATATTTGGTAAATATGTATGAAGTAAAGGCTCAGAACTTGGGGAATTTTCAGGCTGGAATTCATTGTACCATATAAAGGTTCCTGGCCGGGCGCGGCGGCTCATGCCTGTAATCCCAGCACTTTGGAAGCACGAGGCAGGAGGATTACCTGAGGCAGGAGTTCGAGACTAGCCCGGCCAACATGGTGAAACTTCCGTCTCTACTAAAAACACAAAATTAGCCAGGCATGGTGGCGGGCGCCTGTAATCCCAGTTATTCAGGAGGCTGAAGCAGGAGAATCACTTGAACCCAGGAGGCGGAGGTTGCAGTGAGCCGAGGTCGCGCCACTGCACTCCAGCCTGGGCAACAAGAGCGAAACTGTCTCAAAAAATAAAAGGTTCCTACTGGCAAAATATTAGTGTCCAGCTTAGGTTAGAAGCTGAAAATTGAGGGGAGGTTAAGTTCTGACATCACGTGCTCTGAGGAACGCATGGAATTAAATAAACTTCTGTGATTTTGGGGTGGTATGATGATCAATGAGGAAAGATCTTAAAGAGTGAGAGGAGCGCTGAAAACAAAAAAAGGTTAATTGCCTGGAACATTACTGAATCAGCTGCAACACAACTCCTTCACTAAATCTTTTCAACTCAAGGAGTATTTTTTCTCCCAGAAAATATTTCTAATTTTATAATGGAAATCAAAGAAAAAATGAGATTCAATAATACCAATATGTTGCAGCAGATCATTAAAAAAATCTGAATTATTCCAGATTATGGAATTATTTAAAATGGTTCAATACAAATAGCATTTTTCTGAAAAACTCATAAGGTAGCACTGATACAAATTGTTAAATTCATGAAACGAAGACTTAGTTATCATTATCCAAGAGTCATGATCAATCAGTTTTTGTGCTAGCTCTGAAATAATTTAGGCCAAGAAAAGACAGATGTTTTTCCCTATGGGAGGATCATAAGCAGCATACTCATAATTATAGCATTTTTGGTTATTTAGATGTGTATTGCTTATAAGACTTTAAGCTTTTATTGATTTCTTAAAAAAATTTTAATAACAGAGGAAGAGAAATGTTTCAAAAGAAAAACTTTTACAGAATAAGAGTTTAAAAAATTTATTTCTCGGGTTGAGTATTTTCTTACTGCCAAAGATTTTGAAAATAACATTTGAAACAGTTCATTTGCAGAAAAATACATTTTTATTTTTTACCTATTTCCTCCCAAATTGTGTTTCTATTAAAGCTGTTTAAAGGTAAACCATTTTATACTGAATAAGCAAAGATTATTAAATCATTTAGTAAACACTAATTTGTCAAATTCCAGAAAAACTTCCAATCTACTACTTACGTTATAAAGTGTTATGGTAAAACAGTCTTAGAATGTAGACAGGAAAAAGCCAAGGAAATTCTAGGATTTAAGCCTAATTGCCCTGGTAACTCTAAACTTAAACCTTCAACAAACAAATAAAATACCAAACCAGCCAGGAAGCATAAAGTGAGATCCATAGGTCTCAAGAGGAATAAAGGCTTACCTCCCCCTGTAAATCAGTGGAAAAGCTTCCAGGATAAAATACCTTCACTCAAAGATTATAAGCATATCTTATTAGCACAATTGCTTTGTAATTGTAAATCTTTTTGCATGTGAGAATTCTAACAATACAGGAGATAAGCTTTATACTTGGAGAGCTAAATAGCAATAACTGTAAACCCATTATGGATGGGAGAAAGGTTAAGAAAACATATTGCTTATTTTAAAGAAAAGGTTGAGAAGAAAGTGTAATGGTAGTTGCCAGGCTTGCGGGGGAAAGGAAGATGGGGAGTTGTTCAATGGATATAGCTTTTCAGTTTTGCAGGACAAAAAAGTTCTGGAGATTGGTTGCATGACAAGGTGAATATACTTAACGCTACTGAACACAACATTACTGAACACTTAGAAATGCTTAAGATGGTAAATTTTATGCTATGCATTTTTTTAACCACAATTGAAAACAAACACACAAACAAACAAACACACCACCACCAGAAGTGAGGCATTCAAAGATTAACTAGATTGACTAAGGCAATTTTTTTCTACTCCTGATAAATGATAGGTTTATACTGCATATATATTTTAAAAAAAAAAGAGGTTGAGAAATGTCATTTGAGACGTAAAGGGTCAACTTTTGAGACTGAAAGACCAGTCGCTTGGCTCTGAAGACTCTGAATGTTTGGTTGTGAAATCCAGGGAGTATGAAACCAGTGGACTGATGTCAAGTAAGACCAGACAGACAGAACTTGAGTTTAGGAGGCGGGTGAGAAACTGGCATTTCCAGTAATCACTGCCCAGAAAGCTGGCCAATATGATAGCATACAAAATCTTAAACACCTGGATTTATGCATTTAGCCTCTCTGTGTTTAAAGTGAGCCCTGGCCGGGTGCAGTGCCTCATGCCTGTAATCCCAGCACTTTGGAAGGCTGAGGTGGGAGAAATGCTTGAGCCCAGGACTTTAACACCAGCTGGGTCAACATAAAGAGATGCTGTCATTACAAAAAATAAAAAAAAATTCGCCAGGCATGGTGGCATGCACCTATGGTCCCAGCTACTTGGGAGGCTGAGGTGGGAGGACTGCTTGTGCCTGCCAAGTCGAGGCTGCAGTGAGCTGTGATTGGGTCACTGCACTCCAGCTTGTGTGACAGAACAAGACCCTGTCTCAAAAACAAACAAACAAACAACGACAAAAACATACAAACAAACCAAGGCCAGGCACAGTGGCTCACACCTGTAATTCCAGCACTTTGGGAGGCCAAGGCGGGCAGGTCAGCTGAGGCTAGGAGTTTGACACCAGCCTGGCCAACATGGTGAAACCCTGTCTCTATCAAAAATACAAAAATTAGCCAGGCACAGTGGCACATGCCTGCAGTCCCAGCTACTCAGGAGGCCGAGGCATGAGAATCACTTGAACCTGGGAGGTGGAGGTTGCAGTGAGCTGAGATCGCACCACTGCACCCCAGCCTGGGCAACAGAGTGAGACTCTGTCTCAAAAATAAATAAATAAATAGATAAATAAATACATAGATAGATAAATAAATAAATAAAATAAAGTGAGCCCTGGATACTACTTATTAATATTGTAACCAAAAAAATCATCATTCCATGGTGTCATGACTGACAGTATTTAAAACTTAAGCAATTTGTGCTGGAAAAACGATATGGAAGAAAGAATGCAAGTCTACCAAGAACCAAAAAAAAAAAAAAAAAAAAAAAAAAAAGAAAGAACGCAAGTCCACAGTCTAAGTGAATGACAAAGAGTGGCTTCCAGACCACTTGTATCAGAATGAGTAAGACGATGAAAAATGCCAATTTCTGAACCCCTCTCTTGAACCAATCAAATCAGAATCTCTGAGGATGGGGACCAAACCTGTATTTTTATTTAATACACCTGCACACTTGTGTTTGAGAATCACTGGACTAAATTTTAAAGGATGCAACTGCTGTCATTTTAATGGGGGTTAGAACTCATTAGAAGCAAATGTAGAGTTTAATACTTAAGAGTATCTTTGATGACATCATCATGGCCATCATTCTAGTTTCTCAGAGGCATAGTGGAGATGCTCTGCTCTTTTAAAGGAGAGATGATCAAAAGAAAAAAGAAAAAAGGAAAGAGATTTCAAATAATCTCTTTCACATATTAGAAGAGACACATTCCAGGTGAGTCACATGGTAGTTTGTGCTGCAACTGCCAGCTATCTGGCTAAGCTAGAAATTTTTAGAGCTACAATGAAAACTTTTATGTCTCTAAAGCAGGAATGATAAATAGCAAATATTTGGCATGAACACTGTTTTTTCCCTCTCCCTGTAGATACAAACACAGCACTTTAGGGCAGCCAATCAATTGCAAATACAAGCGAGATGAAACCCATTTACCACTACTTCTCCAGGGACAAGAAAAAGGTGAATAGGATTGGGATCTCTTTTAAAAATTTTTACATATATATGTAAAAAATTGTATATATATGCATGTGCAATATATGTATGTTTAATATATATTACACATACTCTCTATAAGAGATTATATATCTATATCTATATCTATCTATTATATATAAAGGGTATGTAATATTTATCTGGAGGAATAAAATTTGCTTAGCCAAATATTTAGAAATGTGCAATATAGTTTATAGATGTTTGTGTGATAACATTTAAATCACTCAGATCTCTCCATAAAAGCTACTATTTGCCCACTTGAAATCTGGAAATGTTACAGTATCACAAGAAAGCACAGATGATTAGAAGAAGTGACAAGAAAAAAGTGGACACCACCAGGCAGAATCGAGTTTCATATGAATTCACTAGGTCCTGAATTTAGATATGATTGCATTTGTAGCAATAATGAACTTACTTGGAAACTTGTTGTCTAAAACAAAAAATTTAAGATGAAATTAGCAAACGATGTTGCTTCTTTCCACCTTAATTAGCAGTGCAAGAAAAAATGGAGAAAGATATTATAGATGTTTCGACTTTTAAACAGAATTTAATGTGAATTTTATAAAGAAAAAATTTGATAATATCCAATAATTTGGTTTTCCAATTTACCCTATTGCCTCTTGTGTCATTCTAAATAAACCGACAGCAGGTACTTTTGAAATAGCACTATAAATACTAAATTTATTCCTTCATATTTTTGAAAACAGATTGAAAGTGAAAAGTTTCTTTGAAGATTATAAAAGGTAGACTTAATCTTACAGAATAAATTTCATAAATTCTATTTAACTAGTCATTTAATTAATAAAGTTCATGAAAATTTAAAACCTAGTTCTTACGTTGTTTTGCAATAACAAAGGATGGGAAGAAGGATTTCTTTTCTTTATATGTTTTCACAATAATATTAGAAAATTTGAAATCACACTTCTTTATCCAAACCAGTAAATTAACAGAAGGCCTGAAGGCAAAAGTTCCAATGATTATTTCCAATAAATTCTGAATCCCTCAGAGTGGAGAAGAATCTGAGCCATAACAATTCACCTTTTCTGATTTATTAATTCCCTTTATGCATCCCACATTCAGTGCGTGCCTAAATAATTAATTCCAGGAGCAGAGAAGTCATGCAATCCTTAAAGTTTGCCCTAATGTTGAGCTGAAGTCTACTATAAATTTATTCTGCCTGAAGCCTACTCAAAGTATAATTCTAACACTTAATTTTTTTAAATCTAAAATTTATCTTGTAGCCATAATGCAAATGAATAGAGAATTTTTAAAAAAGTTACATTGCCTGTAATGATCCATTTGAGTTTGTGACTATCTCTGTTATGTCAGCAGTTAGTTAATCATTTTCACAATTAGGAACTCATTCAGTGTTCTGGAGTGCTAATCATTCAAAGGTAGTAGCTGTTAAGAGAAGTCAATGAACTTGCAGAACTGCCAAATGTCTATGTATGAATTAATTTAATACTTCAATACAATGTAATCCACTAGAATGACAGCATTAAGGTTTATATATAGTTATAGATATTATATAGATTTAGACATAAAATATGGTTTTATTATTGGGAGGCTGAGGCGGGCGGATCACGAGGTCAGGAGATCGAGACCATTCTGGCTAACATGGTGAAAACCCGTCTCTACTAAAGAATAGAAAAAATTAGGCGTTGTGGCGGGCGCCTGTAGTCCCAGCTACTCGGGAGGCTGAGGCAGGAGAATGGCATGAACCCGGGAGGCGGAGCTTGCAGTGAGCCGAGATCGCGCCACTGCACTCCAGCCTGGGTGACAGAGCGAGACTCTGTCTCAAAAAAAAAAAAAAAAAAAAAAAAAAAAAAAAAAAAAATATATATATATATATATATATATATATATATATGGCTTTAATTTTGATCAACATATTAATTATAGTACAGAATATCTACAAGGTTGTCAAGCATAGAATAAATTATTTAAAAATATGTTAGTTATAGAAAATGGGCTCAATGAGTGTTCAGGTGAAACACCTCTAATTTTTTTTTTTTTTTTTTTTTTTTTAGAGGGAGTCTTGCTCTGTTGCCCAGGCTGGAGTCTAGTGGCTCAATCTTGGCTCACTGCAATCTCCACTTCCTGTGTTCAAGTGATTCTCCTGCCTCAGCCTTCCAAGTTGCTGGGATTACAGGAGCCTGCCAACACGCCTGGCTAATTTTTGTATTTTAGTAGAGACGGGGTTTCACTATGTAGGTCAAGCTGATCTTGAACTCCTGACCTCAAATGATCTGCCTGCCTCTGCCTCCCAAAGTGTTGGGATTACAGGTGTGAGCTACCATGCCCAGCCAATATCTCTTTTTTCTTTTTTTTTTGTGAGATGGAGTCTCACTCTGTCATCCCCATGCCTGGCTAATTTTTTGTATTTTTAGTAGAGATGGGGTTTCACTATGTTAGCCAGGCTGGTCTCGAACACCTGACCTTGTGATCCACCCGCCTCGGCCTCCCAAAGTGCTGGGAGTACAGGCGTGAGCCACCATGTCTGGCCCAATATCTCTAATTTTAAAGCAGTGAGTTCAATTGCTGATCTAAAGAAAAGTACTGTAGGCTGGGGGTGGTGGCTCATGCCTATAATCCCACCACTTTGGGAGGCCAAGGCGGGTGGATCACCTGAGGTCAGGAGTTCGAGACCAGCCTGGCCAACATGGCAAAACCCTGTTTCTACCAAGAATACAAAAATTAGCTGGGCGTGGTGGCACGCGCCTGTAATTCCAGCTACTCGGGAGGCTGAGGCTGGAGAATCGCTTGAACCTGGGAGGCAGAGTTTGAAGACAAAAAAAGGTACTATAAACACAGTACAGTATATAGTTCCTCCATTCTATACGTACAGAGAGGATACAGGAAGATGGTAAAAATGCGATATGCTTTTAGAAGAAATTAGTATATTTCTCACCATTTATATATCTTGAGATAATCAGCAATTTAAGCTCTAGCCTTTAAATTCTGTTTACTTAGCGTATTCTAGTAACTATGAACAATTTGAGCTACATGATGTATGTCACAAAATGGAAAACTAAGGGATTAAATTAATTCCAAGGTCTTTTAAGTCCTAATATTTAATAGTCATTAAACTTGTATTAATAATTCTTAGGTAGAGAAATTGTTCACTTTTCTTTACCAAGATTTATATACTATAATTACAAAATAAATTAAAAATATGCATCAGTCTCCATATATTTAAAAGCTAAGCTTTTCACATGAGGCTTCATAACTGTTAATTCCTATCAGATTTCTCTCAAGATAGCTGTTGAAAAATGAGAGGGAATCAGAAAGGTTATTCAAAAGGGAAGAAAATAATTTTTTACAAAACTCTGGTCAACTTATTAAAAAGTTGCTTGTTTCAAGATTTGTAAGCTTGTCAAGGCAGAAGAAGGAGTAGCTCTCAGTCTTCTTTCTACCCAGATACCCTAGTTGTTTTGACCGAGTTTTTCCATCACTATCTTCTGTAGCTAAGGTAAAATCTCATCAGCTGACAGCAGTGTGGTTCTTAAAGTGCGGTCCCCCTAGATCACAGCATCCACTCTCCTTAGGACTGTTAGAAATGCATATTCTTGGTCTTCTCCCCACCTCACCAGTCCTACTGAACAGAAACTCTGAGCTGGGGCCAGCAATCTGTGGTTTAACAAACCATCAAGATGATTTGTATTCACACTGAAGTTTGAAAATTAGTGCCCTATAGTAATGGGGAAAAATATGTATCTGTAAATGGAGAATTATCTGTTTATTGTACTGGAATTAAGAGAAAGAGGAGGAAATTTGGTAATTAAATATGAAAATGAGTGGAATGATATAGGGAGGAGTATGGCAGGAAAAGTTGTGAGACATCAATAAGATGGCAGGAAAAAGTTGTAAGAAATCAATAAAACTTCCAAAAATATTGATAAGATTTATTTTGAAACTAAGATAACGTAACCAGTTGTTTTTGGTTCATGAAAATGAAATTGTAGACCCATGGTGAATAGTAATTTGTCTCCTCTCTGCCCTTAGGGATGAAACTGTGAAGCTCTTCTACATTCTTATGATCTGATCCCTTTAAAAAGTTATGATCCCTTTAAAAAGTTTATTGGAAATAGTTGATCAAGATTAGAGGTTTTATCTGTAAACTAAAGATCAAATAACTTGTATTTATTAGCACCAACTTTAACCAATGGAATCCTCATATAAGCCAAGTGTCTCTTTGGTGAGACTAGTCCCACATATAGGGGACGGTTTTGGATAAAATAATTCCAAGTAAGCTGAGGCAGATGTATAGTGGCGGCTGGGGGTAGACTGTGCTTTATTAGAGTTGGAAGGATCAGCTTCATAGGAAATCTGAAAGGCAGTTTGGCCTAACTGAACGGGCACAATCGTTGGCTTTGGTGTAAATTTGGGTTCAAATACATTAGTTCTGATATTCTGAACCAGTTTATAAACCTCTGGAAAATCATATGAAAATGGGGATAATAGGGTTGTTATAAGGATTAGGAATAGTAGCTATAAGGGGCCCAGCTATGTCTAGTATACAGTGGGTGGTCCATAAGCAATAGTTATTACTACTAATAAATCTTAATTGACTCTTCCTTTTCTTACCACCTGCTCTTTTAAAATGGTCATGGTGAAACTTCTCTAGGGACCAAATTCATTTCTTTCTTTTTTTTTTTTTTTTTGAGATGGCGTCTCACTCCGTTGCCCAGGCAGGAGTGCAGTGGTGCCATCTCAGCTCACTGCAACCTCCGCCTCCTAGGTTCAAGCGATTCTCCTGCCTCAGCCTTCTGACTAGCTGGGATTACAGGAGCGTGCCACCATGCCTGGCTAATTTTGGTATTTTTAGTAGAGACGGAGTTTAACCATGTTGGTCAGGCTGGTCTTGAACTCCTGAACTTAAGTGATCCGCCCGCCTTGGCCTCCCAAAGTGCTGGGATTACAGGCATGAGCCACCACACCCAGCCTAAATTCATTTCTGAAATTACCTGTCAATCATGCTCGTCAAAAATATTTTCTGAAGATGCACTGTGTATTGAAAAGCTGGAGGAACTGACCTTTCAGTTCATGTCATCCCAAGTCAAATCTGTTTTCTATTCATCCTAAACTGTCATATAGAAATCTGGCAAGAGCGTGGAGAACAGTTCAGTGAAGTAGTAACCCTTCTTTCTTACAGTCTATAGATCAAGCTCACAGGGCAATTTCTAGATTTTCAAAGAGCAGCTCTGGTCTCTATTATGTTTCAATTGTCTTCTGAACAAATAAATAGGATGGAGTGGGTCCATGTGATAGTGAAAGAAATTAATGCCCTTACCCACTTCCAATAGGGTACAGTGTACAGGAGGGAAGAAGGAAAGAGGATTATAATGAATGGAATTTTAGAATTCTATTTTTACAACTGATTATAACATGAGATACCCTTTTTGGAACATTTACTAAGCAGCAAAAGATTTTGTTCTATTGACATTCTAGACTGACAAATCATTGGAATAAACCACATTGCTAGTTTGAAGAACCAAGAAATAAAATACAACAGTCTCTGAAGTAAATTAGCAAATGATAAGGAATGTTGTGAATTTGGGTGTCTGTATATATCTTTATCCTTACTCCTACATCATTTTCTATGGCTCTGTTGTTTTATTTTGCTCGGCAGTTTTGGCACGTAGGTGACTTCTTTTGGTAAAGTTGCTTAGAATATCTGATGGGAAGCTGAGGAAAGTTTCTACAAAATGGCAAGGGTAAAGAACTGCCAAACTAAACTATTCTCTCAAATCCCACTTAGATTTCAAACACCACTGAAAAAGAAGCAATCAAGGATTTAAAATGTATCTGCTATTTTGAGAAGAGGGAGGAGAAAAGAGAGAAAACATTTTCTAACAACAGCCAATTCATTCTATAGAATTTGTTGAAAACAGACCAACCAAATTGCTATTTTGAACCACCACCAGGGCAAAGATTAGTTATCATATGGAATGTTTCCGTAATGGAATTTATGTGCACAGAAACTTTTGAAATTAGCAAAATACACATGCATATGCACTTGAAAATACACTTCAGTTACCCTTAAATGGAGTCTCTGATAAACAAATAGGCACTAAAAGAGAGGTCTAGGGAGAAACATGTCACTCTTTTTTAAGCCTCTTCACTGGCAGTGGCGGGGCACTGCATAGCTGAGGACTGGGGTGCTTAAATACATGCTTCTCTGCATTCCAGCCTGGGCGATAGAGTGAGACTGCATCTCAAAAAAAAAAAAAAGTAATAATAAATAAATAAATAAAATAAATGCTTCTAAGACAAAACCCTTGTGTGCTGCTTCTTCTCTTTTCCAATCACCATCCTTTGACGTTTCTTAAGGCTAAAAAAAACCCCCAAACCATTAGATGTTTAATCTTTGCATACCCTAGTAGTTACAAGTCCTCTAAAACAGAACCATACAGTTCACAGGTCAGTATCCTTTCTGATGGTCTTTGTCAGACATCATTATTTCTAGCATAGGATATTGGACAGGATCAACAAAAAGGAATCGAAGACAGTAGGGACCACTACCATGACAGCTGCAGTATTATTTGGCAATGTGATCTATGGTTATTTTAGGAAAAATGGCATTTCAGGAAGTGATATTAATCTGTAAAATTCCTTTGCCATGCAGAATATAAAAAATGATTACAGAATATGCAGAAAAAAGCAATGCTCCTTCCAAATAATGAGATATTTGATATAATAAGGAGATGGGAAATAATCAATATTTAAAAATATTCCTTTTAAAAAATTAAAGTTTAGGATAGTTACGTAGTTAGTATACAACAACTTGGTCTTAATAAGGACTAGAAACAAAATTTTATTTTGTGTGGCTAAAGAAATACATACATATTATAAAACTGACATTTTTTTGCATTGTTCCGTTGGGTATCATCACAGGTTGCTGCATCATTATAGTTGTTTTTAATGTAAACAGATAAACTCTCACACTTTCCAACTCTGGTATTATCCATCTATTTTTCCTTTCACAGTCCACTGATACAGAATTTTAAACATTTAGAGTAGGAGGGAACCTTAGCTTCCAGCACAATACTGTTCATCTTTCACATGAGGAAATCATCCAACAGAAGTTGAATGATTTACTCAGGGTCAGGCCGCACCTTGGCAGAATTACGTCTTATTATTCTTTCTCAAATGCTCTTTTAAAGGTTAAACAGAGGTTGAGTTTTGAGAATGACTTATTTCTCTTAGATGAATTTCGTTACAGACAAGCAAAATAATCAGCCACTGTCTTTCTCTTTTCTATTTTTTCTTTTCTGTTTGCCACCTCTAGGCAACAACCTCATTGAATCCACAACAAAATCCTGAAGATTTCTGTATTATCCAAGAGAACCATTTTCTTTAAGAAAAATAAAATACTAAATATGTTTTGAATATAAAAGTTTCTGATAAAAGTAATCCTGACTTTAATCAGATCAAGTAAGATAATCAGATTTATACCATTATTTTGATAAAGACAAAAAAAACAACATAAGCTTTTTTTCCCCAGTCTTACACTTTGAGCAACTCTTTTAAATACTATAAACACTTTTCATCAGGGACAATTTTTCCCTTTCCCTAGGAAAATGAAAACCGAATAGAAAAATTTTTTGCAAAAATTAAGTTTAAGAGGGTAAAATGTGAAGACAGAGAACTGCTACTTAATCAGAAATAAGTAAACAATATTAAACAGGAAAGTATATATTCCATTTAAATGAGTTTTTTTCTTCATATTCATATCACAAAGTAACTTCACTATAGCAGCACTAATTCATTATGTTTTTATTTACTGGTGGATGTCACTGGCCTCAATAAAAATATGTAATTTTTCATAAGAAATATTCAAAAGAACATAAAGTTTGAAAAATATAATTTACCAGAAAGCACCAACATGGGAAGCTCTTCAATTAAGGATGGGAAATTATTAATATGCTTTAGCCTAAATTTAAGCAAAATTCATTCCTAAAGATGAATTTTTAATGAATTTTATAATGAATTATTCAGCATGAAAATAAAGGGAGCAAACTTTTATGCTTTTAAAATATGTTTAAGAGGATCTTATCTTTTAACAACACCTCTTTCATTTTGTAAACAGGACATTATGCTACCAAATATAGAGTTATTATTCTAAAGTTTAAAGCAATGCTTTAAATTTTTAAACCTTATGACATGTTCATAAAATTCACGGATACCAATCCATGAAAAAATTCTTCTTCCTCAACCCACATTTTTAAAGATATTTACAATTGTATTGGATCTTTTACTCTGGTTGCTTTAATTCATAATTAGATAGCATCTTTCAGGACTCAAGTATGGGATCTTTCATTTTTCAGATAATTTTTTCTTGGTGGTCAATAGAAAAGTCATATCAAAATGCACTCTTGATGGGAATGAAAAGAGAATTATGATTTTTGGGGACGGGTGCTCACAAAACTATTAAGGCAGCTTTGTTTATGTTTATAGGACTAGTAATAATGCTAACTTCATTAAAAAATTATATTGACCATTTTATATTCTTCCACCAGAGAGACAGTTTAGCTGTACTTGTAACCTCACAGCACTCCAGTTTTTACTCATTCCCCAAATCATCCCACTGCCTTTGGTCCCAAGACTACTGACAGACTCTTGGTCCTTCAGTGAAAAATCAATGCTTTAAACAATCGGGTCTAGAGTTACCTATTTGCTTAAACTTGGATTTGATGAGGTTGCTAAATGAACATTATACCTTTCTCATAAAGATAAAGGCTTCATGCTAATAAAGTATTTCAACAGAAATATACCTTTTTACTATAGTTCTAATACTCATTTGCTCTTATAAGGGCAAGGTCTTTGGATAAAGATAATAGTAACAGAATTAGTAAAAATTGACTGAACGTGATACTTTATTAAAGCTTTTAAATATGGGTGTTTTTCATTAGGGAATACGGTTTAAGATAACACTTGGTTAAATTATTTAATATCCTGGCACTCCTGAAGTGCACTACTTCAGGAAAAAGACCAATATATTTGTGAGGGGAATACAGGAAGGCAAGATGGCTAGGAAGAGAGAAAGGAAACTAGTAGGATGAACTGAATATTTGTATATTTAAAATACACATATATTTGCACTTTAAGTAAATACCAATGGGATTCATTCAAAATTTCCTTGATATTTCCTTGGTATAGTTAATATATTTCAAATTAAGTGATATGTTAACTAGCTCAAGTATGATATCTAAGTTAAAAAAAAGTCACTTAAAATGACAGATCTGAAATTGAATCTACTAGGTACAAGATAGTATATATAATATGTTTTCATCTGTATGTTTTAAAAAGAATATATATATATATATATATATATACATACACATATACTTGTATATGCAGAGTAACTCTAGAAGGATACACAAGAAATTGCTAACATTGGTTGCTACTTTTCACCCTCTACCCATCTGTACTGTTTCCATTTTGTACTATATGTATGTTTTTCCCTATTCAAAAATATTGATTAAAATCTCATTACCAAAATAAATTTAAATGATTTAAAATAGCATGTCAAATTAATAACAAGTACGGATTTTTTCCATTATACATGAAAATATATACTTATATTATTTTTCTAAGCTCTACCTACTAAATTTGGGTATATTTTCTTTACGACAGAGTTACTGTGATCTGAAAACCCAATTTTCACATGATATTAAGTTGGGAAAAACACATTTTCCCTGAACTTCATTGCTACAGTATGGTGGACTATGAGTTGTTTCAACAGCATGTTAACATACTTATTCTTTTTCTCTGATGGGCTAGCCATTAGCCACCATTTCTCTTTGAAATTCAAGAAATATTTAAGGAAATTTCAGAAGGATTTAAGATCCTTTTCAGGCCGTGATAAATATTACACCTGTATTATTCTGTAGGCATAGAATCAATGTTAACTCCTCTTTGTATGTTGTCAAAGATGTTTGGTGTTTTAGTAAAGACAGACTTCAAACTAAGTGGTGACTAAGCAAACCCCTTACATAAAGCTTTGAATAGGATTTCATAAATAGTTCCAATGAAAAACATTTGGAGATAAGAAGGAAAAAAAGCTCACACTTATGAAAAAATTATTTTCAGAAAACCACTTAAAATTCAAATTAAGTCCTATTCATTTAAATATTAAAATATACCATAAACCCAAATTTAAAGGAATGATAATACATACATCAGCTTTCAATGGTAGCTGCTTATTTAAAATGAGCATCTGAGGGTATATTCCAGTTTCATCCTCTTCAAATTGTGCAGCTCAGATAAATGTTTATTTTATGGAAAATATTTGCAAAATTACAATATAAATACATGATTATATTAAGGTAGGATGACTATATAATTTATTCTTATCTATAGATATAAAATGAACTCAGTAAATATAGCACACTCTTGATGAATTGTTAGTACACAGTGTTTCTCAGTAAAGTATTATTAAGCAACAGTTATCTAGTTTTCAAATGTACATCTTAAGAAGCTTTTAAGATGGAAGGATACACTAAATCCCCCAATACCCTTTTTAGTTGGGGAAGGTTAGTACTTCTGTGAATTCTGAGATATCATATTTGTGTTAGTGACTGTTCATAGGTTCCTTGCATTTCCTTAACTTGAAACCTTACTTCTTTAGTCTGAATGTTCTTTAAATAATGCCACATCAGCTAACCACACTTTTAATTTGAGTATAATATTATGTACTGCATATTTATTCATTACTTAAACACATATCAACAATGAAACAATGATTGAAAAAAATTTTGTCTAGACAAATTCCCCAAATTAACTGTCAGGGCACTGTGGGGAATCTCAACTAAATATAGTCTCAACTGTAATAAGAATTTGGGTTAGAAATAGTATTTTATTTATTCTAGTTCTTAAGACATCAAATGTGAACTCTACTTTAAAATTCTTTGTTAAATATACTGGGATTTGTTTCAAAAGCATCTTCTACCCTTCTCCATTACACTGATTTAATGGAAACCTGTTACAACAACAGTTCCAACACAAACATATGCATGCACGGGATCACCTTATAGATTCTAGCTACATAGTTATTGAAACACATCCCACCTGTCAAGTGGCATAAATGTACATCTTCTATATACAAAAGGTAAAGTGCATTATTAAATTAGTGAACTGACAGATTGTCTGCCTGGACCATACAGCTTTCAAATAGACAAATGTGAAATTCTCATATTAGAACCAATTATTTCAAGAGGTTCCAACTAGCTTTTCCACCCTGTCATTTATTTTTTTGGCCATGCTCTTTAGTGCAAATAAGCTTGTGTTTGACTCAAGTTTCAGGGACATGGCAGTCTGGGGCTTTAACAAGGAAAATTATAAAATGTAGAGGAACTTTAATATCTTTATAATACATTGCATCTTTTGCATAAAGCAACAGATTAGTGCTGCTTTCGATTGCTAGGAGCACACTGCCAACTATCAAGAGGAACCCGTTTCCAAATTTCATACTATTAGCTTATATTACTACAGTTTGAGCCTGTACCACATTATGCTTGGATTATTAGGTGCAAACATCATCAGTGTTTTAGAATTATACAGTGAACTAGTACTTTTGGTTACTAACTTTCATGCTCATTTTTTAACTTCTAACTTCCAGTTGCCTTAAGAGTTTAATGTCTTCAAGGCAGGGATTCTGTTATTTTGAAGGATACCATGAACACTTGCAGCTCCATGTATGTTACAAATGACAATAAATAAAATGCATATTGCACAGATAAGAATAGTAGCTTATTTTATAAGATACATGGCAATACATGTCCTAAGACCAGAGTTTTGAACTGGATCATATTTAATTACGGCTAATGAATTCTTGGGAATTTTAAGTATCAAAAAGTCATAGCATCATCTCATTTTTGAATGATTAACTATGAAAAAAATGAAACAAAAGGACTGGCAGAAGGCTTAATAATTTTAGAGTATACTCAATTGCCAGTATATATGCATCTATTTAATCTGCAGCTTTGAGATGGTAAAAACTTTGAAGTATACATACAAAGTAGAAAATCTGGCTGCTTAACTAATTCTTTACTTAAATAATTAATGGAAAACTAAATTTAATAATGTTTATATACAATGAGTTAAAGATATTTATCTTTAAGTCTGACATGGTATTGTATGTATGTATACACACATATATATGTATACATGTATATACATATGTCTGTGTGTATATATATAGATATAGACACATACCCAAATCTTATCAGACCCAAAAGGTAAAAGGAAATCATTTAGACCTAATGGATATAAATATTTTAGAAAGGAAGACTTTAAGAGAGTGTATACACTCATAGCAATAGCGATAGGAACAATCAAATACTAGAATATTCACAGCTCCAGTTTGCCAAAATCTGACAGGTTGATTATTATTAATAGGCACTATGATGGGCAGCAATAACAATCAGTAGTACAGTAATTCAAGTGCACATCATTCCTTCATAGACCAAAAACTACTTTTTTAGCAAGCCTACATAGTTATTTTACAGTTAGGACTGTTTAAAAATCCTTGCTACTTTTAGAGTCTCAACACCCACCATGTGCTATTAGCTCTAGTACTAACATTATCTCCTAACCTTCAGTTGTTCCATAGTGATCCAGATGGTCCACAATTATAATGAACTAATGAGATTCCTTCACGCTACTAGAGGAAATGTGAAATACAATCTGCAAACCAACACTAGTATATATGTCGGGGTTACTGATTGCTTGTTCTTAAGTAACATAAACCAATGAAATTAATTTTTTTAATTCATACCATCAAGTTTTCTTAGTGACCTCACGTAAAGGTATTGGGGGACAAAACTCTGGAAGAAAAAAATCGCTGATATAATTTTAAATTACTTTTAGCATATAAAAGAAGAGCTACATTCTGATTTGAATCCATGCAGCCAGCTCTCATCAATGAGAGTGATATTTGGGGGTTGAAATCAGTGTTCTGGCTCTTAAATATGATTAGATGGACTTATTGTGTGGGAGGTGAATAAAGCCAAGATAAAAGACAATAATTTCATTCAGAAGAAAATATAGCTGAATAGATGTAATTTCAGTCAATTAATACAGGATGGGTTGGTACACATATAACACTATATCCACTTGTTTAAAAAATTGCTTAGGTGTTGAAAAATTGCTGTGGCACTTCCTGGAAAGTAATTTTTAATACAGGTAAATGGGTGAGTCTTGTGTAAAGTCAGAAAGAGCACCTTGGAAAATGCCTGAATTTTCCTTTCAAATATATTTATAACCAATCTTCAAATAATATTTTTCTCAGACTGGAAATTTGTATTCTAAATTATTTTTAGAAAAAAAAAATCCCCACCCCCTCCAGAATTAAAACACCTGTAAAATTCAGGATTATATTGGAAGTGTTGACATGGTTTTAAGGGTAGCAATTGCAAAAGTGCTACTAAAATATATTATTACAGGTATATTTTTATATCAGTTAATTGGTACACCAACCCTTCTGAAAGAGTGTTAAAGAAGAAGCATAAAGTATAACACCTTGAGTCCATGATATATTTTGGGGAAGAAACCTCTTGCAATCTTTAAATTAGCATGAAAAGCTACACCACCAAGATTTCCATAGCAAAGCCATTGGATGAAGCCTCCCACTCAATGTGACATAAAAGTAATTCCTGAAACTTTGGAAAGTCAATAAAAATATATGGAACATTAAGTAGAGGTAAAGAAGGGATTGTAACTAAACTTAGAATAACGAATTAAAACTCTCCCATGGCTTTGATATGGCAACTATAAAATGTAGGGTTACCACAAAGTTTGAAATTATAGAATACTATAGTATTCTTAAGAAATATTATGACATTATATTTTTAAGGTTTAATTAGGTAATAAGATTTGATCCTTTGATGGTATATTCAGTTATTCAACGGACAATATACGTCTACTTGTACTTTTATAAGTAAATATTTATATATACCGGAGGTCAATTTCTGTTTCTGTGGTAACTGCCCTACAGGTAAGCTTAGCAGCTTTTAATGAAGTAGAATTGAAATACTTTTGGGGGAAAGTCACACTTCTATTTAAGTATATGTATCTTTTTTCGGGATTATGTCATAGTGCAATGTAAATCTTAGTTATGGTATTTAGAATGTCAGAATGTCACATTTTGTGCTGATTTGCATACTTCAATAGTCTGGAGCAGTTGAAGCAGCTAAACTATTTAGCTCTGGGAAGGTTGGAATTCCCGTAAGAATTATAGTGATCTATGTGTAACATAACATGAGAATCAGACTTCCTGAAGTATCAACTACTAGAGGTATTACTAATAACAACGGGCCAAAAAAGAGGAAAAACTTCTTCAAAGGATAATGGATCAGTACTTTTAGCCAATTTGTGATTTTAAATTTTGCCTGATGGAGTTCAATTTCACTCTAGTCGAGGCATTCTTGTTCTTCACCACTGGCCTTTCTGCCATCCATTCTCTTTTCTTTATGGCTGTTGCAAATTTTCCTCATCTCTTCTTCATACTTGATAAAATTCTCCCCAAACCTTGTCCAAGCTTTGAATGGAACAGTAATAGTATTACGGTAAGGTGGTCTCACCTCACTTACCTTCAGGAAAATTCCATATTTATTAGAGCCCACATCAAAGTAGAACCTTTTATTGTCCACTCTGAAAGAAGTCCCCTCTGGGAGTTCAAGCGGGTCATCGTCTCCACCTCTTCGTTCTTCTATGTCTCCTTCGCCATAGTCTTCAATCAGCTGAACCAAGGCATCACGAAACTCAATCATTCCTTGTGCTGGGAGGACAATAGTCTGTTCTTGGCCCAAACTGTGGCCAAAATAACCTATCATGCCAGTCCCCCGCATCATGGTTTGTCTAATCCGTAGGAAGCGACCCCGCTGATTTTCCTTTAGGTCTAGGTAATATTTCCTATTGTCCCTCTCGATATAGTCTGTTTTCAGGACACTGTGAGGATGCTCTTCGGACCCCACCGAGACTGGTGGGGAGGGTGCCGAGTGCTTCTGCCTCCTTCTGGAGCCTTGCTCTTTGCTGTGGCCATGCTCTTGCCGGTGGCCTTTCAGGCCCAGGTGGGCATAGTGCTCGATGAAGTCCCCTAGACAGTCCTTCAGCTCCGCTGCCACAGACAGGGAGAGGGTCAGTTTACTCTTTCTGATGTTGTCCTGCCGGCCTCTCCCTATCCAGACTTCGGCTATCTTTAGGAAGCGGCCCCGGGAGCTTTGCTTCACGTCTAGGTAAAACCTCTTTTTCTGGATGTCCACTCGTTTGGAGGCCAGCTCCTGGATTTCGGCTGCGCCCCCGGCCTGATTAGGGGTGGCTGAGGCCGCGTAGTGGGGGTAGTGGGAGTGCTGGGCCTGGGGATAGAGTCTACTCTTGCTTAGGCCAGAGCCCCCTACATTCTTGCCTCCGCGGCCGCGGCCGCCGCCGCCTCCCCTTCGCCTGGCTCTTTCCATCTTCAGCTGCAAGTAACAAACAGACACACGGGATGGGGTGGGGGAGGGGTGTTGAGAACAATCGCAGACGCCCCTCGGCCTGACCGCCCCGCCGCCGCCCGCGACCCCCACGCCGGGCCCGGCTCCCCCGGCGCCGCAGCGCGGGGCTCCAGCCACTGCCGGCCGGTTGGCGGCCGCCGCTCCGGCTCTGCCCGCGCTCCCCGCATCCCTCCGCCGCCCCCGGGGCCGCTCCCGCACGCCGCCGCCGCCCGTCCCGCGCTCCGCGGCCCCAGGTCTCCAGCCGGCGGGCACTCACATCATCTCTGCCATCACCGCCGCCGCCGATGCCCTTCACGACCACCGCCGCCGCCACCGCCAGCTCTCGGCCCCTCTGCTGCAGCCGCCGCAGCCGCCGCCCCCCGCCTCCTCCCCCGCCGCCGCCGCTCGCACTGCCCCCCGCCGGAGCAGCCGGGCAGGGGCATCGCCCGCGGCGCCCACCGCAGCCGCCCCTCCTGCGGCCGCTGCGGGGGCCGCCGCCTGACTTCGGACACCGGCCCCGCACCCGCCAGGAGGGGAGGGAAGGGGAGGCGGGGAGAGCGACGGCGGGGGGCGGGCGGTGGACCCCGCCTCCCCCGGCACAGCCTGCTGAGGGGAAGAGGGGGTCTCCGCTCTTCCTCAGTGCACTCTCTGACTGAAGCCCGGCGCGTGGGGTGCAGCGGGAGTGCGAGGGGACTGGACAGGTGGGAAGATGGGAATGAGGACCGGGCGGCGGGAATGTTCTCACTTCTCCGGATTCCACCGGGATGCAGGACTCTAGCTGCCCAGCCGCACCTGCGAAGAGACTACACTTCCCGAGGTGCTCAGCGGCAGCGAGGGCCTCCACGCATGCGCACCGCGGCGCGCTGGGCGGGGCTGGATGGGCTGTGGTGGGAGGGTTGCAGCGCCGCGAGAAAGGCGAGCCGGGCCGGGGGCGGGGAAAGGGGTGGGGCAGGAACGGGGGCGGGGACGGCGCTGGAGGGGCGGGTCGGGTAGGTCTCCCGGAGCTGATGTGTACTGTGTGCGCCGGGGAGGCGCCGGCTTGTACTCGGCAGCGCGGGAATAAAGTTTGCTGATTTGGTGTCTAGCCTGGATGCCTGGGTTGCAGGCCCTGCTTGTGGTGGCGCTCCACAGTCATCCGGCTGAAGAAGACCTGTTGGACTGGATCTTCTCGGGGTAAAGTGTCTTCCTATTCCCGTTTTCCCAGCTCCGTGCCCCGGGGTATCTATAGTGCTAGGCTTCTGAGACACGTGGAGGCGCTTAGGCCCGCGGAGCAGGCCCCTGGGCTGTGTTTGGGAGATTCTGGAAAAACAGACTTTCTCCCTTTTCCTTTCCCCTCTGGAGCAGCTGGGAAAGGCGTCTCTCGGAGCTTCCGCCATTCAGAAAGTGTTTCCCCGCCCCTGACGGCCCCAGCTTGATGTTTACCTTGCGCGCTTAGTTAGGATTGCTCTTTCTAGTACGGCCTTTATTATGGCAGAAATTGAGCCACTACAGGTCTGCACAGCAAAGTCGAGGGAAATAACCTGCTGTCTATGATTTAGCAAGTGATGATGGATATTTTTGAGTTCAAATCACTCAGTCTTTAATGGATTTTCTTTTCTTTTTTTCCTAGTTGAATCTCAGTTGTTCTCAGGCTAGGTTTGATATGAAAAATACTACTCCCTATTGAAGAGGGTAATATAATTCTTAGGATGCTAATACAGGAGTCTGTAAGTCGGAGTACTTCAGGCTTTTTATGGTTCGGTACATTTCTTTTTAGGGGTGGGATATTGGGATAAGTAGGACAGTTCAGATCTTGATGTCATTGAATAGTGGTGTCTACCTAAAAGGAAGAGGCTGGGGCACAAAATTATAATTTAAAGTGTTTACTTCAGCCAAAATGAGGACAGCTGCCCAGGACTCATTTCCCAGTTGCCTTGGGGAGTGCTCCTTCAGCCTTGGTTACAAGCAGGTTTTTAAAGGCGAAGGGGAAGAGTGGGCTGAGACAAAGTTGGTCAGGAATTGTTATTGGTTTACAGAGATACCATTGCTTAGTGATTGGCTGTACACTGTAACTCATAGGGTATGAGTTATCGTGTCCAGCATATGGCATTTTATGGCTTCTTGGTTCCAGTCTAGAGCCCATATAGCAGGTGGGCTTTAAGAGATAATTATCCAGCTCAGACCGGGAGTGAGACGGGACTGTTTTTTCATTCTAATGCCTCTCTGGGCCTGATAATTTAAAGGGGCTTGCATTCTTCAGCTAAAATTTTATTTTCTTTTATTTTTTTTCCCCCACAGTGGTCTCCCTTTATTAATCCAACAAATGTTTATTAAGGACTGCTCTAGGCACTAGAGATACCAACAATGAACAAAACAGACAAACATCTCTCTCCTTTTGGAGCTTACATTTTAGTGGAAAGAGACAGGCAAAAAGTAAAATTATAGGATGACAGAAGGTGAAAATAGAGATTAAAAAGGAAAGGGGGATGAAGAGTGTGTGTGTGTGTTGTGGGTGGGGGGCTGTAGGGAGCTGCAGTTTTACAATAAGTGGTCAGGGACGTCCTCGCTGAGAAGGGAATTTTTGAGTCCAGAGCTCAAGGAAGTGAGAGAACTTACCTTGACGTTCTCTGGAGGAGAAGAAAGTACAAAGGCCCTGGGGGAACCTGCCTCTTTATGTTCAGAGAGCAACTTAAGAGGCCTAGTGAGCTGGAGCAGAGCGGAGAGGAGGTCAGAGGTCAGGCCAGAAAGGGAAAGGGGCCAGAATGTGTAGGACTTTATGGGCTATATTGAAAATTGGGGCTTTCATTCTGAGGGAGATGGGAAGCTGTTGGAGAGTTGTTAGGGAAACGTGATCTGAATTATGTTTCTAAAAAATTGGAGTAAGATATCATAAAATTTGCCATCTTAGTCTTTTTTGTATCTGGCCAATTCCACTCAGAATTCTTTTTTAAACAGCTTTATTGAGATATAATTAATATATCATATGATTCACTCATTTAAAGTGTGCAATACAATGGTTTTTAGTTTGTCTTCAGAGTTGTACAACCTTTATCACAATTACCTTTAGGACTTTTTCATTACCCAAAAGAGAATCTCCATAACCATTAGTACTCAATCCCACCCGCTTTCCTAGCAATCACTTACCTATTTTTTTGTCTCTATATAGCTCTCAAACCCTATGATATTCCTTCTATCTAACTGTATTTTTGTACTCATTAACAGCCTCTCTTCATTCCCACCACCCATCCATCCCAGCCTCTGGTAATCACCATTCTACTTACTACCTCAATGACATCAAATTTTTTAGCTCCCACATATAAGTGAGAACATGCGATATTTGTCTTTCCCTGCCTGGTTTATTTCACTTAACAGAATGTCTTCCAGTTCCATTCATGTTGCTGCAAATGACAGGATTTCATTCTTTATTATGGCTTAATACTATTCCATTGTATATGTATATCACATTTTCTTTATCCACTCATCTGTTGATGGACAGTTAGCTTGATTCCATATTCTGGCTATTGTTGAATAGTGCTGCAGGAAACATGGAAGTGCAGATAGCTCTTTGACATACTGATTTCATTTCCCTTGAATATATACCCTGTAGTGGATTTGCTGGACCCGCTTGTAGTTCTACATTTAATATTTTGAGTTATTTCCATAATGTTAGTAATAATTTACATTCCCACCAACAGCGAGGAAGGAGTTCCCTTTTCTCCACATCCTCGCCAACACTTATCTTTTGTCTTTTTGGTAATAGCCATTCTAACAGGTGTGAGGTGATATCTCATTGTGATTTTGATTTACATTTCCCTGATGGTTATTGATGAGCAATGTTTCATATACTTGTTGGTTATTTGTATATCTCCTTTTGAGAAATGTCTATTCAGGTCTTTTGCTCATTTTTTAAATATGGTTTTTTAATTTTTTTATTTTTTTGCTATTGAGTTGTTTGACATCCTTAAACATTTTGGAAATTAACCTCTTATTAGATGTATAGTTTGCAAATATTTTATCCGATTCTGTAGATTCTGTCTTCAGTCTGTTGAATTTGCTGTGCAGAGAAGCATTTTATTTTGATGTAATCCCTTTGTCTATTTTTGCTTTTGTTACCTTTGCTTTTGAAGTCATATCCAAAAAATCATTGCCCAGATCAGCAGTCCCCAACCTTTTTGGTACCAAGGACTGGTTTCATCGAAGACAATTTTTCCATCCACAGGAGGGAGGGGATGGTTTCAGGATATTTCAAGCGCATTACATTTATTGTGCACTTTGTTTCTATTATTATTACATTGTAATATATAGTGAAATAATTATACAATTCACCATAATGTAGAATCACTGGGAGCCCTGAGCTTGTTTTCCTGAAACTTGAGGGTCCTATCTGGGAGTGATGGGAGACAGTGACAGTTCATAAGGCATTAGGTTCTTCTAAGGAGCATACAACCTAGATCCCTTGCATGCGCAATTCACAGTAGGTTTTGCGCTGCTATGAGAATCTAATGCCACCGTTGATGTGTCAGGAGGTGGAGCTCAGGTGGTAACGTGAGGAATGGGGAGCAGCTGTAAAGAAAAATGAAGCTTCGCTTGCTTGCCTGCTGCTCACCTACTGCTTTGTGGCCTGGTTCCTAACAGGCCATGGACTGGTACTAATCTGTGGCCCTGGGGTTGGGAACCTCTAGCCCTGACCAATGTTAGGGAGCTTTTTTCCTGTGTTTTCTTCAAGTGGTTTCATGGTTTGGGGTCTTACATTTAAGTCTTTAGTCCATTTTGAGTTGATGCTGTATGTGGTGAGAGATAATTGACTACTTTCATTCTTTTGCATATGGTTATCAGTTTTCCCAACACCGTTTATTGAAGAGCCTGACCTTTCCCCATTGTGGGTTCTTGGCTCTTTTGTCAAAAATCAGTTGGCTATAAATATGTGGTTTTATTTCTTGGGTCTCTGTTCTGTTCTATTATCTGTGTGTCTCTTTATGCCAGTACCGTGCTGTTTTAATTACTAGAGTTTAGTATATTTTGAAGTCAGGTAGTGTGATGCCCCTAGCTTTGTTCTTTTAGCTCAACATTGCTTTGGCTATTCAGAGTCTTTTGTGAGGATAATGTTTTCAAGGTTCACCCATGTTGTGGCATGTATCAGAACTCGATTTCTTTTTATGGCTGAATAATATTCCATTTGTTTATATTATATATATGCCATATTTATTTATTCATATGTTGATGGACACTTAGGTTGTTTCCACCTTTTGGCTATTGTGAATAATGCTGTTATTAACATTGGTGTACAAGAATCTGTTTGAGTTCCTATTTTCAATTCTTTTGGGAATATACCTACGTGTGGACTTACTAGATCACATGGTAAGCTTTTAGTTTAGCTTTTTAAGGAACTGCTAAAACTGTTTTTCCATGGGAGCAGTGTACAAGTGTTCCAGTTCTCCATATGCTCACCAAAACTTAATTTCCTTTTTTAAAAATTATAGCTATCCTAGTAGGTGGTGGGAAGTGGTATCTTACTGTGGTTTTATTTTGTATTTCTTTAATGACTAATGATGTTGAGCATCTTTTAATGTGCTTATTGGCCATTATATGTCTTCTTTGGGAACTGTCTATTAAGTCCTTTGCCCATTTTTTAATTGAGTTTTTTTTTCTGTTGAATTGTGGGAGATCTTTATATATTCTGAATATTAAACCCTTATTGGGTGTATGATTTGCAAATAATTTCTCCCATTTTGTGGGTTTTCTTCACTTTTTGATATTGTTCTTTGATTCACTTTTAAATTTTTATAGAGTCCAGTTTATCTGTTTTTTCTTTTATTACCTATGCTTTTGGCATCATACCTAATTCCCAAATCCAATGCCATGAAGATTTTCTGTTATGTTTTCTTTTAATAGTTTTATAGTTTTACTTTTTCTATTGGAGTTTTAAGTAAATTCTTGTATATTAGTGTGATACATTTTAAGTTATTTTTGTATATGGTGTGAGGTAGGGGTCCAACTTCACTCTTTTCCATATGGAGATCCAGTTGTCCCAGCACCACATGTTTAAGAGTCTATTCTTTCCCCACTGAATGGACTTGGCACCCTTGTCAAAAATCAATTGGTGGTAAATGTATGGATTTACTCCTGGAATCTCAATTCTATTCTATTGTATTTATATTTCTGTCCTTATGCCTGTACCACACTGTTTTGATTACAGTAGCTTTGTAGTAAGTTTAGAAATTGGGAAACATGAGTCCTCCAACTTTGTTCTTCTTTTCAAGATTATTTTGGCTATTTGGGGTCCCTTGCAATTCTGATGAGTTTGAGGATCACCTTTTCCATTTCTGCAGAAAAGCCTTTTGATAGGGATTGCATTGAATCTGTAGATAACTTTGGGTAGTATTGACATCTTAACAATATTAAGTCTTTCTATGCATAAACATGGGATATCTTTCCATTTATTTGTGTTTTCTTTAATTTCTTTCAGCAGCATTCTGTAGTTTTCAGAGTACACGTTTTTCACCTCCTTGGTTAAATTTATTCCTTGGTATTTTATTCTTTTAGCTGCTATTGTAAATGCAGTTACTTTCTTAGTTTCCTTTCAGATTGTTCATTTCTGGTGTATAACAACAGCTGATATTTCAACGTTGATGTTGTACTCTGAAACTTTGTTGAATTTACTTATTAGATCTAGTAGCTTTCTTTGAGATTTTTATATGGGATTATGTCATCTGTATATAGAGATAGTTTTACTTCTTCCTTTCCATTATGGATGCCTTTTATTTCTTTTCCATGTCTAATTTCTCTGGCTAGAACTTTCAATATGATGTTGAAAAGCAGTGGTGAAAGTGGGTATCTTTGTCTTGCTTCCTATCTTAGGTGGAAAGCTTTCAGTCTTTCACCATTAAGTATGGTGTTAGCTGTGGGTTTTCATAAATGCCCTTTATCATGTTGAGGAAATACCCTTTTATTCCTAGTTTTCTGAGTTTTTATCATGAAAGGGTGTTGGATTTTGTCAAATGCCTTTTCTGTGTCAATTGAAATGATCATGTATTTTTCCTCCCTTATCTTAATGTAATGTGTTATATTGATTAATTTTCTTATGTTGAACCACCCTTGCCTTTCTGGGGTAAATTTCAGTCACTTATGTTATATAGTCCTTTAAATTGTGTTATCTTATAACAGAATCACTCTGCTACTGTTTTGAGCATAGGCCATAGGGAAAAGCAGGTAAAAGGTAATATGGCTTGAACCAACATTGTAGCAGCGGAAGTGGTGAGAGGAGGTCGAATTTTGGCTTTGTTTTGAAGATAGAACCAACAGTATTTGCTGACAGATTAGATGCAGAATGTGAAAGGAGGAGATGAGTCAGGATGAATCCAAGGCTTTTGGCATGAGCAACCAGAAAGATGAAGGTGACTTACTAAGATGGGAAATATACAAAAGGAGCAGTTTGGGGAAACTTTATATCTATTGAGTGGAATATGCCAATTAGAGATTCAAATATCCAGTAAATAATTGGCTATCAAAGTTTGAAGTTAAGAGGAATGGTCTAGGCTGTTTATATAACTTTGGAAGTCATTAGTGTATAACAGCTAATTTAAAAGCCAGCAGACTCTAAGGGAGTGAGTGTAGAGGGAGAAGAGTAGAGGTCTGTGACTTGAATCCTGGAATGCTGTGATGTTTAGAGATTGGGGAGGTAAGAAGGAGCAGCAGAGTATACTGAAAAGGGATTGTTATACTGAAAAGGGATTGATATAGATGGAGACTCAAGAATTATCACAGAAACCTGATAAAATGTTTCAAGAAGATGGGTGTGATTAATTGTGTCACTTACTGCCGGTACATTGACTCAGATGAGCGTTGAGAATTGGCTATAGGATTTGACAACATAAAAGTCATTGGAAACCTTGACATGAGCCCTTTTCGTGGAGTGGAGTGGTTACAGTGGGTTTAAGAGAGGATTAAAGGAGTGGAAACAGAGATGCTATTATAGATGACTCGTTTGAGTAGTTTTCCTACAAAGGGGAGAATAATAATGGAGCAGTTAGCCAAAAGTTGAGTTTTTTTTTCTTCTTCTTTTTTTTAGTTGGAAAAAATTGCGTATATGTTGATGGGTCTTTTCTGGCAGACCAGTAGAGAGGAAAAAGTTGATGATGTAGGAGATGGGAAAATGTCTTTGAGTAGATGTCTTCGAGAAAATGTCTTTGAGTAGATGAGAGGTTTGCACACATGGAGAGGTTGGATGTAGGAGTACTGATAGTTCATCCATAGTTACATAAGAAAAGGTAGATGTATTAGAGTTCTCCTGAGAAACAGAACCAATGGGAGATCTTTATATCTCTGTGTCCATCTCTATCTGTATTTCTGTCTCTGTATCTATGAAGAGATTATAAAAGTTTTAAGATCTGCCAGGAGACATACCCACGGGAGCTAATGGTATAGTTCCAGGCCAGTTGTGAAGGCCTGAGAACCAGGAGAGCCTATGGTGTAAGTTCCAGTCTGAGTCCAAGTCTGAAGGCAGGAGAAGACCAATGTCCCAGCTCAAAGACAGGCAGAGGGAGCAGATCTTCCCTTACTTAGCCTTTTTATTTATTCAGGCCTTCAACAAATTGAAGGCCCACCCACATTAGGGAGGGCAATCTGCTTTACTCAGTCTACTGAATCAAATGTTAGTCTCACCCAGAAACATCCTCACAGACACACCCAGAATAATGGTTAGCCAAATATCTGGGCACCCCATGGCCCACTCAAATTGACACATAAAATTAACCACCACAGTAGAGTATATGGGTACAAATATAATTATGTGATATAGATTTCAGGGTAAGAGCCTGTGGAAATTCATTTTTGATTGCTTCTAGTGAAATCGGAAGCAAGATCATCAGCTAAGAGTGACGATCGGTGGAGGAGATATGAAGTTTAAGTGGAGAGGAGAAGGTATAAAATAGTCTTAGGAGGGGAGGATAGTAAATAGATTAGGGAAAAGTTGTAGGATTGCCAGGAAGTAGTAAGGGCCCACTTGAGGCTGGTGGTCACAAATTTAAGGTGAGACCAGTCAAAATGGTTGTGCTTTTCACCTGCTGCATTCATTCAGCTGCATAGGTACAGGCACAGAGTAGGTCAAGAGTTCTTTTTTATTCGGGGTTAGAGTTTTGCCAGGAGATAGTAATAAAGCCAGAAGGGCAATGAATTTGAGGGAGTATGCAAGGAAGTGGCTGTTAACTTGGAGTTTAAACTAGTCAAGAAGAGAATTAAGGACTGCCCAAGGGGTGAGGACAATGATATGGTAGCAGGGCCCTTAAAAGCCCCAGTTAGATGAAAAGATTGTTGGAATTGAGTTTCTAGAGGGAATGAACTTGAAAAACAGGAGGTGTTGGTTGGAGAGTGGGATATATGGAATTGAGATTATGGAAGGATTCAGTCGTTGGTAATAACATAGTATCTTTGTAGGAATAAATAGGTGGAGCAGGATGCAGACAAGATCACTGGAGGAGGGCTGGTCAGAAGACTGGGAGGCACTATCTCCCTTGGATATTATACATCAAAGCTTGTGATCTACTAGACAAGTAGTGGGGAAAGGGTAGGATATAGATATTAATGGCTATAGTTTTGATGGTGATGGTCATGGTGATGATGATGGTCCATTAACACTCAACTCAAATACCATCAATTTGATTTATATCTAACACCACAAAGTTAGGTGTTGAGTTACATGTGGTTATATTGTAACTAATAGTCAGCCCTTCATGGACTTCTATTCTTTGATGAGACTCTTCTTGTAGGAGTAGTAGGTGCCTTAAAGCACCTTTTCATAGTTGTCAGATTGAAATCCTTCACCAGTGTTTTAGGTTAACCCTGTTACTGTGGAAGTTTCTCTTGGCTTTCTGTGTGGGCTGCTTCTTTGTCTAGTTTTACCTTTTGGGGTTAGCATACTATTGTGAATAATTTATTGGTGAGAAGGTAAGCAGAGAAGTAGAGTACTCTATGACCTAGTAATTTCATATCTAGGAATCTATCCTATAGAAATGATAGGAATGCCTTACAATACCCACATATCCACAAGGGTATTCATTGAACGTTATTTTTGGTGAAATTCGCAAGCAACCTAATTATCATCAATAGGGAATTGTTAAATTATGATAGATAAAATGGAATTCTATTCAGTCTTCAAAAAGTCAGATCAAGAAGTGGTCTTACATTTTAATTATCCCATCCTGTCAACAAGAGTGTCTTCAGTTGCAAGTAATGGAAAAACCATTCAAACTGACTTCAGCAATAAAAGGTTATTTATTGGTCTGTTTCATGGAGACATCTGAGGTAGAGTGGCCTTCAGGCAAGTTCACTCAGGGATCCGACTATTTTTCTGGCCTTATTCTTGGCCCTCTTCTATGAAAACACCTTCAGGGTGGTTTCTTGTATGCTTGTAAGATGGCTACTTGCATCAACCATGACCACATCTAGCAGGAGCAAAAGCATCCTTTCCCGTACCAGAGGAGAGTCCCGAAATTTGTTGCAATTGGACTGCCTTGGAAGCAATAATTATGGCCAGGAGATGGAGGCTAGAGAACTGAGACCTGATCATAGCTCCTATCCTTGAATCAGTTGTATAGCAAGGGGAATTGGATTTTCCTTAAGACAGTTGGATTTCACCTGTAGTCTTGGTGATGAGGTCAGTTCCATCCATAAAACTTTGCTGTTACACATTTTGGGATGGGGTGAGGAGGGCTGAATGGAGATTAGGATGCTATTGAAATTTGCTGTACACAATGGATCATTATCGTCTTCTTTCTTAGTGTTAAGGTAATCAGCCTCTTTTTCCTCCTCCTATGCTTGACTTTACTAAAACCATGAGACATGTTTAACCTCAGGACTCCAATTTGAAAAAATATAGACTGTTATTTACTTTATTACTTACAGAAGCCCTTCATACTACTCTCAGCAAGAAAGAGGTAGGCAGGGAGTGAGGGAGGGGGGATCATGCTTACTGAGAAACAAACTATCGAGTATTGAAACTCCCCCTTCATATGCCTGACCTCAGTCCCATTCAGTTACCAGTAGGGGCCCCTATTAATTGGTACCTCACCAGCTTTTGCTGTTCGTTCATAAAACTGAGTCATTGAAGTACAGTAGAAAAATAATTGGACTACAAGATAACTTATTTCCTTCCATAATTGCAAAATATCTGATTTTTCTTCTTGTTTGTATTATGTAAACTTACCCTGTCTGAGGGTCCTCCTGGATTGTTCTTTGCATTTATATATACATAGAATTTCATTTTCTTTTTTCTTGTTTTTTTTTTAGACGGAGTCTCACTCTGTCGCCCAGGCTGGAGTGCAGTGGCACAATCTCGGCTCACTGCAAGCTCCGCCTCCCAGGTTCACGCCATTCTCCTGCCTCAGCCTCCCCAGCAGCTGGGACTACAGGTGCACGCCGCCACACCCGGCTAATTTTTTGTGTTTTTAGTAGAGACGGGGTTTCACCATGATAGCCAGGATGGTCTCAATCTCCTGACCTTGTTATCTGCCCGCCTTGGCTTCCCAAAGTGCTAGGATTACAGGCGTGAGCCGCTTGCCCGACCTTCTTTTTTTTTTTTTTTTTTTTTTTTGAGACGTTGAGATAGAGTCTCACTCTGTTGCCCAGGCTGGAGTGCAATGGCACGTTTTCAGCTCACTGCAACCTCCACCTCCCAGGTTCAAGCGATTCTCCTGCCTCAGCCTCCTGAGTAGCTGGGATTACAGGCGCCCGCCACCATGCTCTGCTAATTTTTGTATTTTTATTAGAGATGGGGTTTTACCATGGTGGTCAGGCTGGTCTCGAACTCTTGACTACGTGATCCGCCTGCCTCGGCCTCCCAAAGTTCTGGGATTATAGGCGTGAGCCACTGTGCCCGGCCAATTTCATTTTCTATTTTGAAATTTAAACTACCACTGACACTTCGTTTTCCCTCTGTTTTACTTAGCATTTATCTTAGAGAATAATCTTAATATGTATAGTTCTATTTTATTCTTTTACTGGCAGCTTAGTATGCCATATTTTGGATGTGTCATTGTTTATTTACCTATTAATTTACCCTATAACTGCTTCCCATATTTTTGCTTTTACAAAGGGATGTAATGAACATCCTTTACATACGTCTTTGTGCATATGTGCAAATATTTCCATAGGATAGATGTAATTACTGACTTGAAGGTTATGCAGATTTAAAATTTTGATGCCTTCTATGAAACATCTTTCAAAATGGTGATGCCAGTTTCTTCTCTCGTAATTACTGCATATGGTCAATCTTTTAAATTTTTGCTGGTAATGATATTTCAAAATTATAACCAGTTTTTTGGCCTCATTTCTTGAATAACTTGTTTTTTCTCAAAGATAAGAAATGTCTCCTTCATCGTATGTCAAATTTCCATATTTACATGGATCTATTTCTGGACATGGCAAGTTTTATTTATTTATTGTATGTATTTACGGTGTACAACATGATGTTTTGATACACATATACGTAGTGAAATGATTCCTACAGTCAAACAAATTAACATGTTCACCACCTTCCATAGTCTCTGCAGTCTTCAAGGTTTTCTCTATATGGGATTAGACATGCTATGTCTGATCTGTTTTTGTATTTTTACACCAATTCCACACTAATTTTTTTTTTTTTTTTGACTGGGAGTCTCGTTCTTATTGCCCAGGCTGGAGTGCAATGGCATGATCTCTGCTCACTGCAACCTCCGCCTCCCAGGTTCAAGCAATTCTCCTGCCTCAGCCTCCCTAGTAGATGGGATTACAGCACTCGCTGCCACACCTGGCTAATTTTTGTATTTTTAGTAGAGATGGGGTTTCACCATGTTGGCCAGGCTGGTCTCGAACTCCTGACCTCAGGTGATCTGCCCGCCTCGGCCTCCGAAAGTGCTGGGATTACAGGTGTGAGCCACCTCACCTGGCACACACTATTTTAATTACTGTAGTTTTAAAAGTTTCATATTTAGTAGGGTGAGTTTTTCCTTGTTGGTCTTGTTTTTCAAAAAAAATTTGCTGCTCTTGAGTATTTTCTCTTCCCAGTGAACTTTAATGTAAACTCACGTGGTTCAATGAAAAATTCTGATGACTTTTTTTCTTGGTATTGCTTCTTGAGTGTATTGATTTAATTAATATATTTACAGTTTTGGGTCTGGCTGTGCCGAAACGCAGTGTGTCTTATCCAGTCCTTTTTTAACTGTCTTAATAAAATTTGCTGGTTATCTTTAAAATGGATCTTGTATATTTTATGTTAGGTTTATTCCCAGGCAGGTTGTCATTTTTGCTGTTACTGATTTTGGATATAAATTTTGGATATAATTGTATAATTTGGACTTGGATATAATTGTATTTGATTCTGTCTTATATATAAAAATGAGATAGGATAATAATTTATCCTAGGATAAAAATAATTTGAGTATCCTTATTTTGCATCTGGTACCTTACTTGCTCCTGTTAAACAAATAGATAAAATTACTTGTCTTCAAAGAGATCCTGTGGAAAAATTATTTATTTTAGGAGACTTTGGAGCTTTGATAAAAATTAGGCTTATCTTTTGTAAAAGCTGGTTAGTGATAGCAATCAGACTCTTTTAAAGGTGATTTTTTTTTCTTTCCTTTGATAAAATGCTTAATATGAGGGAGGATTAAGAAAGAGGATGGCTTTTGAACAGTTTCTTCATGGGGAAATAAGAAATTAGAATAATTTCATGTTCTCCAAAAAAAGGAGAAAAATGACCTTCCCTCCTGAGCCTACTTCAAGCCTCTGTTTCTTTCTGACTCTATTGTTCTCATCTCTGCATTTTTCCAATCTCTTCTACTGTTAGTGTTTTAGGCTAGCTCCTCAGTGGAGGGCAGAAATTCACCTTCTCTTTAGCTGTCTTTGAAACCAAGAAGATAGAGGTATGAGATCTTCGTAGTCTGTAGTAAGAATAATAGAAGCCATCAGAAAAAAATATCAAAGCTTTGTAGCTGCTCCTGGAAGTTTTGATGTGAAGCAGGAGACATCACCTATTGGTACCTGACTTGCTTTTGCTGTTCATTCATAAAACAGAGTCTCTGAAATACAGTAGAAAAATAATTAGACTGGAGGATAACTTTTTTCCTTCCAGGAATTACACAATCACAAAATTGCTGATTTTTCTTCTTATTCATGTTACATAAACTTATCCTGTCCGAAAAGACTGTATTTGAACTTACTATGTAAGATTTGCTTTAGGTAAATTTATGGCTGCTTCCAGAATTGTGTATTAATTTTCCAGTTTCTTTTTTACCAGTCTCCACTTTTACCTTTCCCTCTTCCCCCTATACTTAAATTGGTCTTACTGTAAAATTTATGCGTTTCTCTTTCTACCTGGCAATGCTGATTTTTTTTTTTTTTTTTTTTTTGAGGCAAGGTCTCACTCTTTCACCCAGGCTATAGTGCAGTGGCAAGATCGTGGCTCACTGCAACCTCGAATCCCTGGGCTCAAGCGATCCTCCCACCTCAGTCTCCCAAGTAGCTGGGACTACAGATGTGTGCCATCGCACCTGGCTCATTTTTGTATTTTTTGTAGAGATAGTATTCGCCATGTTGCCTAGGCTGGACTCAAGCCAGCCTCCTGCCTTAGCCTCCCAAAGTGCTGGGATTGCTGGCACGTACCACTACATCCAGCCAGGGCTGAGTTTCTGAATCATCATTGCAGCAAGAGAAATTGGATTACCTTTAGACCACTGGCTCTACTGTGGGCTGGGAGTGGGACACCTTCCTTAAAGCGCATTGGACATTGGCTTTGTGGGTAACTGATCTTTACCTGAATGAAATTTATCAGTACTGTATTAAGGGTCTAGGGTGGAACGGATGCTAGCAAGGCAACCGTTAACATCCACTTACTGATGAATCCTATAAAATTTTATTTCAGGCCATACGAAGTAACAGTAATAAATATAAAAGGAAAAATAGACAACCTAAGCAACTTTTTAAATTGACTTACTTGAAAACTTTCCCTGCAATTTCCCGGTTTATAATGGTTGATTTCAGCTGACTGGCTATAGCTACTTAGAGAACAGAGGAAATTCATTAAAAATAATGAATTATTCAGTTGGGTAGTGAAATCCAGTTATAAAGCACTTCGCTGTGCCATGGATTCAGTTCAGGTCAAGTGATGTTCCTGGTTTATGGGCAGTGTGGCTTCTCACTATGACACAGCAAAGAACGTAGCTTTTATCCTTTACCCTTGTTACTAACTAAAATTAATGGCATTTTATTGTGTTTATTTGTTTGATTCCATTTACAGTTTATTTCACTTGGTTTTATTAGTACAAAATTGTGCTTTATATAATATTTGACAGTTAGGAAAAATTGTTAGATACCTATAAAGAAACAAGTCTCTCAAAAATCATCCTACTACTTTTAAAAATTACATCGTCTTACTACAGTTAACCTAGATGTGAATGGGTAGTTTTATTTAGCTTTTCTGGTTTGTTTGCTTGGTCTGTTTGGAGGGAAGTTAAGATTAGCAGAAATGTAGTAATAGATTCATGAAAGTCTTGAAAGCTTCTTTAATTAGAGAATTTAATGAGGGCTTTGGCATGCATTCTTTGGTTTTTCTCTGTTTTCCTCTACCCCTTCTTATTCTTTTTGGTTCATTGAAAAGTAGAAAGAAATTCTCAAAAACCGTACAGGAGAATACCTTATAAATGATATCTTCTGCAATAAACTATAGATTGTATATATGTATATGTATCTAGATACACAATCTGTGTGTGTGTATATATATGCTTGTGTGTGTATAAATGTATAAATTAGTTACTAGTATATACGTAAGTATAAAACCTCAATGTGCAAGGTTACATTTTCAGAAAATATGTAATATAATAAAAGAAATCAAGCCCAGAATTTTTAAAAAGTTTATTGCGCTTTCTGTTAAAAATGAAAGGCTTTTTGACTGGAAGCTGCTTCTCAGTAAAAATAACATAATTGTGTTGGTGAAGCCCAAAGATTCTAATGAAAATTAGGGTATTGACAACCAAACGGAATTGCTGGAGTACTTAAGCTGCTTTGGTTTTGTAATCTTTCTGTGTCAGAATATTTGAAAAACACTTATTAATCCAGTCTTGTAACTTATCCTTGAAATCTCTTTTTTAATATTCTTTTCCACACACATGAAAAGTTAGATGAGTGTATGAATTTCTGTTGTCAGACTAGTTGTAAACCTCCTAAATATAGTTTCTGCAGTATAGTTAAAGAGAAAGAACATCCTGGCTAACACGGTGAAACCCTGTCTCTACTAAAAAAAAAATACAGAAAATGAGCCGGGCATGGTGGTGGGTGCCTGTAGTCCCAGCTACTCCGGAGGCTGAGGCAGGAGAATGGCGTGAACTCAGGAGGCAGAGCTTGCAGTGAGCCGAGATCACGCCATTGCACTCCAGCCTGGGCGACAGTGCGAGACTCTGTCTCAAAAAAAAAAAAAAAAAAAAAAAAAAAGAAAGAAAATAGGCCCAGCAAGGTAGCTCACGCCTGTAATCTCAGCACATTGGGAGGCTGAGGTAGGGAGGATTGCTTGAGGCCAGGAGTTCAAGACCAGCCTGGGCAACATGGTGAAACTCCATTTCTACAAAAAATACAAAAATTAGCTGGGCATGGTGGCATGTGCCTGTAGTCCCAGCTACTTGGGAGGCTGAGTGGGAGGATTGCTTAAGCCTGGGGAGGTTGAGGCTGCAGTGAGCTGTGACTGAGCAACAGAGCTAGACTCTGTCTCAAAAAAAAAAAAAAAAGAGATGGGTTTTGAAATTCAGTACTTTTTTTGAGTGAGGTCCAATGGGTCAGAAAGAAGCATTGGATAAATGAATCCATTTTCTCTTCTCTGTTTGAATTTGTAATTTGAAAGAATATTCTACCTATAAAGTACTTCAGTGCTTAATTAGCTGTCAGTGAATTTATATATCTTATCTAATTCATATGGATTTGCTATTTTTATCTGTACCTACAGATTCCTGACCTCTCTAAGGGGATCCCAGTATACTATAGGGAATGAGGTATAATAGAAGTAAAAGACCTATCACTAGTCCTGTCATCATTCCAACTCATGTGTAATTATAGTTTAAAAGAAGTGACATCATGTGTATTGCTGTTTATCTTTACATTAATCTTGTGGTCAAGAAAGCAAATACTATAATATATAATAATTATATAATATCATAAGACAAGTAATATAATAATGGGAATATAATCCCATTTTACAAATGAGGAAATGAAAATTTAGAGAAATAAAGTGACTTGTCCAGGGTCACATGGATACTAAGTGACCAAGTGTCAAAGCAGAATTTTCCAAATAACTTAAAGATAATTCTTGTACAAATATAGAACGAACACATGTCATATGTGTTGTGTTAATGAGGGAACCAGAAGGATGACAACATTGGTTCAGAGAGATGCAAAGATAAATATAGACATTGGAGGAAAAAGTTGGAAATAAGATTGTTAGGTTAGATACAAAGCTGTGTTATAGGCCAATAAAAACCATAGACTTTGAGGTTATCTTTTTTACTGGACAGGATTCAGTTACACCTTTATGAGACCAAAATTTATTATTTAACATGTGGATATTAGAGTCTGAGTTTTAAAATTATTAGTAAATGACCGTCAAATAAAGATATGTCCCCTAATGAAATACTGATAATCGCTGGGTGAGCTTGTGCTCCTATATGACATTGAAATGACATACTGCCCTCTCTTTGTCTTCTAAGTTTTGGATACTTTTTTTTTTTTTTTTTTGACACAAAGCTGCATTAGAACCTAGGTTTCTTGATTTTCAGTCCAGATTTCTTTCCACTCTACTTCCTGCTTCTTCATAGTATAATTTTCAACACTAGAGCAGTCTGCATAACTTTTGCAAAATCAGCTAGTCTTTCTTATTAGTTTTCCTTTGTGCAAAGTGATGTAGATACAGCTTTCTTCTTCAGAGAAACATTGTGAAATTCAATGAATATTTGTAAAATTTGCATACGTGCCCAATGTGAGAAATTGAAATTATTACTTAAGTATTGCAACTGTTCTTTTAGGATATTTTGTTTGCAAATTTCAGAGTAATTATAAATATTCTTGCATTTTTATTGTAATCAGTATTTATAAAACAGTGTATTTCATCACATTAACCTTTACATATTTTGAATAAAATAGTATTGAACCATTTTAAATAGTAAGTGGAAATTTTTCCACATTAAACAGTATAACGGGCTAACAGAGTTAAGCATTGCATTATTTAACTAATAATTTTTTCCTGAACTTCAGATTATTATCTGTATGTGTCATATAACTTGACAATTTTTTTTTTTTAGTGCTTTTTAAAAAGAGTGGGATACTTTATTCAGTTTAGCCCTCAAGCAATTAGGCAAGTCAGTTACCATGGTAACAGTAGGTATTAATTTCCTTACCTAGTTAGAGGTTTTATGAACAAAGAAATCTCTGAGTTCATCCACCAAAACCCAACTTTCTCTTGAGACTGGCCTCTTGAGACTGGTGTTAAATTTGTCTATTTTCTAGAAGATGACACTATTCTAAGTGGAAAATACGGTTCTCTTGAGGTGAATTTCTACTCTATCAAGAGTGAAGTAGAGTATGGCTTAAAAGTTAAGTGATTAAAAAGCTACCCTTTCTTAGCTAATTTGGAATGTAATTGGTCTTAATTTTTCTAAATTCGTTCTAACCAAAATCTTATTGGCGTGATTTCTATTGACATGAACTAGAAGTGACTTCAGCAGACAACTTGTCCCAATATCTAAATGCTGTCAAATAGAATCACTTAAGATGAATTTCTTCCAAAACAGAGTTCACAATTTTGACAGATAATCTCTTAGCATTTAATTGACTAGTATTACCAACCTTATGGAATAGGTCCACTCGTTTAGCTATCATGAGGACCATTTTGCAACTAACTTATCAAAAAGCCTTCACCAAGAAGTTGCATATCTTATTGATATTTTAGAATGCGATTATGGAGATTAAAAATCACCACAATGGGTTGTTAATAACGCCAGCCTTGAACTTTCAGTTTTAGAGCATTTTATCTGTGTTCTGTAGTCAAAGTTGGTAAGGTGTCCAGTGGGTCATGTTTGACTTGCTGCTTGTTTTTGTACTGTGTGCTAAATGGTTTCTACATTTTTCAGTGGTTGAAAAGTCAAAAGAAGAATAATATTTTATGAAATTTAAATAAATCCAGGTTTCAGTGTCTATAGGTAAAATTTCATTGTAACGTTGTTATGCTTAAGTATTGTTTATGACTTCTTTGCTATAGTGACAAACTTGAGTAGTTTTGACAAAGATCATCTGGCCTGTAAGGCCTAGAATAGTTACTGTCTAACCCTTTAGAGAAAAAAATTGCTGGCCCTTGTTCTATAGTATGAAAAAATATAGCCTTGATTATTCATTAAAAAATTATTTTCCCATTTTATTGACATACTTTTGTCCCCTGATTGTTAAAAGGAATGCATGTTCTTATAGAAAAGTTGGAATATATAGAAAAGTATAAAGAACAATATGAAAAACCATTTGCAATTGTGAGATAACCACTAATGTTTTGGTATACATTGCTCCAGACTTACACACAAACACACACGCGTATTTATTTTATACAATTAGAGTCTAATTTTTTTTTTGAGACAGTCTTGCTCTGTTGCCCAGGGTGGAGTGCAGTGGCAAGATTTCAGCTCACTGCAACCTCTGCCTCCTGGGCTCAAGTGATTCTTGTGCCTCAGCCTCTTGAGTAACTGGGATTACAGGCGTGCACCACCATGTCCAGCTAATTTTTGTATTTTTAGTAGAGACGGGGTTTCGCCATATGCCCAGGCTGGTCTCGAACCCCTGGCCTCAAATCATCGGCCTGCCTTGGCCTCCCAAAGTACTGGGATTACACACGTGAGCCACTGCGCCTTAATTTTTTAATTTGCTTTTTTCACTTGAATAATTATAAGAACATTATTTTTAATGACTGTGTAGTGTTCTGTTTTATGGATGTACCATACTTAATTATTTAGTCATAATTTATTATTATGAGGTTGATAAACATGATAATCAGATTGAGCTCAAGAAGCTAGTTATAGGGTTGCACAATTAATGAATCCCAGGTACCTCGCTGGGTTGCTGAGGCTGCTATTTTTTTCCTGCCTGTTTGGAACACTGTGTTTGGGACCAATGAGGCAAAAGAAATTGAAGAGCTGCCATTTTCAATTATTCTATTAGAAGATACATTGAAGATTTGTCAAATGACATAGACACAACACTAATCCAGAAGATTATTTAATCAAAAAGGCATTCATTTCAGATATGAATTCATAAACATTTGTAACGATCCTCAGTTTGAAGACCATATAGAATCCCTGAAGAACTGGAAGACACTATTTGCTTGGCAAAGAGAAGTCCCCAGACCAACTGGGGATGAAATATTCAAAGAGATAAATGAATACTTTGAAACATACAAGGTACTATGGAAAAAGAGTGGAAGTTTGGGACAGGTAATGACAGGAAGATATAAAAGCTTTACATTAAGTTCAATCTAAAACTTTATTCCAAGTAACAGGTTGTCTTATTCATGGAGAAGCAGTTGTAAATTAAAACTTGCCTGTGGTTTGGAATTTCACATTAAATGATTACATTAAAAATTCAAATGGTGAACCTAACTAAATCCAAGCTCCTACAGTACCTTCTTTTCACCTTTAGGTGAAGAAATGCGGTGAGCTATTTTATTACTGATTATGTGGACAGTCCAAAGGAAGGTTCATAAGCGAAAAGGAAAAATTTAAATTATTCCATGTGAGCGATTCTTACTTTGCAGATTTGTTGAAGTGTAGTTACTGGCTTCAAAAAGTGGTATCCTTAACTGACATTTTGAACACTTGAATTCACTCAATAAAAAAATGCAGTGATCATGTGGAAAATACATTAAGGTATATGACAGAGTTTATGGATTCAGAGCAAAAATTCAGCTTTGGAAAAGTGAAGTTAAAATGGTTTTTTAAGTGATGTTTAATTGGTGTTATTTGAATCCTAAAGAAGAATTAATAGTACTAGTAGAGGAAAGTCAGTGTGTCTGTGACAAAGCTTTAGTATTATTTTGAAATACTTGATATAAAAAAGTTCACGTTTACTCAAAGCTTACTTAAATCATCAGAATAAATTAACATGTTTCTTAATTAAAGAAAAGGAGAAGCTATTAGACTTAAAAAATTTTTGCACCCTTGAAATACATACAATTTGAAGAGATTAAGTTGTTGGAATACTGGTTAATGGTGAAAAAGGAGTTTTCAGTCTATGAAAGCAAAGCCTTCTCCTTTGCCATTTGCTTTTTTGTAGTGGTTGCTATGTAGAATTCGAAGAAAATATTGTTAAAAAGTCTTGGTCAGGAGTAGAGTGTAGCATGAACCCAATGCATTTTAACGTTAATAATGAGGAAAAAGGGAATGCATGATAATTTCATCAAGTCAGAAAAAAATGGAAAAAGAAAAAGAGGAAACTGAAGAAAGTAACTGATGAAAGTAAGGTGAAAGGGAAAACAACTTTTTATACCACCTGTGAATGAGATTAATTTTCGTTTCCATACTGAAAGACAAATATATTCCAATTAAGCCATTCAAAATAAAAAACAATTTTTTTTTGGTAAGAGATGGGATCTCACTATGTTGACCAAGTTAGTCTTGAACTCCTGCCCTCAATCAGTCCTCCTGCTTCAGCCTCCCAAAGTGCTAGGATTTCAGGCATGAGCCACTGTGCCTGGCCAAAACCAAAATTAAGCAACAAAACAACAACAACAAAAATTCCAGACAGCCTTTAAAATAATGATAAAGGTTGAAAAATTGTAGATAGTGGTAGGTAGATAAGATTTCAGGAAAAGTCCAAAGCAAATCATAATACGTTATTTTAAAGGGGGGTTTAAAATCCTTTAAAGGTACAATGTGAAGCATTATGAAATGATAAAATACATGTTTTTTAAAAACATTAATTTTATTTTAAGTTCCAGGATACATGTGCAGGACGTGCAGGTTTGCTACATAGGTAAATGTGTGCCATGGTGGTTTGCTGCACCTATCAATCTGTCACCTACATATTAAGCCCCGCATACATTAGCTGTTTTTCCTGATGCTGTCCCTCCTCCAGGACCCAGTGTGTGTTGTTCCCCATGTATTCTCATCGTTCGGCTCCCACTTATAAGTGAGAACATGTGGTATTTGGTTTTCTGTTCCTTTGTTAGTTTGCTGAGGATAATGGATTCCAGTTCCATCCATGTCCCTGCAAAGTACATGATCGTGTTCCTTTTTATGGCTGCATAGTATTCCATTTTATATGTACCACATTTTCTTTATCTAGTCTATCATTGATGGGCATTTGGTTTTTTTCCATGTCTTTGCTATTGTGAATAGTGCTGCAGTGAACATGAACATGTGTGTGCTTGTATCTTTATAATAAAATGATTTATATTCCTTTGGGTATATACCCAGTAATATAATTGTATAACCCAGTAATAGGATTGCAGTGTCAAATGGTATTTCTGGTTCTAGGTCTTTGAGGAATCGCCACACTGTCTTCCACAATGGTTGAACTAGTTTACATTCCCACCAACAGTGTAAAAGCATTCCTATTTCTCCATAGCCTTGCCAGCACCTGTTGTTTCTTGATTTTTTAATAAACGCCATTCTGACTGGCATGAGAGGGTATATCATTGTGGTTTTGATTTGTATACAAAAAAGATTTGTATTTCTCTACTGATCAGTGATGTTGAGCTTTTTTTCATGTTTGATGGTTGCATAAATGTCTTTTTTTGAGAAGTGTCTGTTCATGTCCTCTGCCTACTTTTTAATGGGATTGTTTGTTTTTTTTTTCTTGTAAATTTGTTTGAGTTCCTTGTAGATTCTGGATATAGACCTTTGTCAGCTGGATAGATTGCAAAAATTTTCTCCCATTCTGTAGGTTGTCTGTTCACTCTGATTTGCTGTGCAGAAGCTAAAAGACATGATTTTAGAAAAAGACATGTCAAAGTCATACATGCTCAACGACATAGCGAGTACATATGTAAATAAAAAATTATTTTATGCTGTGAATTTGACCGAAAATAACCTTTACCTCGTCAGGAATTACAATCCTCACGTATGGTAAAGGATTTCCCTATTGCAAATTATTCCACAACATTAATGTTCTGTGTGCTTTTTATCTATCCCAAGATACAAGTAAATTTGACAAAGATATTAGGTTTGTAAACAAATTTACGTTCAAATCTTTGCCTGGAAGTATCTAGATAGAATTTTGCATGCAAAAGAGTATTTACATCTAAAAAATTACATATTTCAAATTAAAATGATTTTAGTGTTATAGATAGAAGGAAAGAGTTATTGAAGTTTATTTCTGTTTTGGCAGTGTAAATGAATTACTTACAAAATTTTAGAAGTCTACAGGTGTTTTTATAAAGTTTGTGTTATTTGTGGAAACCTCAGTTTTCTGGCATTTTGCCAATGAGGTCTACTCTAAGTATAGCAGAAATTTGTTTTCCAGCTTTATAAATATATATTTTAAGATTAAGAACTGATTTTACTTATATAATCTGGGATCAACTTTTGGCTTCTCCTGTCAAGGATTTTGAATTTGTGACAAAATATACACTTATTGATAACCAGTGACATATATAAAATGCTTTACAATTAATAAAGCATATGTATTTTACATATTTTTTCACTACATATGACGCATGTGGCAACCCCAAGAGTTGAGTTGTACCCATCGGCAAACTTTGATCATGATTCTGTGAATATAGGCAAGCACCAATTGCAGGTAGAACATTCTTTTTTTGAGTCCCAAACCGTGAGAAACAAATTACAGAAATGTACCTTTCTTTTGCATTAGGACACGTTGTAGTTTTGTATGAACACTCTAGTTTTAAGCAGTATGTGCAAAAACATTGCACAAAGGATTTGTGTGTTGATTTTGGGACTCCTGTATTATTAATTATGTGGTTTATTTGACTACCCCACATTTTCAAGCATAAATTAATAAATCCATAATTCCAGGCTTATTAACAATAAACAATCTAGATAGTTGAACTCTTTCTTGCTAACATTTTCTAGATATGGACTGTTTGGTATTTTTCTACTAATAAAGACCCTTAGTAAGCTGCCTTCTGGTTTGATGTCATTGGGATGTTTACTGGGAACTTTGGTGGAGATCTTGCAGTCTCTCTCCCCCAGTGGTGAAAGAATGAGTTACAAACCAGCTTTCCTTCCCAGTGTACAATAGCGATGGAGTTTGTTCTATATGGAAAATTTGTTTGATAAAAGTATTCTTTAAAATTTTTTGTTCCATAAATTATCAGTATTTTCAGTTTCTGATTCATGCTTGGGATAGTTGCTGCATATTGTTTAATTTTGTCAGAATTTATATTGTTAAATATCAAATACGACAGACTACCCTCAAATCATAAGTAGTTAATGTAATTAACATCCTGTTTCATCATGAGACTCTTCAGTGTTACATTAAAAACTGCTACCTCCTGGGCCGGGCGTGGTGGCTCATGCCTGTAATCCCAGCACTTTGGGAGGCTGAGGTGGGCGATCGGATCACGAGGTCAGGAGATTGAGACCATCCTGGCTAACATGGTGAAACCCCGTCGCTACTAAAACATGCAAAAAATTAGCCGGGCTTGGTGGCGGGCGCCTGTAGTCCCAGCTACTCAGGAGGCTGAGGCAGGAGAATGGCATGAACCCAGGAGGCAGATCTTGCAGAGAGCTGAGATCGTGCCACTGCACTCCAGCCTGGGCGACACAGCAAGACTCCGTCTCAAAACAAAAAACAAAAAACAAAAAAACTGCTACCTCCTTATTACAAATAGGAACTAAAGTTGAAGTTTGAGGAATTTGCTAAGAACTAAGCCTTGAACTAAGGCTATTTTATTTGAGTATGAGTCATATCAGGGTACGGATCCATTTTACTATTAACAAAACAAATATGTTCTGTTTTTTTTTTTTAAATGCACACACCACGTTTGAGAGATTCTTATTCACTGTATTTTCTTTAATTATACTTGAATTTTGGTTTACATTGAGGAGTGCCCTCAAAGATATTAACAGATTTTTAAAAAATCCTCTAAAAAACTCATTCTTAGGGAAATTTGTTCACTTACTAGGTGAGGAGCAAAATAAAAATCCTTAATATAGAAGAGCTATTATCTGTCTTCAAAATTAAGTCTTTGAGTAGATTTGTGAATAAATCTAATAGTTTTGCTGAATTTACTTAGATCTTAAGACAGAATAATCATGTAGAAAATTTAAAATGTCAGGAATTCATAATGATTCATATACCCAAGGATTTTCATTGATAGTGAGGTAAGGTTATTCTTGAGAAAGACTCAAAGTCATAAAATAATAGAATTTCGAAACTACCAGAATTATACAAGTCAATTAAAATGACTGATTTGTTTTAAGAGGAAGAAATACTAAATGTATAATTATTAGATGCAGCATATTGTATCTGTTTTGTTTTGTGATTCTAGCTCTTATAACCTATGCTTGGACCTAGGTGTCATAACTTACTTTAAATATGTATGTTTGGTTTTCATTCATATTGACAGTACTACCTCTCAGTTTTCTTTCAGATATTGTTTTGTATTTACCCATGAAGACATTGTTTTTTGGACTCTGCAAATAGGACATTTCAAAGATGAGTGAAAAAAAATTGGAAACAACTGCACAGCAGCGGAAATGTCCTGAATGGATGAATGTGCAGAATAAAAGATGTGCTGTAGAAGAAAGAAAGGTATGTTGTTCATTGACTATTCTTTTGGGTGAGAAATTTAATTTATATTTGACTGTGCAAAGAGTCAGTTGTTACTTGTAAACTTCAAGTCATTGTTTAGGTCAGAGTTGCTGTTGTCTAAATGCACCAGGACCTAGTTGTTGAAAGGGTAAACTGGAATAAACTTTAATTGGGTTTACAAAATGAGAATTCTTACTGTATATTTTCTCTTTTTCGGGTTGACTTTACCAGTTTGTTCTAGTTCAGATAATTTAGACAACATTAACTTTGTTGAATTTTTTGTTTGCCAGCCGGTCTTCAGCATTTTAAGGCAACATTATTATTACAGTTGTAATACGAATATAATTACCAGAGAAAAAACTCAGGAAAATAAATGCTTTTATGAAAATGGGATTAGAGGTTTGAAAATAAACTTGTTAGGAGAAATAATTTCACAATGGGATGGTTTTTTCTTTGTTAAGTTTTCTTTATGACTTCATTAGTTTATAAAACATTAATTGATAAAACTTAGAACTATAAATTGAATGCTTCAGTGAACTTTATTATTTCAGTGAACATTTGTTATTTGATGTGAACTTTGTGCCTGTTTTGAAATTTACTAAACTCAAGGCATGTGTTCGGAAGAGTGTTTTTGAAGATGACCTCCCCTTCTTAGAATTCACTGGATCCATTGTGTATAGTTACGATGCTAGTGATTGCTCTTTCCTGTCAGAAGATATTAGGTAAGTGATTTGAATTTCCTGATTTTATTTGAATTTGGACCCTTAGAAGGTACTATTATGGTAATGTTTGTGAATATACTGAGTTTTACAGGTGAGGTGTGTTCAATAGATAATTATTTCTATGTATACACTATCACCAAGTTTTACATTTCAAATAAAAGTCACTGAATTAATTTGTAATCTGTCAGTTTGTTCATTCATAAGCTTTTCTATTACTTCAGACAGTTTTTTTTTAACTTTTTTAATATATGTGCTGCTGAAGCGAGCACGACAGTTTTTTAACTTTCAGTACTTAAGATGTTATATATAGAGCTACTGAACATACTGTGTTTATTTTACCAATTTAGGGAAAAAGTGCAAAAATTATTTAACCTTTAAATGCACCTTTATATTTCATTAAAAATATCAACATAGTAATATTGAATAATGGCTATGATCGGCTCTGTTGTGTGTAATTAGTAACAGTTGTAGCAAATGATCCTTAAAAAATGTTCTAACTAAACATTAGAGGCCAGGCGCGGTGGCTCAGGCCTGTAATCCCAGCACTTTGTGAGGCCGAGGCAGGTGGATCACAAGGTCAGGAGATTGAGACCATCCCGGCTAACATGGTGAAACACCGTCTCTACTAAAAATACAAAAAATTAGCCAGGTGTGGTGGCGTGCGCCTGTAGTCTCAGCTACTCAGGAGGCTGAAGCAGGAGAATCGCTTGAACCTGGGAGGCAGAGGTTGCGGTGAGCCAAGATTGCATCACTGCACTCCAGCCTGGGCGACAGAGTGAGGCTCCGTCTCAAAAAAAAAAAATCCAAAAAAACAACCCCACAAACAAACAAAAAACATTAGAAATGTCTGTTAGTACTTTTAAAGGTTGCCTTGTAAAATTAGGACTGCAATAGTGCAATCTAAGGCTCTCAAAGCATAAAACAAGTAATAAGGAATTCATTCAGATATTTTCCGAGGTGGTTATACCTGTCTTTTAAAAAAAAAATTTTGTTATATATTGGGTTAAAAAAAGCAGAGGTGCTGGGCACAGTGGCTCATGCCTATAACCCCTACACTTTGGGAGGCCAAGGCAGGAGGATTGCTTGAGCCCAGGAGTTTGAGACCAGCCATAGTAAGACCCCCATCTCTACAAAAAAATTTAAAAATTAGCCAGGTGTCTGTGGTCCCAGCTACTCAGGAGGCCTAGGTTTTGGGCCCGAGAGGTTGAGGCTGCAGTGAGCCTTGATCACACCATTGCACTCCAGCCTGGGCAACAGGGCAAAACCCTGTCTCAAACAGACAAACAAACAAACAAAAGGCAGAGGTAGGTTAAGCTATTTATTAATGGTCTTCTACTGGTATAGATATAAGCTAGAAATAACATTCAAGTGTTTTTACTTTTACTACAGTTATCTGGCCACTTTGGGACTCATTATACTGAATTAGTTTCACAGAGGAGGTAAAATCTGTTGTTTATGATTACATATTAACTCTACCATTTTACCTTCAGCATTGCTGTAGTATGTCATATCTGAAGGCAATTAGCACAAGTGACTTGAAGAATTGTAGTTTTGATGACTTATATGTATTTTATAAAAGGCAGGCAGAGTTTTTGTGTTTGCTTTCCCCTCCTCTGGACACTTTAAATTTTTGCTACCACAGGTTTCCAACAATTTGATTATGATGTGCCCTTGTGTAATGTGGTTGGTGTTTATTTGGCTTGGAGTTCGTTGAATTTTTTTGATCTGTGTGGGCTTATACCTTTAATCAAATTTGAAAAATGTCTTCAGATCCTTTTTCCTCCCATCCTGTTATTCTTTTCTCTTTCTGGGACTCTTAGTACACACAAGTTTGATTGCTTGATACTGTGTCACAGGCCACTGAGGCTCTTTCCTTTCAGTCTTTTCTTCTTTCTTCCTTTTTTTCTTTCTGTGCTTCATTTTGAATAGCTTGAATAGTTTTGTTTCCTGTCTTCAAGTTCACTTATATTTTTTTCTTCTGTAGTGTCTGGTCTGTTTATACCATCCTGTGAATTTCTTTTTTAGATACTACATATTTTGTTTATCTCTAGAAGTCCCATTTGGTTCTTAATTTTTTTTTCCATTTTGGCTCTCATTATTCATGTTTCTTTCAAAATTCTTGAACATATTTAGCATATTTTTAATAGCTGTTTTAATGTACTTGTCTGTTAATTCCATTATTCTAGGGTTTTTTTCTTTCTATTGGATGATTTTTCTCCTGATTATGGGTTATATTTTCCTGTTTATTCCTACAGCTGTTAATTTTTTTTTTTTTAATTAGGCATTGTGATCTTACTTTGTGGAATGTTAGATTTTATTGTTTTCCTTTAAAGAAAGGAACTTTGTCAGACATCTAAGTTACCTGAAGATCAACTTTATGTTTTGAAGCTTGTTTTCAAGCTTGATCAGGGAAAGTCTACGTTTGCCTTTAGTCTAAAGGTAATTTAGCCCTATAATAAGATGTGACCCTTCTGGAGTCTTTGTAGACTGCCTCTGGTGATCAACGATCTCTTCTCTGACTTTTCAGAACGTTAATGCCTCTTACCTTTGTGTAAGTCCGTCCTAAGAATCATTCAGCTTATGGTTGTTTGCCCAGCCCCATAGAGTTTTAGTCTATGCATGCTTGTCTTCGTATTCTGCAAAGACCAAAGGAGTCCCTTAGGGAGATTTCTGGAGCTCTTTTCCTGCCTAGCTTCCTCCTCTCCAGAACTCTGCCCCGTGAGTTCCAGGTCCTTCAGCTTCCAGGGCTCTGAACTCTGTCTCCCCAACTCAGTGCTCTCCTTGGGATTCTTCTCCCTGTTCTGTTGTCTGCAATGGGTCCCAGGAAGAATGTGGGGCAACTGTAAGGTTCACCCTTCATTTCCCTTCCCTTAGAGATCATAGTCCTGTACTGCCTGTTGTCTAGTATCTGAAACAGTTGTTTTATATGTTTTGTCCAAGTTTAGATTTGTTTGTGGTGGGAGGGTGAGTCTGGCCTCCCTTGTTATATCATGTTGGCCTGAAGCAGAAGCTGAGTTTCTTTTATTTTTTAAATATAGTTTCAATTTTTAACAACTATTAAATAGGCAAGTATCAACAACAATAGATAACAATATAATAGATATGCATATTCCTCCCACTTTATCAAATCTTAATTTTCTTCAATTTTTTTTTTTTTTTTTAATAGGGTCTCACTCTGTTGCTCGTGCTGGAGTGACAGTGGTGTGATCTTGGTTCGCTGCAACCTCCGCCTCTTGGGCTCAAGTGATCCTCCTGCCTCAGCCTCCTGAGTAGCTGGGACTACAGGCATGCACCATCATGCCCAGATAATTTATATATATATTTTTTTATAGAGATGGGGTTTTTGCCATGTTGCCCAGGCGGTCTCAAATTCCTGGACTCAAGCAATCTGCCTGCCTTGGCCCCCCAAAGTGCTGGGATTACAGGCGTGAACCACTGCGCCTGGCCTGTTTTCTTCAGTTCTTTATTAAGAAATGAAACAGTAAAATACAGCTGAAGCCCCGTGTTTGTTCTTTCTGATTCTCCCTCTGTGCCCCTCTGAGATAACTTCTATGAGTTTTGTGCATTTTTTTTTCTTTTTAATAAAAACAGGGTCTTGCTCTGTTATCCAGGCTGGAGTGCGGTGGCGAGATCATACTCAATGCAGCCTCAACCTTATGGGCTCGAGTGATCCTTTCGCCTCAGCCTCTCAAGTAGCTACAACTACTGGTGTGTGCTGCCATGCCTGGCTAATTTTTTATTTATAGTTTTTAAAGACAGGGTCTCACTATGTTGCCCAGGCTAGTTTTGAACTCCTGGCTTCTAGTGATCCTCCTGCCTTGGTCTCTTACTTAAAGCACTGGGATTACAGGTGTGAGCCACTGGCTGCTCACATGTTTTTTATAATAGTACTTAATAATTTTATGTCTGAAAATATTATATAATGTTATTTTGCCCATTTAAAAACTTTAAAAAATGCTAACAAACTGTGTACTCTGTAACTTGTCTTTTTTACTCAACACTACGTTTTTGAGAATTTTTCTTGTTGATCTGTGTAGTTCCATTTTAACTGTTATATCTTACTATGTTTCATTATGCAACAGTTGGTTCAATCCATTCTCTTGTTAATGGAAATTTAGTTTGTTTCTAATTTTTGCCAGTAGGAACAGTGTTGCAATGCATATTCTTAAACATGTCTGTACACATCTGAGGGTTTCATTTATTTGTGACAAAACTTGCCAGGTCATAGTGTTTATGCACCTTCAACTAGATATTGTCGTTGTCAAAGTTTTTTTCCAAAAGGATTTTACCAATTTATACATGAACCACCGATAGATATCCTCTTAACACGTGGTATTCTGAAACTTAATTTTTACCAATCAGATAGATGTGAAATCACGTAGACTTAGTTTGCATTTCTTTGACTTCTAGTGAGAAGTAGTGTCTTCACATATTTTTTGGATTTTTAAAATTTATTTTTTATTTTTGTTTTTCTTAGAGACAGGGTCTTGAACTTTTACCCAGGCTGAAGTGCAGTGATGCGATCATAGCTCACGCTAACCTCGAACTCCTGGACTCAAGTGATCCTCCTGCCTCAGCTTCCTGAGTAGCTGGGACTACAGGTGTGTGCCACCAAGCCCAGCTAATTTTTAATTTTTTTTTTTGTAGAGACATGCTGTGTTGCACAGGTTGGTCTTAAACTCCTAGTCTCAAGCAGTCCTCCTGCCTTGACTTTCCAAAGTGCTGGGATTACAGGGGTAAACCACCATACCTGGCCATATCTTTTGGATTTATTGGTCATTTGGATTTTCTTTTGGGAATTACCTGTTCATATTTTTCTCCATTTTTCTGCTGAATAATTTGTCTTTTCTTACTTATTTTTCAAGAAATTTTACATATTTTCTGGCTGTTCATTGTCAGTTGTATGTGCTCCAGATAACTTGAACAGTCTGTGGTTGCCTTTTAATTTTTGAATTATGTCTTTAGTTATGCAGAAGTTTAAAATTTTAACATAAATTAATTTACACTATTTTTCTCACTTTAGCATGAGTCTATCAGATGGGGATGTGGTGGGATTTGACATGGAGTGGCCACCATTATACAATAGAGGGAAACTTGGCAAAGTTGCACTAATTCAGTTGTGTGTTTCTGAGAGCAAATGTTACTTGTTCCACGTTTCTTCCATGTCAGGTTGGTATCTCTACATTTCATTTTTATATGGCTGATAATTGTAATATGTCAACTTTATCCCTATAAAATTAAGTTCTTTTATTAGCTGGCCGTTCTCTCATTATCTCAAATTTATTTAAGTATTTATGTTCTACCTGATTCACTCACATTCCTTGTTTTATTTAATTTTCACAACATACCTGTGAGGCATTGACATTTTTTCTGTTTTAGAGAAGAGAAAACTGAAATTTTAAGAGGCTAAATGACCAGGATATGTACTGCTATTGCTAGCAGGAGTGGCATTCAAACTGATTATTTTTTCTTGTCATTTATCAATCAGGACTGTTTGCTTTAGTTAAGAAATACTCAAGGTCAATGTGTTTCTGAATTTAAAATTACTGTTAAATACAAATTTACACATAAACATGGTATGTATAAGAAGTAGGACATAAATCCATCATACTTGACAGAACTTATGGAAATAACAAGAAAATGTTACAGTTTTTCCCCAGGGATTAAAAATGTTGCTTGAAAATAAAGCAGTTAAAAAGGCAGGTGTAGGAATTGAAGGAGATCAGTGGAAACTTCTACGTGACTTTGATATCAAATTGAAGAATTTTGTGGAGTTGACAGATGTTGCCAATAAAAAGGTAAAAGCAATATATATATAATTTTCATGATGAAGATTATTTTGTGTTACACAGAATGTACTTTCTATCTGAATGTTAGATTTTTTTTTGAAAAAGCTTGTTATATAATGTTTTTGTAGCAATAAAAAAGTTCCAAGTGAATGTTCTTTAATGAAAACCTTTATTTATTTATTTATTTTTAACTTTTGTTTCAAGATCGGGGTACATGTGCATGTTTGTTACACAGGTAAACTTGTGTCATGGGGGTTTATCATACAGATTATTTTATCACCCGGGTATTAAGCCTGGTACCCATTAGTTATTTTTCCTGATTTTCTTCCTCCCTCCTCCCACCCTCCACCTCCCACAGTGTGTGTTGTTCCCCTCTGTGTGTCCATGTTTTCTTATCATTTAGCTCCCACTTATAAGTGAGAACATATGGTATTTGGTTTTCTGTTCCTGCGTTAGTTTGCTAAGGATAATGGCCTCCAGTGCCATCCATGTCCCTGCAAAGGACATGATCTTATTTATTTTTTTTATGGCTGCATAGTATTCCATGGTGTATATGTACCACATTTTTTTTAATGCAGTCTATCATTGATGGGCATTTAGGCTGATTCCATGTCTTTGCTATTGTTAAATAGTGCTGCAGTGAACATATGCGTGCATGTGTCTTTGTAACAGAATGATTTATATTCCTTTTGGTATATACCCAGTAATGGGATTGCTGGGGCAAATGGTATTTCTTTCTTTAGGTCTTTGAGGAATTGCTACACAGTTTTCCACAATGGAAAGCCTTTAGTTCTAATCCATGTCTTGGCATAGAGTTTCTTTTCTTTTTTTTTTTTTTTTTGAGGTGGAGTTTCGCTCTTGTTGCCCAGGCTGGAGTGGAATGGTGTGATCTCAGCTCACTGCAACCTCCACCTCCTGGGTTTAAGTGGTTCTCCTGCCTCAGGCTCCTGAGTAGCTGGGGTTACAGGCATGCACCACCATGCCTAGCTAATTTTGTATTTTTAGTAGAGACGGGGTTTCTCCATCTTGGTCAGGCTGATCTCGAACTCCTGACCTCAGATAATCTGCCTGCCTCGGCCTCCCAAAGTGCTGAGATTGCAGGCGTGAGCCACCGCACCTGGCCGGCAGACAGTTTCTTTTTTTCTTTTTGAGACAGAGTCTTGCTCTGTCGCCCAGGCTGGAGTGCAGTGGTGCAATCTTGGCTCACTGAAACCTCTGCCTCCTGGGTTCAAGCGATTCTCCTGCCTCAGCCTCCCGAGTAGCTGGCACTACAGGCGTGCCACCACACCCAGCTAATTTTTTGTATTTTTTTTAGTAGAGACGAGGTTTCACCGTGTTAGCCAGGATGGTCTTGATCTCCTGACCTCATGATCCACCTGCCTCGGTCTCCCAAAGTGCTGGGATTACATACAGTTTCTTTAAGCAAGCCTTCTCTTTTCCTTCCTCCCAGTTCTTGGTACTCTTTCACTTTCATATATTTGCAAATGTAAAATTGTGTTTTAGGTGTATATTTTTAATCCATGTATACCAGTAACTTAAAAAAAAATTTTTTTTTTTTTAAGGGAGAGCATAATGGAGCTCTTGTGATACGGTGCTCTTAGTGGAAGTTTGGCTATCAATTCCATCACCTGTATTTCACATATTTTATTAATGAAGTTCTTAAATTAAATTCTCATATTTAGCCAAGTATTCATTTGGCTGGGAGGTAGAAAGCCTACTAACCAACTTTTTTTCATGAACAATATTTTTAAAGTCCAAGATTTTTAATACCTACATTAGGGAAATTCTAGAATTAAATTCTTACAATGTGGACTGCATATGAGGCTTTTAGTGACAGGGAATTTGTTGAAGGCTATCTGTGGGTTGTATTTTGGTATAACATTTCCTAATTTTATTTGTGGTATGTTCATTTGATATCATTTGGTAATACCTGAAAACAGGAACTGATTTTACTGTGTTGCTTTTTCATCATTTCTAGCTGAAATGCACAGAGACCTGGAGCCTTAACAGTCTGGTTAAACACCTCTTAGGTAAACAGCTCCTGAAAGACAAGTCTATCCGCTGTAGCAATTGGAGTAAATTTCCTCTCACTGAGGACCAGAAACTGTATGCAGCCACTGATGCTTATGTACGTGCTTAAAGATCTTTAGAAATTGTGATGTGTTTTAAAAACATTATTATAAATGACTTTAGAAAAATTTTATTATAGTAGTGGCAGAAACTCTACCAAAATATTTTATATCAATTTGGCATTGAAAAATGCTTAGGAAGACATTTAGTGAAACTATTCATTTTCGATATTAATTAGCAAGTACCAATCAACAGATTGTTCAATGCTAGTTTATTTTCATTGTCATGAAGCCAAATTAATGTCTAATTTGTATGTTAAAAAATGTGAACTTGCTGAAAACATGAAAGGCTAATAAATCCAGGCTGAGCAAGCATAAATAGTACTGATGATGGATTTGATATATAAACAATTCAGAATGAAAATAATTATAGTACAGTTTCTATTTTAAAACTGGCCTTATTTCTTATATATAAAATGTGGTGAAATTTTAGAAAAATTGCCTCCAAATTTAGCTTGTTGCTGCCATTAGATATATTTTTATATTTACATGTTTGTATGTAGTGAAATCTGGGCTTATCTTTATATATAGCACTATTGTGTGTTTTTTAAGAAATGTATTTTATTCCACAGTGAATTTGTTTTCTCCTAACTCATGCTTTCATTTGTAGATGAATATTTTATTGTTTCTCCTTTGCATCTATCAAAGGAATGGAAACTCCTTTGAATTGTAACCAGCAAACAATTCACTTTTGTTAGGGAAATTGGATGATAATTTTCCTTTAAAAGATACCGCCAAACTTGAGACTAACATTCTCAGCTGATTTAAGTAGGATTTCTCTTACTAGATTGCATTTTGTTAGATTCCATTTTAAGTTATTTTATTTGGATATTGTGTGTAATATTGAGTGTGAAAAAGTGAAAACAAACTTTTAAGGCTCAGGCACCTTTCTCAATTTTCACAATTGGTATGATTATTAAATGAGGACATATTGATATTTGTGTCACATAATAGGTTGAATTCCATGTTTGGGTGCTTTGTGAATCATTCTCTTCGATTTTTCTGAAGATGGGACTTACTGTTTTATTTCGGTGATCTTTAGCATACTTTTTAAATTTTTCTGTTTTTTTATAGGCTGGTTTTATTATTTACCGAAATTTAGAGATTTTGGATGATACTGTGCAAAGGTTTGCTATAAATAAAGGTATGTTAAGATCCATAAATAAAATGTGAATTCACTCTTTTGTGAGGTTTATCTCCAAAAAAGGCAATATTCACATATTTGCAAAGCATTTAGTACTATAACTTCTTGAATGTCTGAGCAGTCCTGACATTAGGGTGGGATCCATCAGGGCCCAAGATGAGTGTTTCATCTTTGTTACTTGTGGCAAAGCAGCCCTTACTTCTTTTACTTTGTAGCATTGCTATGTATTTGGCTTCTAGAGTTGGGGCTTTGTGGCTTTCTTATTGCAGTGACACAACCAGCTTTCTCCTAGTCTGGAGATTATACATCCTTGCTATAAGTATTTAAAATGCTTTCTATATAATGCTTTAAAACATGTAAGATGGCTTATCCCCAAGATGGTAGCTAATAAACACTAAGTGATAAAGTAGGTAAAGATCTATTTATTCATTTATTAAATATTGTTGGTCATTTTACAGTGCTTTCTAACATACTGATTTACATTTCTAATTTTCTTCTGTCATTTTTCTCCAAAAATAATGGTCATGTCATCCAACCTCAGTGCTGTTTTTAGAGGTCTTGATAAGCCAGTGAGAGCAGAAGGAGCCACGTAGTAGAGTGGGTGAGCCCAGGCTTTTTGTTGCACAGACCAATGTGAATCCCAGCCATGTGACCTGGGATGTACCTGTTTCTCCAAACATGGAATGTAGATACTAGCATAATGTCCGTTTTACCGTTTTATAGAATAATTGTGAAGACTTAAAGGGACAAACTATTCGAAGCATCTGTATTGATATAAAGTTATCACTATTCTCGTAGCTTCCTTTTGGAGATTTTAAATGATTGTGTTTGTTAAGATGTTAATTAAATTAGGCCATTTTGCTAAATGCTCTTAAAAATATGGCATGACTGCCTCATATAAAATGATATGATATTCTTTATAATTGTCGTTGAGCCTCTGTGGGTGGCAGGCCCTCCTTTATATGTTAAGGTAGAAGAGTCTTTATTCTTACTTCTCCTCCCTGGAGAGCCACTTCCTATGAATGCCTGCTGGTTCTCTGTAGTCAGAGGTCTTGTGGCTGTAACTTAGAGTCAGTCTCCATATCCCTGGGTTCTGCATCTGTGGATTCAACCAACCACAGATTGAGAACATTCAAGCCAAAAAAAAAAATTCACAGTTTTAAAAAAGGAAAAGTTGAATTTCTTGCATGGAGTACCACATTGAATCTATATGAATGAAGTGATGCGTAGGCATTTTATAAGGTATTATAAGAAATCCGGAGATGATTTAAAGTATACAGGACAATGTGTATAGATTATATGCAAATATTGCAGCATTTTATATAAGAGACTTGATCATCTATGGATTTGATATCAGTGGGAGGGAGGTTCCTGGAACCAATCCCTCAAGGATACAGAGGAATGACTGTATGTTAATTAACTGAGGCAGGTGATCGGTTTTTTAAGCTGATTAGGGAAACAGTATATAAGAACTTACTTAACTCATAATAAAACTAAAATTCAACAGGGGAGAGTTATGATTTTTTGGCTTTATGGTTGTGGAATTGCATGTAGGTTACATGTACAATTTTGTTACATGTGCAATTTTGATGAAAATGCTTCCAAGGAATGTTTATGATATTTTTCACTAAAGTAACATATATTAATAACACAGTACTGGAAGTCCTGGTATCTGTGTACTTGTCATTGTAATGCTACATTATTTGACCTTCACTTTTTTTCCCCTTTATTACATTATATGTGTGAGTATATTGTGACATCTTGACTCAGATTCCAGTGAATTGTATTAGGTTGGTGCAAAAATAATTGTGGTTTTGGTAATTTTTAATGGCAAAAACCACAATTACTTTTGCACCAACCTAATAACTAAGATTACCATCTTTTTTTCCTTCCTTCCTCCCTTCCTTCCTTTCTGTTATTCAGCCAGAAGTATCAGCATCACTGTTCTCTTATTTTCTTCATGTACATATGGATGATATTTTCGAATGACCACTTTTCTCTTTTGCTTTTTATTATTAGACTGTTTTTTTCTTCTTGTTAAAGGATAAAAAGATTAGAACATAAAAGGATATTTACACATTGTTTCCCCATTGACTTATTCCCAAGATGGTAGCTAAAAACACCAAATGATATAGTAGTTAAAGATACATTGACTCATTTATTAAATATTGTTGAGCATTTTACGATATGGGAATACCGTAGTGAACAAGCCAGGCATACTCTGTTTCCTGAGGGGCCTACAGTTTTATTGGGGATATAGATGAGTGAAGAAAGCAATTGCAGTGTAGGGAGATGAGTCTTATGTCATGGGAAAACAAGGTGCTGTAGTTGACACACCGAGAGGCATCTGACACATTGGGGGAAATATTCTAGAATATTTCCTGGAGAAAGTGCAGGTAAAAGCCAGACCTGAAACCTGAGCAAGAGTTAGCTAAGGCCAGGTGCAGTGGCTCACGCCTGTAATCCTAGCACTTTGGGAGGCCGAGGTGGGTGGATCACCTGAGGTCAGGAGTTTGAGACCAGCCTGGCCAAAATGGTGAAACACCATCTCTACTAAAAATACAAAAAATTAGCTGAGTGTGGTGACGGGCACCTGTAATCCCAGCTTCTTGGGAGGCTGAGGCAGGAGAATCGCTTTAATCTGGGAGGTGGAGGTTGTAGTGAGCTGAGATTGCACCATTGCACTCCAGCCTGCACAAGAGCGAGACTCTGTCTCAGAAAAAAAAAAAAAAAAAAGTTAGCTAGCTGAAGAGTATAGGAAAGAATGGGTACAGGAAATTACAGGTGCCAAGTTACAGAGGTGAGAGAAATTATGGTATCTATAGGTAATTGAAAGTAATTCAGTATAGTGAACATTGAATAGGGCTGGGCGGATGAAGGCAAAGCAGAAAAAGGAAAGCAGATGGGCCATGGTAAGGAGTTTATATCTCCTCCCAAGAGCAATCGAAGTGACTGAGAGTTTTAAACACAGCAGTGAAGTGAATTACATTAAAAAAATAAGAACTTGGGCTCTAGAATAAAAAACGGATATAGGAGGAAGGCAGGAGTCACAGTAGGAATATCTTTTGGGAGGCTGTGACAATAATCCAAGTGAGAAGTAATGGCAACTTGAGTCGGTTAATTGTGTTGAGAATGGAGAGAAGTTGACAGGTTCAAAATTCATTTTTCTTCTTTTTTTGAGTCTCACTCTGTCACCCAGGCTGGAGTGCAGTGATGCGATCTTGGCTTACCGCAGCTTCCACCTCCTGGGTTCAAGTGATTATCCTGCCTCAGCCTCCTGAGTAACTGGGATTACAGGTGCCTGCCACCACGCCCAGCTAATTTTTGTGTGTTTAGTGGAGATGTGGTTTCGCCATGTTGGCCAGGCTGGTCTCGAACTCCTGGTCTCAAGTCTTCCGCCCACCTCAGCCTCCCAAAGTGCTAGAATTATAGGCATGAGCTACCACACCTGACCTCAAAATACATTTAATAGAGCAAGCATGAGCCACTATGCCCAGCCTCAAAATACATTTAATAAACCAATGGAATTTGAGGTAATGATGAAAGACACATGTCAAGGATCATTCCTGTGTTGTTGGCATAAGCAACAGGGATGAAAAGCATTGAGGAAGAGCAAGATTTTGGGATGCGTTGTCACACAGTTGATTTTAGGTATGTTAAGGGAGGGAGACCTGTAAGACAGCAAAGTGGAGGTGGTGCAAGAATTAGTTGTGTTGGCTGTAGCACAGAGGACAGTTTGAGTTAAGAGAGTTGGGACTGAGAATCCCGAGGAACTCTTAGTGTTGAACATTTGCGTGGAGGAGGGGACACCAAAGGAGTTGCCATAGACATCGAGGAAATTAGGAGGTGTGGTGTGCAGAAAGCCAAGTGAAGAACATGTTTTAAGTAGGAGGATG